>NC_000004.12:57573169-57899575 GCF_000001405.40 Homo sapiens | reverse complement strand
ACGTGAAGAATGCAGAAGCCTCAGGAGCCAATACGATCAACTGGAAGAAAGGGTATCAGCGATGGAAGATGAAATGAATGAAATGAAGCGAGAAGGGAAGTTTAGAGAAAAAAGAATAAAAAAAAACAAGCAAAGCCTCCAAGAAATATGGGACTATGTGAAAAGACCAAATCTACTTCTGATTGGTGTACCTGAAAGTGACGGGGAGAATGGAACCAAGTTGGAAAACACTCTGCAGGATATTATCCAGGAGAACTTCCCCAATCTAGCAAGGCAGGCCAACATTCAGATTCAGGAAATACAGAGAACACCGCAAAGATACTCCTCCAGAAGACCAATTCCAAGACACATAATTGTCAGATTCACCAAAGTTGAAATGAAGGAAAAAATGTTAAGGGCAGCCAGAGAGAAAGGTTGGGTTACCCACAAAGGGAAGCCCATCAGACTAACAGAGGATCTCTTGGCAGAAACTCTACAAGCCAGAAGAGAGTGGGGGCCAGAAGAGAGTGGGTGCCAATATTCAACATTCTTAAAGAAAAGAATTTTCAACCCAGAATTTCACATCCAGCCAAACTAAGCTTCATAAGTGAAGGAGAAATAAAATACTTTACAGATAAGCAAATGCTGAGAGATTTTGTCACCACCAGGCATGCCCTAAAAGAGCTCCTCAAGGAAGCACTAAACATGGAAAGGAACAACCAGTACCAGCTGCTGCAAAATCATGCCAAAATGTAAAGACCATCGAGACTAGGAAGAAACTGCATCAACCAATAAGCTAAATAACCAGCTAACATCATAATGACAGGTTCAAATTCACACATAACAATATTAACTTTCAATGTAAATGGACTAAATGCCCCAATTAAAAGACACAGACGGGCAAACAGGATAAAGAGTCAAGACCCACCATGTGTTGTATTCAGGAAACCCATCTCACATGCAGAGACACACATAGGCTCAAAATAAAAGGATGGAGGAAGATCTACCAAGCAAATGGAAAACAAAAAAAGGCAGGGGTTGCAATCCTAGTCTCTGATAAAATAGACTTTAAACCAACAAAGATCAAAAGAGAAAAAGAAGGCCATCACATAATGGTAAAGGGATCAATTCAACAAGAAGAGCTAAGTATCCTAAATATATATGCACCCAATAGAGGAGCACCCAGATTCATAAAGCAAGTCCTGAGTGACCTACAAAGAGACTTAGACTCCCACACACTAATAGTGGGAGACTTTAACACCCCACTGTGAACATTAGACAGATCAAGGAGACAGAAAGTCAACAAGGATACCCAGGAATTGAACTCAGCTCTGCACCGAGTGGACCTAATAGACATCTACAGAACTCTCCACCCCAAATCAACAGAATATACATTTTTCTCAGCACCACACCACACCTATTCCAAAATTGACCACATAGTTGGAAGTAAAGCTCTCATCAGCAAATGTAAAAGAACAGAAATTATAACAAACTATCTCTCAGACCACAGTGCAATCAAACTAGAACTCAGGATTACGAAAATCACTCAAAACTGCACAACTACATGGAAACTGAACAACCTGCTCCTGAATGACTACTGGGTACATACAGAAATGAAGGTAGAAATAAAGATGTTCTTTGAAACCAACGAGAACAAAGACACAACATACCAGAATCTCTGGGACACATTCTAATCAGTGTGTAGAGGGAAATTTATAGCACTAAATGCCCACAAGAGAAAGCAGGAAAGATCCAAAATTGACACCCTAACATCACAATTAAAAGAACTAGAAAAGCAAGAGCAAACACATTCAAAAGCTAGCAGAAGGCAAGAAATAACTAAAAGCAGAGCAGAACTGAAGGAGATAGAGACACAAAAAACCCTTCAAAAAATTAATGAATCCAGGAGCTGGTGTTTTGAAAGGATCAACAAAACTGATAGACCGCTAGCAAGACTAATAAAGAAAAAAAAGAGAGAAGAATCAAATAGACACAATAAAAAATGATAAAGGGCATATCACCATTGATCCCACAGAAATACAAACTACCATGAGAGAATACTACAAACACCTCTACACAAATAAACCAGAAAATCTAGAAGAGATGGATAAATTCCTCGACACATACACTCTCCCAAGACTAAACCAGGAAGAAGTTGAATCTCTGAATAGACCAATAACAGGAGCTGAAATTGTGGCAATAATCAATAGCTTACCACCCAAAAAGAGTCCAGGACCAGATGGATTCACAGCCAAATTCTACCAGAGGTACAAGGAGGAACTGGTACCATTCCTTCTGAAACTATTCTAATCAATAGAAAAAGAGGGAATCCTCCCTAACTCATTTTATGAGGCCAGCATCATCCTGATACCAAACCCAGGCAGAGACACAACCAAAAAAGAGAATTTTAGACCAATTTCCTCGATGAACATTGATGCAAAAATCCTCAATAAAATACTGGCAAACCGAATCCAGCAGCACATCAAAAAGTTTATCCATCATGATCAACTGGGCTTCATCCCTGGGAAGCAAGGCTGGTTCAATATATGCAAATCAATAAATGTAATCCAGCATATAAACAGAACCAATGACAAAAACCACATGATTATCTCAATAGATGCAGAAAAGGCCTTTGACAAAATTCAACAACCCTTCATGCTAAAAACTCTCAATAAATTAGGTATTAATGGGATGTATCTCAAAATCATAAGAGCTATCTATTACAAACCCACAGCCAATATCATACTGAATGGGCAAAAACTGGAAGCATTCCCTTTGATAACTGGAACAAGACAGGGATGCCCTCTCTCACCACTCCTATTCAGCATAGTCTTGGAACTTCTGGCCAGAGCAATTAGGCAGGAGAAGGAAATAAAGGGTATTCAATTAGGAAAAAAGGAAGTCAAATTGTCTCTGTTCACAGACGACATGATTGTATATCTAGAAAACCCCATTGTCTCAGCCAAAAATCTCCTTAAGCTGATAAGCAACTTCAGCAAAGTCTCAGGATACAAAATCAATGTACAAAAATCACAAGCATTCTTATACACCAATAACAAACAGAGAGCCAAATCATGAGTGAACTCCCATTCACAATTGCTTCAAAGAGAATAAAATACCCGGGAATCCAACTTACAAGGGATGTGAAGGACCTCTTCAAGGAGAACTACAAACCACTGCTCAAGGAAATAAAAGAGGATACAAACAAATGGAAGAACATTCCATGCTCATGGGTAGGAAGAATCAATATCGTGAAAATGGCCATACTGCCCAAGGTAATTTATAGATTCAATGCCATCCCCATCAAGCTACCAGTGACTTTCTTCACAGAATTGGAAAAAACTACTTTAAAGTTCATATGGAACCAAAAAAGAGCCCGCATCTCCAAGTCAATCCTAAGCCAAAAGAACAAAGCTGGAGGCATCACGCTACCTGACTTCAAACTATACTACAAGGCTACAGTAACCAAAACAGCATGGTACTGGTACCAAAACAGAGATATAGATCAATGGAACAAAATAGAGCCTTCAGAAATAACACCGCATATCTACGACTATCTGATCTTTGACAAACCTGAGAAAAACAAGCAATGGGGAAAGGATTCCCTATTTAATAAATGGTGCCGTGAAACCTGGCTAGCCATATGTAGAAAGCTGAAACTGGATCCCTTCCTTACACCTTATACAAAAATCAATTCAAGATGTATTAAAGACTTAAACATTAGACCTAAAACCATAAAAACCCTAGAAGAAAACCTAGGCATTACCATTCAGGACATAGGCATGGGCGAGGACTTCATGTTTAAAACACCAAAAGCAATGGCAACAAAAGCCAAAATTGACAAATGGGATCTAATTAAACTAAAGAGCTTCTGCACAGCAAAAGAAACTACCATCAGAGTCAACAGGCAATCTACAAAATGGGAGAAAATTGTCGCAACCTACTCATCTGACAAAGGGCTAATATCCAGAATCTACAATGAACTCAAACAAATTTACAAGAAAAAAACAAACAACCCCATCAAAAAGTGGGCGAAGGACATGAACAGACACTTCTCAAAAGAAGACATTTATGCAGCCAAAAAACACATGAAAAAATTCTCACCATCACTGGCCATCAGAGAAATACAAATCAAAACCACAATGAGATATCATCTCACACCAGTTAGAATGGCAATCATTAAAAAGTCAGGAAACAACAGGTGCTGGAGAGGATGTGGAGAAATAGGAACACTTTTACACTGTTGGTGGGACTGTCAACTAGTTCAACCATTGTGGAAGTCAGTGTGGCGATTCCTCAGGGATCTAGAACTTGAAATACCATTTGACCCAGACATCCCATTACTGGGTATATACCCAAAGGACTATAAATCATGTTGCTATAAAGACACATGCACACTTATGTTTATTGCAGCACTATTCACAATAGCAAAGACTTGGAACCAACCCAAATGTCCAACAATGATAGACTGGATTAAGAAAATGTGGCACATATACACCATGGAATGGTATGCAGCCATAAAAAATGATGAGTTCATGTCCTTTGTAGGGACATGGATGAAATTGGAAATCATCATTCTCAGTAGAGTATCGCAAGAACAAAAAACCAAACACCGCATATTCTCACTCATAGGTGGGAATTGAACAATGAGAACACATGGACACAGGAAGGGGAACATCACACTCTGGGGACTGTTGTGAGGTGGGGGGAGGGGGGAGGGATAGCATTGGGAGATATACCTAATGCTAGATGACAAGTTAGTGGGTGCAGCGCACCAGCATGTCACATGTATACATATGTAACTAACCTGCACATTGTGCACATGTACCCTAAAACTTAAAGTATAATAATAAAAAATAAGAAAAGAAATGCTGCTTGAAATTTTCAGCATCTTCACGTATTATAGGTTTTAATTGTGATTCAAGAAGGATTACAAGATTGATGAAAAGGAGTAAATGGCTGAATGGTACAGTAAATGTCATTGAGTTTGTTTCATTTGGGAGTTTTTAGGTAATTAATCTTACATGTTTAATATCCACAGAAGAGTTGAATTGGTGAGTTTGGGGCATTTCAATAGACAGATAATGAGAGATGCCAAGATTTTGGGATCCAAAGGTTAATTAGTAATCAAAATCATAATTATAAAAAGGATTTAATTTGTTACTAAAGTATCAAATCCTAGTGGAATTCTTGTTATAAGTCATTTCTTTTTTTTCTCTCTTTTAATTCTGTGAACTTCTGGCATTACTCCATACTTAATATGCCTGAAATAGTCACAAAGCAAAACCTGGGGCTGTAACACAATGAGAAAAGCCTGTTGGAACAACACAGGAAATGACAGAGTTAATCGTTTATCCCCTGCTGGGAAGGATTGTAGAAAAATATATACCATATGTATAATCATTGTACAACACCAGATTATACCAATTTCTCCCTCTTCTCATTGTTTGTATCTCCTAGTTACCCAGTAATTCCTTATTTATTTATGACTTTAGCAACTGCTCTACTATTTTCTCCTTTTTTCTCTCTCATATTAGCCTTCTCATTGACTTCTGTGTCAATAGAGATACGTGCCTGACATCTCGATTTCTGGATATCCTTGCTTCCATCTCAAGTATTCACTTCCTTTGATAAAGGCCATTGTCATCACTGGTAACTGTACAATTTCTGAAATCTCAGTTCCAAGTAATCAGTATCTCACTCTCTAATCACTTCTTTGCGGACAGATATGGTTTGGCTCTGTATCCCCACCCAGATCTCATCTCAAATTGTAATTCCCCACGTGTCAAGGGAGGAACCTGGTGGAAAGTGATTGGATCATGGGAGTGGTTTCCCCCATGCTATTCTCTGCGATAGTGAGAGAGTTCTCATCAAGATCTGATGGTTTTAAAATTGGCGGTTTCGCCTGTGTGCTCTCTCTGTCTCCTGCTGCCTTAAGAAGATGGTGCTTGCTTCTCCTTTGCCTACCACCATAACTGTAAGTTTCCTGAGGCCTCCCCAGACATGTGGAACTGTGAGTCAATTAAACCTGTTTTATTTATAAACTACCCAGTCTCAGGTAGTATCTTTATAGCAGTGTGAAAATGAACTAATACACTGACCAAAAAACAAAACAAAACAAAACAAAAACAGAAAAAAAAAAACTTCACTCTTAACAGACTCTCCAATCCATTGGATTCACCAATTTCTTCACCAAGGAAGAATTTTAAATGTTAGGAGTTAAAAGAGTAATAAAGTTCAGACACATTGTAAGTTATAATTCCAGGAAAATACAAAACTAAATGACAAAAAAAGGGAATGGAGAACAAATTCATGCTTCTTAATTGCATTCTAGAGAATAGTAATTTCCCACTGGTACTTCTGATAGCATTCGAAGAATATCAAGAAAGTCTGATAATATAACTCTCATATAGAGAAAGAAAAACACATGAAAACACAATCCTGGAGTATGTAAAGGAAAAAAAGACATAAAGCAGATATGATTATATGAGTAAAAAATGAAATAATAATGTATTTGGCAATTACCTCAATTTCAATTTTATATTAAGATATACATAGGGGACAGTGTAGTTACCAACATTATTCTACCTACAATCTGTTCAGATTGGCAAAAAAAATCATAATTTTGAAATCATGACCACTTATATCTACTTTTTAAATGATCACTCAAAATGTAATAGACATATAAGAATCTCAATCCTTTATATCCATGTCAAACAAAATATAATGATTTTTTTCATTAAATCTATTGAATAGTTTGGAACTATCCTCATCATTTGAGGTGGAACAGCTGTTAATTGTGCTAATGGAAATCAAGAAACGATGAATAATAAAAGAAGTCATTGGCCTTCCTAAGTGCTAATTACTAGGGAAGTATATCTAGGCTCATTACAAAGATTTCAGACAGATTAAGGCACATTGACGAGCATTTAGTGATATTAAGTCACAGAATGCAATGTCTGGAAACCTCTGTATTCAAATTATAAAGCTGTGCTATGAGACATACACTAAATCTAATGAAGCTCTTATTTAGTTGGTCCTATATTTTGTAGTTGACTTCCTTGGCTGTGGGAATCTTTGCCATAATTACAGGGCCACAGCTAACATTAATGACAGAAAAAAGGACATTATTATCATTTTGTGAAAGAAATTTCAGCAATTGATTGCTGAAAAGAAATTGGAGTATGGGAAAACTAATATCAAACAAAAGAAAATGTATGGATCACCTGTTTAACCAAATTAGTCTCTAGCTTTGTATCCTTGTCTTTTGGGAAAATTATAAATGTTCATCTGGAAGATTGGGAGCTAATAAATAAATAAATGTAGACAAAACTGATTATTTTTCTGGACTCTAAGAAAGAAAATTTATATTAATCACAGCTAAAGATATTTCTTTCTTCACTCTGAAACATAGTCTACTTAATACAACCTTCTGCACTTTAGAAAGCTAAAAAATGGTCAATAGTTCATTGAGAAGTTCCAAAGCAGGTCATTATGACCTTGAAGGTGTGTTTATGTTGAAGTTGAACACTTCTGTAGGTCTCTCTGACCTATAAATAAATGCTCCTCAATGGAATTTAAGCAAATTAAGCACCGCATTTGTAGGAAATAGCACAAATCTAAGAAACACAAATTCTGCCCTCCACAAATCTATACCCTCAAAAGAGAAGGATAAAGCAAAAATAGATAAGAGGTTTAAGCAAAGAAAATTTAAGTATCTATTTTTAAATTTTTTTATTTTTAATTTTTGTGGGTATATAATAGGCATATTTTATTTATGGGGTACATGAGATATTTTGATACAAGCATGCAATGTGAAATAATAACATCATGGATAATGAGGTCTTCATCCCCTCAAGCATTTATCATTTGTGTTACAAACAATCTTATTAAGCTCTTTCAGTTATTTTTAAACATATAATTATTATTGACTATAGTCACCCTAATCAAATAGTAGGTCTTATTCTTTCTTTCTAACTATTTTTGTACTCATTAACAATCCCCACCTCCCCCTGAGGCCCTCACTACTCTTCCCAGCCTCTGGTAACCATCTTTCTACTCTATGTCCATAAGTTCAATAGTTTTTTATTTTTAGATCCTACAAATGAGTAAGAACATGCAATGTTTTTCTTTCTGTGCCTGGCTTTTTTCACTTAACATAGTGATTCCAAATTCATTCATGTTGTTGCAAATGACAGGATCTCATTCTATTTTTTGGCTGAATAGTACTCCATGTGTATATGTACCACATTTGGACACTCAGTTACTTCCAAATCTTAACTATTGTAAACAGTGTAGCAACAAACAAAGGAGTGCAGACATATCTTTAATATACTGATTTCCTTTCTTTTGAATATATGCCCAGTGGTGCAATTGCTGTGTCATATGGTAGTTCTATTTTTAGTATCTACTTTGAGTGAATAAAACAATATACTTTCTGAAAGCAACAAAATATTGTTCCTTCAACATCATTTACTGATTTCAACAAATGAGGGTTTATTTTAATTTCTTCTTTCTATATGTCATAGAAATTCAAAGAAAGTCTTAAACAAGTGTAATAAACAGCATTTAACACAGTTTCTAATAATTCCCACCTCTTGGTAGTCATACATTTTTATATTGCCCTCCAATAGGGCTGTAGACTAGATTTAATGACTCTCTTCTAATGAATACAACAAATTGATTAAGTTTTACTGCCAAGAAAGAGTTACAAAGTGATTGTGGTTTCCATTTTGCATGCTCTTTGTTGCTTTCTTGCTTGTTTGCTCTGATGGGAGCCAGCTGCCATGTTATAAGCTCTTTTATGGTAAGGTCCCTGTAGCAAGAAATTTTGGAAGCTCTCCAGTCAACAACCAGAAAGCAAGGGAGGCCATCAGTCCAATAGTCTCATGAGAAATCAAATCCTGACAACAACCACATGAATAATATAAATAGGTCCTCCCTCAGTCAGTCCTTCAGATGAGACTACAACCCCAACCAACACTTGGATTCCAGCCTTCTAGAAGAACTTGAGCTTGATGTAGCCAGCTGAGCTATACTAAGATTCTTAGTGTACAGCAACTAACAAATGTTTGTTGTGTTAAACCTCTAAGTTTGGGGTAATTTGTTACATAATGGATAACTAATAAAAAAAATCTCCACTTTGCAAAAGATTATAATTTCCTCAAGATTTAAGTTTGATTTTATTTGTGTGTTAAAGTAAACCAAACTGACTAAAATATAAATGAGATGTATTTTCCATTTTTCTTAAAAATAAGTTCGAGGAAAATTAGAAAATAATTACCATAAAAATATCCATCTTTAATTGGACTAACTAGCATCCTATGAAATACTTCATAAAAATTTTGTAACAATACATGACATTATATCCCTATGAGATTAAATGACATCTCTTGCATCTTAATCAGATGTTATAGGATTATTTGAAGCTCAGTGACATCTCTGAAAAGCAAGTAAATATGCCTTCAATTCCGAAAAATGTTGCTTTAATTTGAATTTCTAAATCTGTTTAACTTGCTGTTTAATTATTGTGATACAGTATTCTATAAGACTGCAAATACATACTTAGCATTATGTAGCTATCTAGCTCATATACATGAAAATACTATTAAATAAATATTTAAACACTTTATAATAGCTTATGTTTTTGGTGGTTAAAAAGTAATGATTCACACACTACTGACTTGCTTTTAAGCTCAAATCTATTACCCAGTACTGGAACTTTTACATTTCCAAATAAAGAGGCTGATTCAGTGGTTTATAATTATGATATTACAACATGTGCTTTAAAAATCACCTACTACTATATTTTTGTGCAAAAGGAACAAATTATATCAACATTGCTGGAAATCTGAAAACTGGCAAGCAACTTAGTTTTAAATATTAATATTAAAAGTTACCATTGCTTGGAAGCAAAAAAAAGTCAGTTAAAGATGAGGCATAGAAATATATAATGTTTTCCCCAAACAATAAAAAAAAATCTAACAATAAAGAACACCACAAAGACTATAAATAGCAAAATTTGGCATGGTTATTAAACACAGAAAGATGAGAATCAAAATATCTCTTTAGAAAAACTTTTGATAAAATAGTGTTTTAATAATTTTACATATTACAAATATTTCTAAGTTTGTTTCCTTTAGTATGTATAGGAAATGTAATTGGTAAAAGTTGTTTCCCTATATTTTGCACAGAAGTGGATATGCTTAATATGTATCTTTCTTTCCATTTGGAAGTATCAGTCTTGGGAGCACTTGGGATGTAGACTGACCTAAACAAACCTGATCATCTTGAGCCTTTACATGGTTGGCAGGATCCATCATTCCTTCATGTGAGTGCATCCAGTTGTTATAGGACACCTCAAAATGCAGTGAAATGGTTCAACTAACTCAAGTGATAAACTGAGTTACTGAGAGAAAATTAAAAAGGTCTAGTAACTAGGCCAAACACCATGGTGATGATATGCCACTAAGACGATGCAGTGGGAAAATCTGTCATTTTAATAAATGGTGTTAAGAAAACTGGAAATCCACAGGCATAAAAATGAAACCAGACCTTTCTCTTATACCTTACACAAAAATCAACTCAACACGGATTAAAGATCTAAATGTAAGGACTGAAATCTTAAAATTCCTAGATAAATTTTCATAAGGGAAAAAGGTTTTTGATATTAATTTTGGCAATGATTTTTTGGATATCCCACCAAAAGTTTAGGCATCATAAGCAAAAATAGCAATTGGGACTACATCAAACTAAAAAGCTTCTGCACAGCAAAGGAAACAATTAACAAAATGGAAAGGCAGCCAAAAGATTGTGAGAAAATATTTGCAAAATACAAATCTGATAAGGAGTTAATATCCAGGATGTATAAGGAACTGATACAACTCACTAGCAATAATAATAATAATAACTCAATTAAAAATAGGCAAAGGACCTGAATAGGCATTTTTCCAAGAAGACTTAAGCATGTCCATATATAAAAAGTTGCTAACAACCACTAATTATCAAAGAAATGCAAGTAAACCACAATAAGATATAACCTTATACATTTGCAGGTGGGATGGTATTATTATCACAAAACCAAGAGACAACAAGTGTTAGTGAGGAAGTGAAAAAAAGAGAAGCCTTTTATTCTGCAGGTAGGAATGCAGATTCTTAACAGCCATTATGGAAAACAGTGCTAAGGTTTCTTAGAAAATTAAAAATTGAAATACTATATGGCCCAGCAGTCCCTCTGCTGGCTACATGCCCAACAGAAACAGCACATCATAGAGATAACTGTGTGCTCATGTTTATTGTGGCATTATTCACAACAAAGAAGATAAGGAAACAACCTAAGTGTCCATCAATGGATAAATAGATTTAAAACATTGTGATATATATATAATGCAATATTATTTTTCAGCCTTAAAAATGTAGATAGTGCCATTAGCAACAACATGAATACTGGAGAACATTATGCTAAGTGAAATAAGCCAGGCACACAAAGAAAAAGTACTACATGATTTCAATTATATGTGGGACCTTAAAAAAAAAAGGTTTTTTGTGTCTCTATCTCCTTCAGTTCTGCCCTGATCTTAGTTATTTCTTGTTCTGCTAGCTTTTGAATGTGTTTGCTCTAGCTTCTCTAGTTCTTTCAATTGTCATGTTAGGCTGTCAATTCTCGATCTTTCCTGCTTTCTGTTGTGGGCATTTAGTGCTATAAATTTCCCTCTACACACTGCTTTGAATGTGTCCCAGAGATTCTGGTATGTTGTGTCTTTGTTCTCATTGGTTTCAAAGAACATCTTTATTTCTGCCTTCATTTCGCTATGTACCCAGTAGTCACTCAGGATTAGGTTGTTCAGTTTCCATGTAGTTGAGCGGTTTTGAATGAGTTTCTTAATCCTGAGTTCTAATTTGACTGCACTGTGGTCTGAGAGACAGTTTGTCATAATTTCTGTTCTTTCAAATTTGCTGAGGAGTGCTTTACTTCCAACTATGTGGTCAATTTTGGAATAAGTGCAATGTGGTGCTGAGAAGAATGTATATTCTGTTGATTTGGGGTGGAGAGTTCTGTAGATGTCTATTAGGTCCACGTGGTGCAGAGCTGAGTTCAATTCCTGGATATCCTTTTTAACTTTCTGTCTCATTGGTCTGTCTAATGTTGACAGTGGGGTGTTAAAGTCTCCCATTATTATTGTGTGGGAGTCTAAGTCTCTTTGTAAGTCTCTAAGGACTTGCTTTATGAATTTGGGTGCTCCTGTATTGGGTGCATATATATTTAGGATAGTTATCTCTTCTTGTTGAATTGATCCATTTTTTTGTTTTCCATTTGCTTGGTAGATCTTCCTCCATCCCTTTATTTTGAGCCTATGTGTGTCTCTGCACGTGAGATGGGTTTCCTGAATACAGCACACTGATGGGTCTTGACTCTTTATCCAATTTGCCAGTCTGTGTCTTTTAATTGGAGCATTTAGTCCATTTACATTTAAGGTTAATATTGTTATGTGTGAATTTGATCCTGTCATTATGATGTTAGCTGGTTATTTTGCTCATTAGTTGATGCAGCTTCTTCCTAGTATCTATAGTCTTTACAATTTGGCATGTCTTTGCAGTGGCTGGTACTGGTTGTTCCTTTCCATGTTTAGTGCTTCCTTCAGGAGCTCTTTTAGGGCAGGTCTGGTGGTGACAAAATCTCTCAGCATTTGCTTGTCTGTAAAGGATTTTATTTCTTCTTTACTTATGAAGCTTAGTTTGGCTGGATGTGAAATTCTGGGTTGAAAATTCTTTTCTTTAAGAATGTTGAATATTGGTCCCTACTGTCTTCTGGCTTGTAGAGTTTCTGCCAAGAGATCTGCTGTTAGTCTGATGGGCTTCTCTTTGTGGATAACCCGACCTTTCTCTCTGGCTGCCTTTAACATTTTTTCTTTCATTTAAACTTTGGTGAATCTGAAAATTATGTGTCTTAGATATGCTCTTCTCAAGGAGTATCTGTGTGGCATTCTCTGTTTTTCCTGAATTTGAATGTTGGCCTGACTTGTTAGGTTCGGGAAGTTCTCCTGGATAATATCCTGCAGAGTGTTTTCCAACTTGGTTCCATTCTCCCCATCACTTTCAGGTACACCAATCAGACATAGATTTGGTCTTTTCACATAGTCCCATATTTCTTGGAGGCTTTATTCCTTTCTTTTTACCCTTTTTTTCTCTAAACTTCTCTTCTCATTTCATTTCATGAATTTGATCTTCAGCAGACACTTCTCAAAAGAAGACATTTATGCAGCCAACAGACACATGAAAAAATGCTCATCACTGGCCATCAGAGAAATGCAAATCAAAACCATAATGAGATACCATCTCACACCAGTTAGAATGGCAATCATTAAAAAGTCAGGAAACAACAGGTGCTGGAGAGGATGTGGAGAAATAGGAACACTTTTACACTGTTGGTGGGACTGTAAACTAGTTCAACCATTGTGGAAGACAGTGTGGCAATTCCTCAAGGATCTAGAACTAGAAATACCATTTGACCCAGCCATCCCATTACTGGGTATATACCCAAAGGACTATAAATCATGCTGCTATAAAGACACATGCACATGTATGTTTATTGCGGCACTATTCACAATAGCAAAGACTTGGAACCAACCCAAATGTCCATCAGTGGTAGACTGGATTAAGAAAATGTGGCACATATACACCATGGAATACTATGCAGCCATAACAAAGGATGAGTTCATGTCCTCTGTAGGACATGAATGAAGCTAGAAACCATCATTCTCAGCAAACTATTGCAAGGACAAAAAACCAAACACCGCATGTTCTCACTCATAGGTGGGAATTGAACAATGAGAACACTTGGACCCAGAAAGGGGAACATCACACACCAGGGCCTGTCGTGGGGTGGGGGGATGGGGGAGGGTTAGCATTAGGAGATATACCTAATGTAAATGATGAGTTAATGGGTGCAGCACACCAACATGGCACATGTATACATATGTAACGAACCTGCACATTGTGCACGTGAACCCTAGAACTTAAAGTATAATAATAATTTTAAAAAAAAGCAGAACTCATAGAAGCCAGGTAAAAGCATAGTTGCCAGGAACTGGGATGTGGTGGAAATGGGGATATGTTGGCTAAATGGTATAAACTTGCAGTAAAGTAGGGTGAATAAGTCTAGAGGTCGAATGTACAGCATCAAGACTATAGTTAATAATATAGTATTGTACATTGAAAATGTGCTGAGAGAGTAGATTTTAGGTGCTCCTACCACACACTCAAAGGTAACTATTTAAGATGAAAAATACATTTTTTGCCTACCTCTAAAAATTATTTCACTAAGTATACGTCTATCTAAACATCATGTTGTGAACAATAAATTATACAATAGAAAAAGAGTTTCATTTTAAATATAAATCACACTTTACAATGAAAAAGTCAAATAAGATACAATTTGAAAATAGTAAGCAGAAGAAAGTCCAAGTGACTATGTTAGCATAAGACAAAGTGAACCTCAGGAGAAGAAGACTATTAGAAAAAAGAGGGACATTACATAATGATAAGATGGTTAATTTATAAAAAATAATATACATAATATATACATTGAAGTACATGTATCAACATAATTTTAAAATATATAAAACAAAAACTAATAGAACTAAAGAAGAAATAGACAAATATATAATTAAAATTAGATATTTTAAAATTACTTTCTCATTAACTCATAAAATAACTAGATAGAAAATCAGTTAGGATACAGAAGGTAAGGACAACAGTATCAATGTTGTCCTTACCTTCTGTAAGTCCTTGTAGAACAGTCCTTGTAGAAGTAGTAGGATACACATTCTTTTCTTTTTTTTTTTTTTTTTTCAACCTTTATTTTAAGTTCTTGGGTACATGTGCATAAGCCCTTCATGCATTAGCTATTCTTCCTGATGCTCTCCCTCCACCCCGACTCCGAACAGGTCCTAGTGTGTATTGTCCCCCATGATGTGTCCATGTGTTCTCATTGTTCAGCTCCCACTTATAAGTGAGAACATTTGGTATTTTGTTTTCTATTACTGTGTTAGTTTGCTAAGGATAACAGCTTCCAGCTTCATCCATGTCCCTGCAAAGGAAATGATCTCATTCCTTTTTTATGGCTGCATAGTATTCCATGGCATTTATGTACCACATTTTCTTTATCCAGTCTACCATTGATGGGCATTTGGGTTGATTCCATGTGTTTGCTATTGTGAATAGTGCTGCAATGAACATACATATGCATGTATCTTTATAATAGAATGATTTACATTAGTTTGGGTATATACACAGTAATAAGATTGCAGGGTCAAATGGTATTTCTGCTTCTAGATCTTTGAGGAATCACCACACTGTCTTCCACAATGACTGAACTAATTTACACTTAATTACAGTTAAGAATGAAATAAAATCAATTCCATATACAAGATTCTGTAAAATAGACGTGGTAAAACTACTTTTCAACATATTTTATGAGGCCAGGATTACCATGACACCAAAACCAGACAAAGTATTACAAGAAAACTACAAACCGATAGTCTTCTTTGGTATATAGAAATATACCAAAGGTAATACATCATCTACAAGCAGAGTTAATTTGGGAACTCAAAGCTGCTTCAACATTCAAAAATATGCTTCAACATTCAAAAATATGTCAGTATGTGTTTTCATATCAATATTCTAAAGCAGGAAAATCTCATACTTTCCTGCTCTTCTCTACCTCAATTTTCCAGTCCAAGGAAGAACACACTTGCTGATCTTTGAACAATGCTTTCTTTGTAAAATCAGGTGCTTTACACGTGTTATTCTCTCTACATGGAATGCTTTTCCCCTTATCCTTACTTGGCTAATGTTATCAGTTGAATAGTTTCCCCAAAAAGGTATGTTGAAGTCCTAATCCCAAGTACATAAGAATGTGACCATATTTGGAAATGGCGTCTGTAGAGAGGTAATCAAAGTAAAATGAGGTCATTAGAATGGGCCCTAATCCAATATGACTGGCGTCCTTATAAGAAGAGTAAAGTTGGACACAGAGACAGACACATTATGTGGCTATGTGAAGACACACAGGGAGAAGACCACCATGTAGCTGGCATGATGCGTCTATAAGCCAACGGAGGCCAGGAGTTGCCAACAAACACTGGAAGCCAGAAGAAGCAAGGAAGGATTCCCCTCTAGAGCAATCAGAGAGAGCTTCACCCTTCTGACACCTTGATTTCAGATTTCTAGACTCAAGAACTGTGAGAATAAATTTATGTTGTTTTAAGCCACCCAGTGTTTGATACTTTTTAATGGTAGATCTAGAAAATTAACATAGCTGGCTTCTTTTCACCCTTTATATATCAACCAAAATGTTCCTCTCTATCCCATCCACCCTCCCCTGTAAAAAGTTATCTTATCCTCAAAGAAGCCACCAGCCTCCAATCATTCTGGATCTCAGAACTCTTCTTCCTTCATAGCATGTGTCAGCCATGATTATTTCAGAAAAATGGAAATCATTTAATGTATTTTAAGATAGAAGGAATTCAGTTTAGAGAATTATGTACAAACATTGGTAGGGAAGAGGAATAAAGATCAGAGAATGCCATTGCTCACTTGGGAAGTCAGGAACGTCAGAAAATCAATGCTTATAATCATATACTTCCAGTGCTAAGGTAAGTGACTTGCTGAGAAACATATTATAAAATTCCACATCTGCGAAACACGTAACATCTGCCTGCCACTGTTGGAGAAATAATAAAGCTTCTACCACCCTTCCACAGTTCAAATCCTTCATTCATGTCTTTTGTTGACAGAATCTAACCTAGAATTTGCTGGCCCATCTAGCCCTTCTGTTAAGGAAGAAACAGAATGAGAAAATTGAGTCTCCAATAGACAATGAGGCTATCAAATCTTTGGATACTAAATATTTGTACCCAACATTTCACCAGTACTTAATTTCCAAACAACAATGGTAATGACATTATGCTTCAACTTAAGGTGTGGAAATTATCCTTGATACAAGGATGCACAAAGAGTAAACAAAAATTTCACCTGTTATATTTCACCCATTGCTGAATGACATTCATTACTCTTCTCATTCATTCATATTCTGTCACAATTTGCCATAGATATCCTACATATTAACAGATAAATTATAAGTTTAAGTTACACAAGTAACTTTGTGTATAATAACAGTTAAAAGCTAAAGGATAAAAAAAAGTTAATATATACAAATATATGCACAGCAAAGCACAGAGAAATAAACATAGGTACTCAGATCTACTCATTTTCATGGTTGGGCAGAAAATCCGTTGATATTTATATTTTTTATTATTTTGCTACCCATTTCATGTTCCCTTTGCCTTCTGTTATTTGGGGTTCATTACTTGTTTGGGTAATACAATTCTTTAATTGTGAATCATCTGAGCTATTAATGGCCATGACTTTTTCCATGACTTAAAAAACTGGACCTAGAAATATGAAGATGAGTTCACATAAGAATCTTCTGGGGGATTAGTGCAACAAATGAAAGGCTTTGAATTTTATGCTTAGGGATTTGAACTTTGTAGTAGAGAGTTGTTGATGCTTTCTAAATAGGGGAATGATATGGTATATTAGCTATTTTATGTTGACTTTTTCATTCGTGGTATACTGGATTGGCTTCAGAGCAAAAACCCAAAGCAAGGAGTTGAGGTCAGTCATGGCTATAGTTCAGTAGTCTATAATACAGTGATGAAGATACAAACCAGAAAGATGGGGAAAAAAATCAACAGTACCTGATATTTTAATTGGATATAAAGCCTAAGGAGTAAGAAAAGGCTAATGTTATATTGGAGTTTTGAGGAGGTGTGGAGTGGATAGAAATCAGCATTCAAACCAAAAGGAAACCTTTTACTGACACTTGAAGTACATCAACAAGAAGTCCTTGGAGGTATAGTCCAAAGTATAGTCAATTAACACAACTTTTTTGGTAACTTAAGGTTACAACTTCTCAGAACTTTTTATGGTGGATGACTTAAGTAGAGAATTATTGTCAGGAAGAGGGGGAAAGAATTTACTAAAAAGGAAAAATATTTATGAAATTCTTTTTAATGGAACATTTAATAATTCAGCAAAAGTAGTTATATAAATGAATTGTAGAAACAGCAGAAAGTAGAAAAATATTAGATTATCTAATTTAGAAAGGTTTTTTTGCTTTCAATATTTATGGTGTAAAAAAGTTGCTGCTGTCATCATGTCAGAGATATTAATGATACATTCATTTTCAAACTTATAATTTAAGGCAAATATTATAAGTTATATCTGGTTGAATTCTTATTTGCTGAGGCAGTAAATCAGGGTTCAGTCACAGACTCAGAACCACTATGAATGGTACGGAATAAAGAATTTATTGTACCATTAATGTGTCCACCATGGTAGGAGCTGGTAAAATCTCTGGAAGGCTGTTGCCTCTGTTCCTGGAGGTGGCCTATGATGACTTACAGGTCAGAAGGCCTGAGTGTGAAATGGGGAGAAAGAGGGCAAACTGAGTTCAGTGAGGACATGCTACAGCCGATCGACCACTCACAGCTTCCCATCCTGGGTGACCCTCAAGAGAAGCCAGAACCCTTGACCACAGAGCTGATTACATGACTGGCCCAGAACTCAGAGAAGCTGAAAGAGGTCTGGCAGGAATGGATAGAGCTCAAATGTAAAAGCAAATCTGGATTTAGTAAAAAGAGAATTCATTTGAAGATGACCAAGAGGGCCTTAACTCTCCCCTCAGCTTGATTAAACCTTTGATACCCTTCTTCCTGACGATAAGCACTTTACTTGAAAAAACTTCGAATTATAAATTCTTGATCTACTCCTTTGAAATATATGTAAAGCTTCTTCTAGCCTCTTGCTAGTTTTACCACCCAGAAAACGTATTTCTCAGAAACCTGAGAACCTATCCTTGTGGGAGGGTAGAAGCCTAATTTCCATGGACACCAATTAACAAACACAGATGGACTAATCACAGAAAAACATTTGCAAACTCAGGAATAACTCAAAGTGCTGGACAGATTGCACTGACCAACTTCCCCCTCACATCCTCCAGTACTTTTCCACAAGCTCACCCCAGGACTAAAAAACTCTCCTGCCTTTTCTTTCAGTGGAGTTGGGGAGTGAGTTCAGCCTCACTCCCTTATTATAATAGTCTTAAATAAAGTCTTCCTTGCCTATTTAACTTGTCTAGTGCAAATTTTCTTTGACAAAAGAATGATTGCAAGGGAGAAGAGGGGGGACTATTGCAATAAGGAGAAAGCTGTGCCCATAAGAACTCCAAACATCTCAAGGTTAGGCAAAAAGGGTTTCTCTATTATAGAAAAGAATACCAAAGTTAGACAGAAAGGGGTGTGAGGAAATGGGATGAAGATGTAGCAGATGGTAGATCAGAGAATGTTTTACAGTGAGGCCAGCCAATTCTCAGATGGGGCTGTTAAGATGCAGTCATATGCTGGTCAAAGTTTAAGTACCTGGGGAGGAAGAGAAGCTTAACCAAAGTGTAATTAATAAGTGTATTGTGCTATTCATTAGCGGGGACAAGAACTTAATGTAATCATTTCTGAAACAAAAAAAAAATGGAAGTTTGAAAAGTCTGTGTCTGGTCTTGTCATAGAGAGACCACTGGTGAGTCCTATCTAGGTCATATGAGGAAGAAAGTTTCTTTGCCTAAGCTGTGTTCTGGAACACAAAAGGTTGCATGTGTGTAAAACTATAGGGTAGATTTTCACCTGATCTTTTTTTCTGGGAGCACAGGGCTTGGGTAAAATTCAGAATTGTCAGAAGCCATGGGTCTGGCTGCTGCCCCACACTCACCTATGCTGAATTTCATGGGATAACAGCTGTTGCTTTCTTTCTACCTTCCAGGTCTCTAGCAAATTTCTCTTGTGGCTAACCCTAACTCAGAACCATACAGTGAAGGAAATTCTGAGAAATACAGCTTGGCTAAGTTGATACATCATAAAATCGACTCTGAATTGAGTGAAAAAAATTGAAGCAATGTGATTCTGAACAACTTGAGCCATGAGAATAAATATATCCTAGGCAGGAGGTACCAACTGTATATGGATAAAAACAGTCATAGTGGATAGGGTGTTATGTGTATAAAAATTGTCATTTATTTCTGAAGCATGTCTGGCCTAGTTAATGCAAGCTCCTTGATGTGTCTATAGTACGTAACACCTAATGTCATTAATACTTATTGCATTCTATTTTAATTGCTTTTTGGTGTGTGGGGTCTTCCAAATTAAGTTTAGATTCCCAGGGTCAGGAAATGTTTATACTTTTTTTGGTCACTAGCACATAAGATTGTACCTGAGCCACTGAAGGAGTTCATTACAGGTTTGCTGAAAGAATGGTTGAATGAGATAGTGAGTTCTTTTGAATGATGAACATTGAATTCATAACTCTAACAAAAATATCATGACAAAGGAAAGAAACAAGTCATGTCAAAAATAAAAACTACCTTACTTTTTGTGTTACTCAGCATTCAAACCAGAAAGCACTTTATACTGGTGCTTTGAGTACATCACAAGAAGTTCCCAGAGGCATAGTCAACAGGACAATTATTTTGTAACCAAGGGTTACAGATTATCAGAACTTTTTAAGGCAGATGACTGAAGAAGTTTTTTTTCAGGGCAAAATTCTTATCAACATTTATTCTTTTGGTACCGTTTATTTCCATTTGTTTTAAAAACACTCTATATAAAGAAAAATCATCCACATAGTTACCAGCTCTCTTTTAGAGCATTGACCAAAAAAATGTAATATGTATATACACACCACATAAGAATTATTGCCTTTTTCTTATCATGAAACTGACATTGCCTCTGCTTTATTCGAAACACTGTCCAACGGACTCCCTTCCTGGGGCTGATGGTAACCAAACAGGCTTCATACGCTCTTTTACCTTATCCTGAAAAACCTTACCATAATCCTCTCTGAGTGGTTACCTTAACCCGTCTCTTTCATAATTTTATTACTATTACACTCCTTCCCCATGCTCCTCCCAATCATACATCCCTAAATTGTTTCAGAAGCTTCCTGGTTCCTTACTACTTCTTGTAAGAGAATGGACTGTCCCTCACTCTTAAATATGTCAGCTGATAGTTACTAGAAAATCCAGGAAGCCTGTCTGTAAAAGATGTTTTCATCCCAAATCCCTCTTATTGCCCAGTCCCAGACTTTTTCCCTTTTGGCCCTCCATTTAGCTCATTCTTATAAGTGTTTACACTTAATCCAGAGTCATATAGTCTCCATAACATTATAATATTTCTGCATAATGAATTACACTTATTTAACAAACACTAATGGTGGTCACTATGTGATAGGCTTTGTTTCCAAGTGATTTCCAAGGATGAATTGTGTAAAGCTCACAAAGAATATATAAGAAAGGTGTTATTTCTATCCCCATTTTACAGCTGGGAAAACTGAAGCTTGGTGAGTGTAGGTAATTTACCCAAATTATAACTAATAAGCAGCAAAGCCGTAGTCAAACCTGAGAAACCTGGGTACAAAGACCAAGCTCTTGTTCTCCACACGGTGCTTTCTTCCACGACTTCGAAAAGAAATAGAGAAAAAAAAAATTCAACTGCAAGAAATGACAAAAACGGAAAGACAGATGAAGAAACAGACCTGCAAAGATGAACAACAGCACAGAATGACAGTAATCAGAGAAAAAAAAGAGGAAGACAGGGACAGAGAATGATAGACAGAAATATGTGCTTTCACAAAGACAGAAGCAGAAAAAATAATAGTCAGAAAAGACAGCAGCACAGAGGCCAAAACATTCAGGTTTAAAAATATAGTTTATTAAATATCTTGCTATCTGTGAGGCATACAGTTATTTTTCTTTCTGAACTGCAAGTTATTAGGAGTTAAAGTTGAAATATTTTAAACACACATAAAGAAGTTTGCATTTAGACACAAATGATCTACATGTAAGAATGCTGAGGAATAATTTAAAAGGGAATGTGGAGAAAGCCTGTTAAAATGAGTAGCTTGGCAACGGTAGAGGGCTAGTGACACATTTAGGAAATAATTGGCAATATTGGTTGTTTTTAAGGAGACCCTAGAATTTAGAATGCTAAAGAAATATTGTTTTTTAAAGATATTGGTGGCATGTATGCTAACAAGACTTGGAAAGAGATATGCCTCTGAACTGGGTGAGCTGCAGTCTCTAAATTGCCTGCACAAGAGTCATCCTGGTGACATGCTCAGCGTGCTAATTTTATACCAGAAAAATGTACAGACTTCTTTCAGGTCACAGGGACTGCTGGAAACTTAGGAAGGAGTAGACTTGTAAAAAGCCTAACAGCAAAGTATGTACTGAAAAATTGCCCTGCTTTCCTCTTCGCATTTATAAACTCTGTTGGAGGACGGTCTCCATGTGTTGGAGCATTATCTCCATTTTTTCCACATGCTTTCTCCCTGAAGTGGGAACTTAACTACAGTGAAGTATCAATGTCACCAAGCTGGCAGCCTGTGCTTGTCAGATGTGGTTTTTGTTCTGCACATGGCACAGAAGGAATGGCTAGACATTACTACCCAATTCCCAAAAGTCTCTGAGGAGCTGTTAAGCACCTCCATAATAAAAAGCTTTGTTTTGTAGTTACTTAAGTTCATTCATTCATTCATTCATTCATTCATTTGAACAAGGGACAAATGATTTTCTTCACAATTTTATTGAAGTATAATTGAAGTACAGCAAACCACACAGAGTTGATCGTTTTTATTTGTGAATCCTGTATTTGTAAATTCACCTACTTGATAACATCATGGCACTTTTGTAGTCATCTGAAGATGCGTGGAGTGGTGAAAAATTTGAAAAAAATTTCTCTTTCATGTTTCAGCTCTCAAATTGTAAACAAGTACCCTGTTTTTGGTTGTCCTTTCAGTGACACCAAAAAAATGTGTCCTTTCAGTTGTCCACATTTTTGTGCTTTTTGTTGGTGATTTTGCAGTTTAAAATTGGTCTCTCGAACCTACCACTAAAGTGCTGTCTGATGTTCCTAAATGCAGGAAGTCTGTGATGTGTTTTATAGAGAAAATATGTCATTTGGATAAGCTTCCTTTAGGCATGAGTTCTAGTGCTTTCCACTGGGAGCTCAATATTAATATGTTACAACCAGAAAAGGAAGAAAAAATTTGCCAATCTGTATCTGAGGCTGTTCCAGAAAGTGTTAAAGTAATATTTATAAATGAAGCCATGGAAAACAAAGAAAAGTTAAATTTGTGAATTAATGAGATGATAGCTTATTTTTTCAATTAAAAAAAAAGCATACTGGATAGCATTGTTGTGAGACTGAAAGTCCAAGACATTTATGGCTGTGTTACCCAAGGTCAGGAAAATGTTAAAACCTCCTTGGCTAGTACTGGCCAGCTTGTGTCTTTCTAATGGTGATATCACATAAAAAATGTTAGGCTTCAATGTGAGGCAGGTTCTGCAGATAAGAAGACTGCAGAGGAATTTTAAGAATACCTGCTAAGTGTTACAGGGAAAAAGGTTACGTAGAGGAGCAGGTTTTCAATGCTGATGAGACTGGCTTACCTTACAAGGTCCTTGGCAAATGAACATGTATAATGCAAATGACATTTCGGTTGAACAAAATGTGACCAGAGGCTCACAGGAACCTAACCCTGTATTTCCCAGTAGCAATAGCTGTGTATTTTCTGATTCAGTATTTGTGGTGACTTAATAGAACATAACTACTATGGATAAAGAGAATAGACTATATGTTTAAAGTATACAAATCAATCTATATATACATACGCATACATACATATATATGTATATATGTATGGATGGATATCAAAAAAACTGTCAACACAAGATAATGAACATTTTCATTACTACCCAAAATTTTTTGTGCCTCTTTGAAATCCATCCCTCCTTCTACTTCTATTCCCAAGCACCCATTAAACTGCTTTCTGAACCTAGGAATTAGTTTGCATGTTCTATAATTTCATAAAAATGGAACGTACTCTTTTTACTTCTTTAAGTCTAGTTTCTTGTATCCAGCATGGTGACTGTGAGATTTTTCCATGCTATTGTGTGCATCAATAGTTCATTTCCTTTTCTTGCTAGGTGGTGTTCCATAGAAAGAGTAAACTCATCCACTCATGGACATTTATGTTGATTTTAGTGTTTTGCTATTATAACTAAAACTGCTGTGAATGTTTATGTACGTATGTTGTGGGAACATATATGTTTGCATTCCTTGGTTAAATAGGTAGGAGTGGAATGACTGGTGCAGGTGGTAGGTGTAGGTTTAAATTTTTAAGAAATCTCCACACTGTTTTCCAAAGTAGTTGTACTGTTTTACACTCCTAACAGTGTCATATGAGAGTTCCAATTACTCTACATATTCCTAACACTTGGTATAGTCTATGATAACTTTTAGCCCTTTGTAGCTCATTGTGGTTTCAGTTTGCATTTCCCAGCAACTAATAATGTGAAATATCTTTTAATGTGTTTTTTTGGTCACATATACTCTTTTATAAAGTGACCTTTCAAGGGCCAGGCATGGTGGCTCACGCTTGTAATCCCAGCACTTTGGGAGGCCAAGGCAGACGGATCACCTGAGGTCAAGAGTTCGAGACCAGCCTGACTAACATGGAGAAACCCCGTCTCTACTAAAAATACAAAATTAGCTGGGCGTGGTGGCACATGCCTGTAATCCCAGCTACTTGAAAGGCTGAGGCAGGAGAATCGCTTGAACCCGGGAGACAGAGGTTGTGGTGAGCGGAGATCGCACCACGGCACTCCAGCCTGGGCAACAAGAGTGAAACTCCGTCTCAAAAAAAAAAAAAAGTGACCTTTCAGATCTTAACTATTTTTAAATTGAGTTGTTTTTATTACTAAAGCTTTAGAGTTATTTATATATTCAGTTATAATCCTTTTGTTTGATACATATGTTGTGAATATTTTCTTCCAGTATGTGGCTTGCCTGTTTGTTTTCCAAATGGTGTCTTTCAATGAGCAAGTTTTACATTTTGATGAAATCCAATCTATTTTCTTTTATGTTTTTGGTTTTTGAGTTTTCACTAAGAAATTTTTACTCATTCAAAGCTTGCAAAGATTGTTTTTCCTATATTCTTCCTGGTATTTTATAGTTTAAATTTTACATTTAGGTCTACAAACTATTTTGAGTTAAATTTTGTTATCAATATAAAGCAAGGATCAATGTCCATTTTTTCCCAAATGAATATCCAGTTGATCTAACATCATTTGTTGAAAAGAATTAATTTCCCATTGAATTGCAGTCTTTGTAAGAAAGTCATTTGTATGGTCTATTTCTAGATCATATCCATTATATTCCATTGATTTAGTTGGCTATCTTGTCAATATCACACTGTCTTGATTACCGTAGCTTTATGGTAAGACTTGATGCCAGTTAAGGTAATTCCTGTAACTTTGTTATTTATATATTTCTCTTTTTTCATTATTCTAGATCCTGTGCATTTTCCTATAAATTGTAGAATCTCCTTGTCAAACTCTACCCATGAAAAGTCCATGAGATTTTTAATTGGAAATATGTTGACTTTATAGAGCAAATGTGTATTAGTTTGCTAAGGCTGCCATAACGAAGTACTACAGGCTGCATGGCTTAAAGTACTGAACCTGTGATTTATTTTTGCACAGTTCTGGAGTCGAGAATTGTAAGATCAAGGTATCTACAAGAGTGATTCCTTCTCAGGGCTCTATCCTTGGCTAGTAGCTGGTCTTCTTCCTGTGTCTTCACATGGCATTCTTGGTATCCTAATCTCCTCTTCTTATAAAGACACCAGTCATGTTCAATTAGGGTCCACCCTAATGGCCTCATTTTAACTTAATTACTTCTTTAAATATCCTATCTCCAACAATAGTCAGATTTGGAGGTACTGAGAGTTAGAACTTCAACAAATGAATTTTGAGTAATTTTGACTTTTTTCCTGAGTATTGTGAATGTTATGTTTTATAGACTCTGGATCTTGTTGTAATCCTCAACGTTAATGTGTTTATTTTGGCAGACAATCCAGCTAGGTTCAGACCTTAAGTTCTTTTTTCTTTTATGTTTAATTAACAAATAATAATTGTATATATTATGGGGTACAATGTGATGTTTTGATACATGGTTACAATGGGGAATGATTAAATCAAGCTAATTAGCAAATCTATTACCTCACATACCATATTTATGTACTGAAAATATTTTAAAAATCTGTTCTTTTAGTAATTTTGAACTATATGATGCATTGTTATTTATTATAGTCACAATTCTGTGCAATAGATCACTAAGGCTCATTCCTCCTGTCTAACTGAAATTTTGTACCCTTTATTCAACAACTCCAGTTGATGTTGGATAATCTCCAGTTTTCCCACTCACCTTCCACCCCTAGCCTCTGGTAACCACCATTCTATCTGCTTTTTGTATGAGTCTGACTTTTTTAGATTTCGTATTACGTGAGATCGTGTGGTATTTGTCTTGTTGGCCCAGCTTATTTTACTTAGGTTGATGTCCTCCAGGTTCATCCATGTTGTTGCAAATGACAAAATTTCCTTCTTTTTAAAGGCTGAATATATTCCATTGTGTATATATCTTATATTATCTTTATCCATTCATCTGATAATGGACACCTAGGTTGCTTCCACTAGGACAGACACTAGGCATAGGTTTGGGGTGGGGGAAAGAAATATGCATATAACCAAACTCATATTTGTTTCCTTCCTCTTCCTTTCTCAACTAAATTGTTTTTCCAGTGAGACAGCTACATTACCAATTGTGATGTGACATAATAAATGTTATAATAGAACTGTAGAATAGTGCTATGAGAATGAGTGTAACTGGGAAGTGGCCTTCTGAGAGATTTGGGCAACTTTCATAAAGGAGAGTGCTGATGAACACAGAGAATTTTTGGGAGAATCTTAAAGGATGTCAAACAGTTTACCAGGCAAAGAAAGAAGAAGAAGTAAAAGGCATATTTGAATCATGGCAAGTCATCTGAAGGTGCCTGGAGGATGTAGTAAAGAGTGTAATAGGATGAAGATGGGAAGTTTAAATTGTTCATGGATTTGCATGCAATAGTATAAAGTTTACATTTTATTATGTAAGCAGAAGTGTTTATATTTTGAATTATCTTTCAAGTCTATTCTTTTTATGCTCTTACCTGAGGGAATCTCTAAACAACAGTCATAAAAATGATCATGCTCACTCTCCTGATTTTCAGCATTGCAAACATACACCAGAAATGTCCTTGGCACAAAAGATCTGCATAAAATGAGCATGCAGAAATCTGGCAACATTTCTTCACTAATTAGTCAACTGGCAACAGTAAATTGATGACAATAAATCTGAATAATAATGTATAAAAGCAGAAAAAAAGAAGATATATTTTGAACCTCAGAATCTTAGCAAGAGAAATTCTAACTCAAAACAAAAACCGTAGATATTATCTAGGATGATCCACTGAATTGCACATTCTAGAAATTAATGTTTACAATAGAGGACTGAAGTTACAGCCCAAACTCTGTTCCCATGGGCATGGGAATTTTGAGCTCAACAAGTTCTGGAACTGAACCTAATAACAACTAGATGTTTGACTGGAATGTTTCTATCATCTATACTCCTTAAAATAATCACATCCCAGTTAGAATAATGGCCATGATAAGGTCTTAACATATGCACGCCTGAGGAATTGAGTTTGCCTGGGAAGAGATGCAATTGATTTGTATAATCTTTACCCTAACCAAAAGGGGTAAAATAGAAGTGAAAAAGATGATTACTTTTGTTTTAATTTGGATTTATTTTAACTAATGTTCTGTGTACCCTGTATTAAACAGTCATAACTTTTATCCATAATTCAGATAATTTGAATATTTCTTTATTTCAAATTTAGAGATTCTTATGGCTCACTATTATTTATTGATGGATTTTAGATTGATGATTTTCTTTAAAATGATTATTGTTCTTTGCACATTTGGAAATCAAGCCCCACAAATCTTGATACATTGTGGGGTGGGGGGCAAAGGTGTCAGAAGAATTTAATGAATGTACAATTTTAGTGTGAATCCAAAAAAATAACGATTTTCCCAAAGTGCTGGGGATACCTACTTTCTAATGTGTTTGAGTGGTTTCCAGGGCCTAAAACTGCAAGAGCAGTGTCTAGTGTGCATCAGATGCTCCACAAAAGTCATCTCACAATGATGTTTGATAGTGGCAGTGGCTCCTTCCACACAGTCCTGTAAGGTCCTCTGTCTCCCTCTACTACAGCAACTAGTGCATTCCATGGAATTATATTTTATATGTTTCTTTTGCACACTATTGACTCTTCAAGGAAACTTGTCTTATTCATTTTTATATACTTAGAATCTAACATGGTGTTTGGCATATTGTAGACATACTTCAAGTATTTGTTAAACTGTAGTAGAATGTTTGAGAAGTAACAAGGATACTTTCAAAACAATGAGAATTATTCACATATTTCCTGTACAAATACTTATTTGATGAATGACTATTAATGTGTACATTGAATAAATGAACACTTGAGTAAAATCATAAAGCAAGGTTTTTTTCTCTGTAACTATCCTTGCACACCTACTGGACTCCTTTCTCCAGACTCTGCAGACTCAAATATCAAGAAGCCTTTATAGATTTTCAAGCCATCCAAAAGTTCCTGGTCACTCTCAGCATAAGAGTTTTACCTTAGTAATGAACATATCAAATTCAATGCACAAATATAAACACTCAGCAAATAATTGGAATAGGCTGACTGTAGTCTGGGAAGACTGCAGTGAATCAAGGGAGTGAGCATAGTCAATTCAATAATCTTTCTCTGTTCCTCCCTCTTGTCTTGTGATAACTGTAGAATTGGGTCAGGAGAAGAGACAAGGGACAAGACAATCTCATTTAAGAAATAATCTGGCATTTGTGTGCTCAAGTTCAACACCAAATCTTTTTATCTTGGAACACTTTAGTGGTTTTCTTTGAGATTTCAGTGACTGTAGCCTTACTTGTATCAGGCAGTGCCTCTTCACTGTTGTGAGCTGTGTGACACCCCCTCAACTTTCTCTTTTAACAATACACCTCCAATGTCTTTCTGCCCAGAAAGGCCTCTTGGACAATCTCTGGGAGCACCTTCCCCTTACATGATCACATCTGGACCATAAAAAACACTCCTCTGTTCTATCAGCAAAGGCAGTACAGCCTTTGTTCCCATTATAATCACTGACAGATTTAGATGTATTAGTCAGGGTTCTCTAGAGAAATGGAACCAATGAGATGTTGCTTAACAACAGTGATATGTTTTGAAAAATGCATCATCAGGTGATTTCTTCATTGTGCAAACATCACAGAGTGTACTTACACAAACCTAGGTAATATAGCTTACTACACACCTAGGTTATATGGTATATCCTATTGCTCCTAAGCTACAGATGTGTTATGGTACTGACTACTATAGGCAATTGTAACAAATAGTATTTGCGTATCTAAACATATCTAAATATAGAAAAGGTAATGCACTGCACTATGATGTTTTTGTAGCTATGACATCACTAGGCACTGGATATTTTTTACCTCCATTATAATCTGTATATATTTTTTTAAGATGGACTCTTGCTGTGTCGATAGGCTAGATATGAACTCCTGTCCTCAAGCAACCCTCCCATCTCAGTCGCTTGAGTAGCTGGGACTACAGGCATACAACACCATGCTACGTCCATTATAATCTTATGGAATCACTGATGTATATATGATACTGTATATATATACCCACACACACATGCACACACACATACAGTCTCTCCCTTTATATATATGCACATATATATGGTTTTTATATACCTTTTGACCTATATCTAGGTGTGTACATATATAGTATATATGTGTATATATACATATATACGTCTAGGTGTATATATACACATTTATAAGTATATGTATATAAATACACATGCACACCTAGATATATAGAGATCTGCACTCTCTAGGTATGTGTGCATGTGTATATATATATATATATATAGTCTCTAGGTATATAGAAGTAATGCTCCAATCATATATATATATATATATATATGTATATGTGTGTGTCTCAATGGAGAAACTGTGTGTGTGTTTGCATGTGTGTATATATATGGTGTATATATAGTACATATATATGGTGTGTGTATATATATATATATTTGTGTGTGTGTGTGTGTATATGTATATGGAGTCCTCGGTACAATTTTTTATATATATATATGATATATATTATATATATGATATATATTATATATATGATACATATATTATATATATGTGTGATATATATCACATATATATGATATATATATCATATATATGATATATATTATATATATATTATATATGATATATATGATATATATCATATATAATATATATGATATATATATATATTTTATAAATATATATATATATATATGTTCCTCTTCCACACTATTAACTCTTTAAGGGAACTTGTCATTCATTTTTATGTACTTAGATTGTAACACAATGTTTGGCATATTGTAGACTACATACAAATACGGCTTGGAAAACTGTATACATATATACAGTTTAACAGATACTTGCAGTATGTCTCATATATATATATATATATATATATATATATATATATATATATATATATAAAAGGACAGAGAGAGACAGTGGGGGGAGAGAGATAAAGAGAGCAAACGGGTGAGACACAAGGAATTGGCTCATGCAAGTATGAAGGCTGAGAAGTCCTAAAATCTTTAGTCAGAGAGCCGTAGACCCAGGAGATCTGAGGATGTAGTTCTAACACTACCTCAAAGGCCTGAGAACCAACTGATAGTATAAGTTCCAGTTCAAAAGACAGCAGGCCTGAGAAACAAGAAGAGCCAAAGTTCCAGTGGAATATTGAAGGCAGAAAAAGACTAACGTCTCAGGTCAGCAGTCAACAAGAAGAGCTTCCTCTCGCTTGCAGGAGGGTCAGTCTTTTTGTTCTTTCTGGTCTTCAGCTGATTGGATAAGGCCCACCCTCATTAGGGCAGGCAGTCTGCTTTATTCAGTGTGCCAATTAAAATGCTAATATTATCTCAAAACGTCCCACAGAAACACCCAGAATAACGTGTGACCAAAAACCCGGGTGCTGTTTTGTCCAGTCAAATTGACATATAAAATTAATCATCATGTAAGCTATATATTCTTACATTAAATTTCTCAGGCAGAGATCAAAAACTGGCTTCTTATGTTTACTAGACATCAGACAATATATGCCAAGCTATACAACTGGTACTTTTAGAACCTTTCTCACGTGATTGTATCTACTTTTCTTCCCCTACGGCTTGGATAGGGAAAATGCCACAGAACTCCAAAAGTAGCTTCTCTTTCAGCTTCTCCAGTTCAATTCTTTCTATCTCTTGGGTTCTGTTGTGCTTCAGGTCACAAGATTTGATTACCTTCTGTTCTACTTTGCACAGAAATAGAATGTGTTCCCTCAAATTAATATGTTAAAGTCCTAACCTTCAGTACCTCCGAATGTGACTGTATTGGAGATATGATCTTTACAGAGGTAAAATGGAGTTGTTAGGTTGGGTCCTAATCCAAAATGACTGGTGTCCTTATTAGAAGAGAACATTTGGAAACAGGCACGTACAAAAGGAAGATAATGTGAAGATCTGGAAATAAGACAGTCATCTCCAAGCCAAGGAAAGAGACCTTGAAAGAAACAAACGCTGCCAACACCTTGATCTCAGACTTCTAGACTCAAGAACTGTGAGAGAATTAATTTACATTGTTTAAGCCACCCAGTCTGTAGCACTTTATTATGGTAGCCCTGGCAAACTAATGCATCGCCTTTGCAGATCTTGCTTAGCTGGTCTAGAAACCTTAATTTGGAATGTGTGGGTAGTTACCTCCTATTATTTTGTCTTAGCTTTTGGAGGATTTAAATGGAAAGAATCTCATTTTTAGATTACTATATGTCTCTTTTTTTTTTAGTTTACTATGTATATATCTCCTTTCTAAAAATCTCTGCACTTTTTTGAACCAACTCAGTTTTATAAAACTTCAGATTTACGTACGTGCATTTTAAGTCCAAACCATTGGAGAGCATCACCTTGAATGTTGCTATTTAGACAACATTAAGTTTTGATGGAATATCAAGGGAAAAATGATTTTTAAATGGTATCTTAAGCCTGTTTCACTCTTCAAAAATAAAGAAAATGAATGAATGAGTGGATGCTTTTGATTACTAACATTAAAGATAGAACCCATATTTTATTTCATCCTGTAAGCAGAACCTGCTCAGATAAATGAGTTTGATGATGATAAGGCAGATGTAGCACAATCCAGATGACATTTCTTTACCTCTTACATCTAAAGGGGTAAGGATCTAGAGACATTAGCCATCTCTTTAAACATAGAAGTTTGGGAGTTGAAAGTTCAAACAAAATAAGAGAGAACAGTGAGTAAAATATTTTTGTAGTGCAACAGGAAATGAACATTCTATCAGAACTTCGTTAGCACATAATTAATTTATCCTCAGTTGTAAATAACAACAGTGATTCTAAAAATACATAGCTGTGTGATGCTTCTAATTTGGTCTCATAATGCCATGCGTTGACATGTGGTCAGTCTAGTACAACATGAATATGTAAATGTGGCTTTCTTCACTAGGGTAAACACACACAGTGATGATACATACTTTGGTTGATAGTTTATACAGATCTTAAGGAACAACAATTAATTTGGAAACATAACACTGCCTAAAAATTAACATTCACACCCAGAATTACTCCTCATCAGGATTTCTAAATTTGTGTACCTTTTCATATTCTTACTTATCCAGGAAACTTAATGAAATCCTAGGTGCAGAACACTTTCAGAGTGTCTGCAGTTTGTCAGCTACTCTCACATTCTCCTCACAGTGCACAGGCTTCTGTTAACAGGCAGACTTCATAGATTCTTTTTGTCAAGAGCTTATTGGAAACAGAAGTCTATTCTGTCTGCTAAATGTGAGGAACTGAGATTCAAGTTCTGGCACAGCTAAGCTGTCAACAAAATGCAGTTATTGGGCTGATGTCCAATTTTCTAATATTGACCTGGGTCTTAAGAATCCTAATAAAGTAAAGTACTAGTGGCAACTCCAGCCAAAAGCATGCCCTGGACACCTTCATGTTTTATGAGGACCCATATCAATTTTCTATGACAACATCTAATATCTGCTTTTTTACCTGTGATGTGTTAGCACCAGGTTCCTGACAAGTAAGTCTCCCAAACTCGAGGCATTGCATTGCCGTGGAAATCAGACACTCAAATGCCAATATTCAGAACTCACCTTTCCCACTTTCATGAAAAGTCCAAATGCTTATGAAACCTGTGAAAATATTTCAAATGATATTCTTAGTAAAACCTTTCTGATTCAAGTCAAACACAGTTGAAATTTCTGTTAGAAGTGGAGGTAGGAAAAGATGGCGAGTGATTGTTTTTGTATTAACTCTCTCCTTTCAGGGAAGACTGACTTTAAAGAAGTAAAGTTTCAAACCCCCTACCACATTTTGTTTAAGCTTTATACCCCTTTGTTTAAAAAGTAATTCTTTAGTTTTTTTGTTTGCTTGTTTGATTTTGTTGTTGTCGTTGTTAGCTAAATTCACACCACTGGTTGAGATTTAAGTGATAATCAGGAGCTCCCAGCCCAGACACTACACAAACCCTCCCTAAGTTTCTATAGGTTTCCAAGGGTTATAGCCTTGTGGTTGCATCTGGCTCTAAATTCCTCTTTATACTGAACTCTTATCATAATTTTTATTCCTTTTTTGTATATCTCATACTGAACTAGACTGATGCCTAACCCTTTTTAATTTTCCACAAACCACCCAGACAAATCAATCGTATATGTAATAGGCTTTACTGACCTTTTAGGGCAATGGAAAGAATTCTAGGCTGCCTCTTTGCAAATTCTCTTATCCCAACAAATCCTTTGGCCATTTTGCCCCCGAGAATTTTTCACTGGCCATAATTCTGGCTTGAGTCTTTTACCAGGTTGCTTGACCCACTGTTCCATTTTCCTTATAGCTCTCCTTATGGCTTTTTATGTTTACCTTTTGTAAGATTGGCCAAAATGTGGTTTCTCCCTTTCAGTTCAGATTTTCTCACCTTATTTAGCTCACTTCCTCTAAGTTTGCTCTGAGACTACAGTTTCACTTTCAAAGACTCATTAATGTGTGATTTTAAAAAAGGGCCACAGCACTCTGTCTTATCCATTGGCAGACCCAAGTGTGGGGTAGTCTTTTTCTCCTCATTCCCCTTCAGTCATTTTTAGTTAGCAGAAATAGAAAAAGTTATTTTCCCTTCACAGGAAAATAAGCATATAGCTCCCAAAATAAACATGACTATATTCGACTAGCTTTGGTTCTAAGTTATCAAAGTTCATGGAACATTTGAAATTTGGATTGGCCTTTCTCTTTCTGGTGAAAAATAAACACCTGTTACTATTTTTTTTATGGCATTTCACAATGTGGGCATATGATTTTTGCTTTGGCAAGACTTTTGGAAATGGAAAGATTAGAAAGAGCCCACCAAAATCTTTTCCAAATGATCATATGTTAAATATATTAGCCTTTTACGTTTGAGAGAGTATGGTTAAACACTACTGAATTATGTTGCACTTTCTGGGTCAAAGAATTGCATATGCAAGAATAGATCCAGAATAAATTTCAAAACAAACTAAAACATATGCCAGTAGCCATCTTTTGAGATGTTCTCAGAACTATCTTAACTGTGCTTATTGCCAAATCAAAGATTAAAGTACAGTAACACATACAAAAGTATCACACAAGTTCAGTTCTCCATGTCCTAAATAGATACTCAATGAATCTGAGCAGAAAGATGTGAAGCTTCCCCCACTTTCTTTCAGTGGTTAGTTATCTCAGTTGGTGATTTTTTTTTTGCTTGCTTATTTATTTATTATTTGTTTTTCTTCTTGTTCATAAAAATACTATATTGCAAGGTAAAATGTAGAAATAATTTTTAAAAGGGGCAAATAGGTCAGGCATTGTGCTTCACACTTGTAATCTCAGCACCTTGAGAGGCCGAGGCAGGAGAATCCCTTGATCCCAGGAGTTCAAGACCAGCCTGGGCAATATAGGGAGATCCTGTCTCTATAAATTATAAAATAATAAATATTAGCCAAGCATGGTGGCCCGTGACTGTGGTCCCAGCTACTCAGGAGACTGAGGTGGGAGGATAGCTTGAGCCCAGGACGTTGAGGATGCAGGGGCTGCAGTGAGCCATGATTATGCCACTGCACTCTGGCCTGGGTAGCAGAGTGAGACCCTATATCAAAAAAAAAATAAAGAAAAGAAGAAGAAGAAGAAAAGGAAACAGAAGAAAAAGAGGGAGCAAATAACAGACAACAAATAAGAAATAAAGAAAACAAGAACGAGGAAAGAGCATATACAATGGAATCATGGATAAGACTTAAACGTAATAACAATATACTATAAAGCCTTTTTTCATATGTATACCAAGACATTGGTAATAGATGGTAATTTGAGATAGTTCATGGCTTTTTTCATGTATGAATAGGGCTGTAGTTTGCAGATTTAATCTCAATTATAATAGATGCTCACAAATTTATTCCGATTGTTATGTCAGGGTCACTCTGACATTCATTTAGAGAGTATTTTTTTAATGGCATATGCAGACGTGGAGACAGAACAAGAAGAAAGCCTCCAAATATTTTAGCTTTCTGGACGGTTTTTATGGTGTTCACATTTGTGGGTAAAGAATGACTAGCAATGTTTTTTCTTTAGGAAAGCATGAGACGTCATATGATGAAACTTTGAGTGGTGAAGTCTTTGCAAACTCTCTTAAATCTAATGACTTCTGGGTACAACTATACTTTGTCATATGAAAAGAAAAGTTACTTTTTTCTCTGGTGTCTGTTGATAGCTTTGAAGTGAGTTTGTGTCATTTTTTTCCCTCTAAGCCCCACTTAAATCAGCTTCCTAGAGACTTGGAGCCAAAAAAAAAAAAAAAAGACTTGAGAGAAAAAGAAAATTAAATGTTTTTTACATATGCACTTGGGTGATTTCTATAGTAGACAAAACATTTAAAATGTTATATTAACTGCTAAGAGTTTAGAATTCATTGATAATATAAGATGGAAAAAAAAGGTATGTATGTGTATTAGTCCATTTTCATGCTGCTGATAAAGACATACACAAGACTGGGCAATGTACAAAAGAAAGAGGTTTATTGGACTTACAGTTCCATGTGGCTGGGGAGGCATCACAATCATGGTGGAAGGCAAGGAGGATCAAGTCACGTCTTACATGGATGACAGCAGGCAAAAAGAGAGATAGTTCGTGTAGGGAAACTCCCGTTTTTAAACACATCAGATCTCATGAGACTCATTCACTATTACAAGAACGGCACAGAAAAGACCTTCAGTCACTTCCCACAGGGTTTCTCTCGCGACATGTGGGAATTGTGGGAGTTACAATTAAAGACGAGACTTGGGTGGGACACAGCCAAACCATAACGGTACATGTGCATCTGTACTTGATGAATTAACTGCTAACTGTATTTACAGACTGTAGCATATAAGATAAACTGTCTTAGGTTATGCATCGTTATAATGGGGAGTGTCTCCAAAAAATTTAGTATCACTTAAAATTGACCATGCATATTTTCAAATACAATAGCATTAGGCTTTGACTTTTAGATAAGTGTATCAGATAATAGAAAGTACAATCAAGTCTTTTAGAAACACTTTGCTGTTAAAGTATTGACTCTTAAAGGAATTATAAGAAGGGTATGTGGGGAGATAGGGTGAGCATGTTTGCATGAAGTGATGCAGAATAGAAAATGATTTCCTTTATTTTTTGAAGACACAGGACTAAGATTGGCTTAAATGTTTAATATTTTCTTATCTGTTAACTTAAGAAGTTATTTAAATCTGATTTTGGTTTCTCTTTTTAAGAAATTTTGCATTTATGGGTCTAGCCTGGCTCTTCTAATTGCTGATACTGTACTCTTGGATAATTTGTAAGACCTCTGAGTCTTTGCTTTCTTAACAGTATAATAGGGATGAAAACAGGGGATAGCTTTCTGATGAGTGAGGGTAGGAATTAAGTAAGGTAATGTATCTAGAGTAGTGCCAGGTGTGTATTAGTTACTATTATTACTTTGATCCTTAAATGCAAGATGAATTCACATGATGATTTAGGCATTTTCTTGGGAAACATACTATAAGAAAATATGGATGTTTCTTTGGTACATCATGCTTCCTTTGCTGAGAGGCTGCTATAATCCATCTCCAGAGGAAGCATCTTTGGCGCGTTCTTGATGCACACTGTAAGACTGCAGAGTAATTAGAGTTTATTTTTTTAGACCAAGAAGTTTTGACTTTCAGGTTGTCAATCTTTCACCTGTTCTACATTTGTGCCCTTTATGTGAAAGCTGCACCAAGAGGAATAAAATATTCCCTTTACGTACTGCAGACTAATGAGAAACAATTGACCCTATTTATCAATATCATCCTTAAAATCTTCCCTCTGTGCCACTTTCCTTCCCTTTGAATGCAAATGGTGCATTGTACATAATTCATCTTTGTGTTTCTTATTTTACTATATAGTACTCAAGGGTTCAGTTTATATTTTTGTGTATGTGACATTCACTGGAGTTTCAATTAACATCTAAAACCAAATTCCAAAAGTTATATAAACTTGTGTGCCTTAGACTGCTATGGGGATTGTATCGCAGGCAGAGATAAAGAAAGATTTCATTGGGATTCTGCTTCACCTAATAGCATAGCACTGCCTTTGTGGCACAAAGAGCCTTAGAGAAAAAAATAACGTTGCCTCCCATTCCAACTTTTACAGGCTTCCGTTCAAATCAGCTAATGTGGAGAATTTGCAATGAAGTTGCTTTGGATCCTTAATTGTTTGTTTCTTTATTTATTTTTACATGGCATCAAGAAGCCTGTATTTAGTATATACTATTAAAAAATATTGATTCAAACTAGGAATCAATTAAAATTCTAAAAACTCTTCATAAATCACTTAATGGAATAGAGAGAGTTTAGGATAATAATAAATGGATCAGTTTTATTAAATAAGTAAATCCTCTTTTAATACCACATTGCAAGTAGGAAGTTCATATATTTTGCTATTTATCAAGTACTTTAATTAGAATATTTTAAAGCTAAATACGTCCATTTGTACGTACAGGGGAAGTACAATTACTTTTCTCATCTTTACAGGGATGAGATATACTGGACAAGTTTTGTTTTTTAATCACACAAGAAAAGATATTTCTAAGCAGTTTTCCAGATTTATAACCTGTATAAGTTTTCATTCAGTTATTTTTCTGTAAGGGCATATAACCTCACAAGTTAGTTGTTTAGAAATTTGTTTCACAACCAATTATAAAAATATATAACTGAATGTTTCCTTACAACAGCCTTTTAGAAGATGCTATTATAAACATTCAACTTTTATTTGCACATCCACAAAAATTTTAAGAAGCTACTGTGAGATGGAGCATCACATTGATAAAGCAGTGTTAAAAATAACAGTGGGGAAAGTTTAATGAACGATGGTTAGAGGGAGATAAACTGAAGGCATTTTTTCCTGTTTCTACTTTACAGGGGGAAAATATAGAAAATAGGATATGTAAATACTGCACAAGACCTGATAGTATACTACCCAATAGTATCAGGTAGTAGGGAAGAGTTGTTTGGTTTCCACAGATGTCACGATAAAGCTTCTGGCTTTTGGTTTCAGAAAGCCATTTTCACATTTCACACACTTCCACACACACTATACACACACTGACACATACCCTATATATCTCAAAGTATTTTTCCATTGTTTCTGTTGTTTAGTGCTGCAGTGTCTCTTGCCTTAGTTCTATCTCCTTTTTTTCTCTTTGACTTGTTGACCTCTGCTCTGAATTGTTCCCAGTCCCTTCTAAGTCTGAAATTCTTTGATTCAGTGATTCTACTTATGTTCTGTACTTAGCAGGTGTATTTATTTCAAGCCAATTGAGGAATATATAATACTAAGTTGCTTTTCTACTTCTTTTTCTAGTTGGCGAACATATAGAATTACAGAAAATTATAGGAGAAAAACAGGATAGATGACTTTTATTCGTTCATTCCCAAGTGATTGCTTACTATTTCCCAAGGGCTCCACTAGATACTAGATACACAAATAAGACTAGGTTTCAATTAATGCATCAGAAACTGTCAGTGAAGTAGAAGAGTCAGACACATAAACAAGGACAAATGAAATAAAGTAATACAAGTACTATAACTAATGTATACATAGGTCACAAAACCAGAGCTGGTCAGTTCTCCCTGGGCAGCCTGGCCACCAGGAACCTGATGCCTGGGCTTCATTTAAAAGATGAATTGATTTTGACATACTGGGTAGGTCATTCCAGGCAGAGGGAGATGTGTGAGCAACACACATAAGTATTCAGTACAACTAAAGAGTAGAGATGGTCTTCCATTGGAGGAGTTGGATTTCATAATGTCAGATATTGGTCTCCTATTTGTGGTAAGTGTACCAAATGCTTCATATATTCCATTGGAGTACAAGAATATATTAGAATTTCTATTTAAATTGATTTTATATCATCTTTTAATTTTTATTACTTTTTAGTGTGGGTTATATATATTTCTGTGTGTGTGTCTAATTTATAAGTAAACAAATGTAGTCTGTCAGGTGTATGCTTAAAAGCTGCTTAAGAATGAGACGTGCAAACAAAATGTTTAGAGATGACTACTCTAGGAATCAGAGCTTTCAAAGAGTTTTGAACTGAGGCCATCTGTTTGGCATTGTGGAAGAAGGTGATCAAATTATTAAGAATTACCGAGATCAGCATTTTAAAAATCAGAATAGTGTAAAGCAAGTAGTCAGTGAAAAGTAGATACTATTATTCTAGTAGAAGTCATATAGAGAAGATGTCGTTGAGAGGAGAAAATATGGGACTCGGCATTCAGTGTCCTTAAATCACGAGTCTGACAACCATGTGAATTTTTGGCAAGATTAAATTCTCAAAAGCACAATGTTCTTACCAGCTAGATAAGAATAACAATTTTTACCTCACCACTTTGTAATGAAGATTTCAGACAATAAATATAAAGGACCAGGTATAGACCATGGTCCATAGTAGATGCTCAATCAATACCTTTATATAGAAACAAACAAACTTATTGCAATTATGATATAATCGCTGCCCTCTTATTCAGAAGACTTTTCTGCTTCTTTTTCTTTTTATTCTCATTTATTTGGATTTATAAAACTCCACAGTGCTTTCAAGACAAGGATCTTCACAGACAAATGTGTCAAGAGTGTCTAGGGAATCTTTCTCTGTTCTCCTAAAGCAAATACTTATTTTTAACAGTGGTCTTATATTCTATAAAACTATTAAAATAATATCTTCATATGTAATATTATATATGACAGAAAGATAAATTTAAGCCAATGTTCACACTTGACCATATTCACACTCCATATTAACAGTGGAGAGACTCATGATTTTTGAGTCTTATTTTGGCCTTTACTCAGGTTCTGACTCTGGACAAGAATCAGTTTGGGCTAAATTTCAATAGCTTGGGAAAGGTCCTTGACAACTGATGTCTACATAGAATTGTGTCTTAATACTCCTATGAAAATAAGAGTAACTCTATATGTTAAATAATTTCAGAGTGTAAACACAGCTGTTTTGACCTCTCTTCCTTTTGCTTTAAGTATGTGTGTGTGTGTATGTGTGTGTATGTAGGTACACACATATATATACATGTAGAAACTCTGCTTTCTATTTAATGATGCATGTATGCAGATTATTCAGTTGAGCCAACATGACTTAAATATATACACACACATATATACACATATATGTATGTACACACACATATATATACACATATATGTATGTACACACACATATATACACATATATGTATGTACACACATATGTATATATACACATATATGCATATATACACATATACACACGTATGTGTGTGTGTATATATTTTTAAAGTCATTTTGGCTCAACTGGAAAATCTGCATACATGCACCATCAAATGCAAAGCAGAGTTTTAAAATTATGAAGTAGGCATGACTTTATTGAATAATTTGCTATTCTACCCAGGTGTTATCAGAAGGAATTGATGTGCATCAATTATCAGTAAAAAATTTAAAATAATTATTTGTGGTAGATACTATAAGAAATTTGATGATGGCATATTCTATAATTTCACATAGGATTTAACTTGTTTAATTACACAAAGATACATTTTGAAAATAATTTATCTTGGTAGGATCACCAGTATGTTGGGGGGGAATATAAATCAAAGGTTTCAGGTCAACCTTAAAAATAAAATGTATCACAGATTAATTATTTTCTAATTCTGATTTACTGCATATTTTTATCCTGCTTGGAATTTGCATTTGGTCAAACTTTTTTACATCTATTGAGAGACACTGTAGGGGAATGAGAGTCACAGTAAGATGTTGGCAATAGGAAGACACTCAAGTGTTTCAAGAAGGCAAGTGACATGTCCGATTTATATTTTTAAAAGATCACTCAAAGTGCTAGGTGTAGAATGGGTTGCAAGGGATGGGGTATGTCAAAATTTAAATATTAAAAAAACATAAAACAAAAGACACTATAAATGACCAAAAGAAGCCATGGCAAACAAAGTTAAAATTCAGGCAGGAGCCCGGGGAAAATATTTACAGCATATATAAAAGACAATGTTAGTATGCTGAGATAGATAAAAGTCCTAAAATCAATAAGAGCAAAATGAGCTAATGGAAATAGGCAAGAAATGTGAATGGGCAATTCACGCAATTCACAGATGAAATATTAATATGGCCAATAACATAGGGTAACAAATTCAATTCAACCTGGGTTTGAGAAATTACAAGCAATGAGTTACAAATTTTTATTTATACATTTAAAAAAGAGTTTAATCATATTAATTAAGAATGAAATGAAACAGTATCATATGCTGCCATTGAGAGTGTGACTAAATATAAGCACTTTAGAATTAAAAATGTATTTGTTTTGTGTCTACCTTCCATGACAGACATAGTCCAAAGGATGTAAAAAGATATTTAGTAGAATTATATTGTTTATATGTATACATATAATATGTGCGTATATATGTGTATGTATACTATGTATAGTATACATAGTAGTCATATACATATACATAGTATATAGAGAGAGTATATACACTACACATATAGTATATAGAGTATATACACTACACATATAGTATATAGAGTATATACACTACACATATAGTATATAGAGTACATACACTACACATATAGTATATAGAGTACATACACTACACATATAGTATATAGAGTACATATACTACACATATAGTATATAGAGTACATATACTACACATATAGTATATAGAGTACATATACTACACATATAGTATATAGAGTACATATACTACACATATAGTATATAGAGTACATATACTACACATATAGTATATAGAGTACATATACTACACATATAGTATATAGAGTACATATACTACACATATAGTATATAGAGTACATATACTACACATATAGTATATAGAGTACATATACTACACATATAGTATATAGAGTACATATACTACACATATAGTATATAGAGTACATATACTACACATATAGTATATAGAGTACATATACTACACATATAGTATATAGAGTACATATACTACACATATAGTATATAGAGTACATATACTACACATATAGTATATAGAGTACATATACTACACATAGTATATAGAGTACATATACTACACATAGTATATAGAGTACATATACTACACATAGTATATAGAGTACATATACTACACATAGTATATAGAGTACATATACTACACATAGTATATAGAGTACATACACTACACATAGTATATAGAGTACATACACTACACATAGTATATAGAGTACATACACTACACATAGTATATAGAGTACATACACTACACATAGTATATAGAGTATATACACTATACATAGTATATAGAGTATATACACTATACATAGTATATAGAGTATATACACTATACATAGTATATAGAGTATATACACTATACATAGTATATAGAGTATATACACTATACATAGTATATAGAGTATATACACTATACATAGTATATAGAGTATATACACTATACATAGTATATAGAGTATATACATAGTATATATACTATACATAGTATATATATACAGTATATATACTATACATAGTATATATATACAGTATATATACTATACATAGTATATATACTATACATGTATATATAGTATATATACTATACATAGTGTGTATGTATAGTATATATACTATACATAGTGTGTATGTATAGTATATATACTATACATAGTGTGTATGTATAGTATATATACTATACATAGTGTGTATGTATAGTATATATACTATACATAGTGTGTATGTATAGTATATATACTATACATAGTGTGTATGTATAGTATATATACTATACATAGTGTGTATGTATAGTATGTAATCATATGTATATGACTCTATACTATATATACTATATACTACATATATAGACTACATACTATATACTATATATAGACTATATACTATATATAGACTATATACTATATATAGACTATATACTACATACTATGTATAGACTATATACTATATATAGACTATATACTGTATACTATATAGACTATATACTATATATAGGCTATATATTATATACTATATAGACTATATACTATATATTTCTATATACTATATACACTCTATATACTACTATATATACTCTATATACTATATATATACAGTATACATATACTGTATATATATAGTATATGTATATATGTGTGTTAAAAGATAAACAATGATATGTGCTTTCTACAGGGACATATTCATGAACATAGAAATATATAGGAAAAGGTGTGGAAACATGAACACCAACCTGGTTATAATAATTATCTCTGGGTGAATAACCAGACTTTGCAAATCAGCAAATCAAAAAATAATTTAATCTTCTTGTTCCCATTTTTTAAATCAGGAAAATGTATTTCATGTAAAGACAGTATAATAGAGTGAGTAGAAGTGCAACCTCTGGAGTCAGACTGGATGATTTTAAATTGTACCTCTGTCATTTACACACATGTGACTTTGGGCAAGTTACTTACATTCTTCCTTCCTCTGGGTTTTTATCTGTAAAATGAAGATAGAAATGGAATTTCTTATACATCTTCTTGAATATAGTTGATAATTAACTGAGATAAAAATATAGAGATAGATATAAATAGATACATAAAGGGTTTGGCATCAACCCTACCACACAGTACATGTTAATTCTCAAGACACGTGTAATTTGAAGTATTTCTGAAATTCAGTGTGATTCTAAGGAAAGAGATTACTGTCAATTTTGGAAAATGTATACAGAGATATGATTGCAGATCTACAGAATGATAGAGAAACTTTAACAGAAAACGGAAACTTTAAGCCTCAGATTGAGATAGGTTTATGAGAGGAAACATGCATCAGTGAAGAAAACACTTCTGGCTGCATTAAGGAGTTCACTTAAGGATGTTGTGAGAGAAAAGCATGAAGCGTGAAAGCCTTTGAATTCCATGCTTAGGGGTTTGAACTTTATCTCTGTAGCAAAGAGTCTCTGATGATTTTTGAGCAGAGGAATGACATGGTATGTTAGCTCTTTTAGTTTCACTTTCCTATTCTAGTATACAGGATTGATTGTAGAGGTACAACCAAAGCAAGCACATATGTTATGACTATAACAATATTTTGTATGGTGAAAAGGACGTGGACTAAAAATAGCTAGAGAGGGAAAGAAAGAGCAATAGTGCCTGGGAATCTTCTGATTTCCAAGAGTGCATTGTCCTTATCCTCAATAAGAGTTTCCAGATTCAGAAAACAAAAACATAGGCAACCCAGTTGAGTTTGAATTCCAGATAAATAACAAAAAGCTCCTTTATGTAAGTGTGAACATCCCAAAGTCTATCTAGCAGTCCTCTTCCCTGGTCCACACTTTATCTTTTCATTCAAGTACTGATTTCAGGCAGTGCTTTAACTCTCTTGTTTGACTGTCAGTTTGGTGGTGTGAGAAGATAGAAGTATATACATTATAGTCACAACTGCTCATTCAGTGAGATAATGGTTATATCTTCTGTTGGAAACATTCTTCTTCATATTTAAAGAAGAGCCTAAAGTGGGGACAGAAAGCAAAATATTTGTGAGTGGGCTATTAGTGGCAGGAGATGCCTCCGCTCTCACACCACATCAGTCACTGGTTCAGGGCCGATGGTGCATCTTTGGATTACATCCCAGCACCGCAATGTGTTATCACTCTACTAAGACTGTTAGGTTGTCTTTAATAAGTTATCCCATTCTTCCATTAAATCACTTTTCCATTACAATGGCTGATTTGTTACATAGTAAAACAAGTAAGTCCTCTGGGTTGAGCTCATTTATCACTACTTTGCCTATAAAAACATTACTTGGTCAGACATAGCAGTAAACATAGCATTCAGCAAGTCTACACATGGTGGTGCTAGCAGAAGCATAACGGACAACAAAGGCTAATTCATATTTAGACTATGTGTCTTTTCAAAGAGGATGGTGGGACTGTAAACTAGTTCAACCATTGTGGAAGTCAGTGTGGCGATTCCTCAGGGGTCTAGAACTAGAAATACCATTTGACCCAGCCATCCCATTACTGGGTATATACCCAAAGGACTATAAATCATGCTGCTATAAAAAAACGTATGTTTATTTTTTTATGTATTAAAAAAACGTATGTTTATTGAGGCACTATTCACAATAGCAAAGACTTGGAACCAACCCAAATGTCCAACAATGATAGACTGGATTAAGAAAATGTGGCACATATACACCATGGAATACTATGCAGCCATAAAAAAGATGAGTTCATGTTCTTTGTAGGGACATGGATGAAATTGGAAATCATCATTCTCAGTAAACTATCGCAAGGACAAAAAACCAAACACCGCATGTTCTCACTCATAGACGGGAATTGAACAATGAGAACACATGGACACAGGAAGGGGAACATCACACTCTGGGGACTGTTGTGGGGTGGGGGGAGGGGGGAGGGATAGCATTAGGAGATATACCTAATGCTAAATGATGAGTTAATGGGTGCAGCACACCAGCATGGCACATGTATACATATGTAACAAACCTGCACATTGTGCACATGTACCCTAAAACTTAAAGTATAATAATAATAAAAAAAAAGAGACTAAAGAAAAAAAAAGAGGATAAATCTTTTCGCCCTTCAAAATGGAAGAGGTCAAATGTAATTCACTTGCCATCTGGAGACTGGATGGTCTCCCCAGCAAATGGTGTCATTACAGGAGCTCAGCATGGGTTTCTACTATTGGCAAGTTGGGCATTTATCAGTGGCAATAGCTGTAGTAGTCTTGGTGAGTGGTTGTGCATTTTATTAACCTGTATCTGGCCCCTTCTTCTGTCATTATGGAGGGTTTATCAAGGAATCCATTGAACAAGTACAAGAGGGACTGAGGAAAGAGGCTGCCTGACATTCACAGAATGGGTCATCATGTTTTACCTAAACACTATGAGCCTTTAATGAGTGAATATCCTCTGGTGAGGATTGATGTATAACAGTATATCTTTATACTCAAAGTTCCATCCGTGTATCTTTCCTTTGTACTTGTTTTGTCAAAAATTCACAAAACTTGTTTTTCCAGATCCCCAGCCATTCAGCCAAATTAGCCCTGGCCTACAAATGGATACAAATCCATATCTATGGCCATTGTTCCTTCAAAACAAACTGAACATACATGTATTAAGGCCATTAGGAGTATTTTTATCTTTCCCATCCTCCAGGCTTTTGTAGCCATCCCTGAGTGAAACTGCAATACTAGTATTTCAGGTTGGTGCCAATATAAAATATGAAACCATATGTAATTGAGGTCCTAATGTACTTTTTTCTTAGTCAGTTTATCAGACATAACTCTCTGTGAAACTATAGATGGACTTGAAAGAGAGAGATTGCAATGCAACAGTAGCAGGTGCCTTGAAAGTTAGTGACTTGTTCACGCTTACATATGGCTACAGAACACAGCTTCACTTGTTAATGGAGTACCACTGTATATGCCTAACATTATGGCTCAGCCTAGTGGATCAGATAGTGCAATAGATTTCTATTGCTATGTACAAATTACCATAAATGTAGTGGCTTAAAACAACACCCATTCATTAACTCACAATTCTATAGGTCAGTGGTCTGGCATGTCATGAATGGGTTCTCCGCTCAGGGTCACACAAGGCTTAAATCAAGTCAAGAGGAGAACTGTTTCTTTCTTGAAGCCCTGGGTAAGAAGCTGCTTCCAAGAGCATTCGGGGTTTTGGCAGAATAAAGTTTCTTATGTTTGTAGGACTAAGATTCCTGTTTCTTTGCCATATGACTTTCATCATCCTCAAGTCAGCAATAGTGCATCCAATCATTTCCATGCATCAGATATCTTGACTATTTCCTCTGTACTAACTGCAGAAAACTTTGTTTTTAAATGGCTCAATTGATTAAATTATCTCCACTGGGATAATCACATATTTTAAGGTCAACTGATTAATAACCTTAATTACACCAGCAAAGTGCATAGTGTTCTCCCACTTTGATTTGCCAGAAGTTTATAGAGCATCTGTATCTTCTTCCAAAGACATCTTAGATACCAATGAGTCTAGTAATGCTCAGCTGAAGAAACATTTCTTGTTTCAGAGTGCACTCAATATCAGCAGCCTTATGGATTACATGGTTTCAAGTCAGGTCATTGTTCACCCAACCTATTTTTTTTTTCAATTATATGAATCAAGTAGTTTGTAGGTTCCCACTTATTTCAGTGCTAGAGGAACATTACGATTAATTAGTCACACCATTCTGTCAGACCATTTTGACAGAATGAGCCAAGCCACTCTGTGTCTCTAACCTTGCTATCCATTTGGTACCACACTCATTTTTTACATGATTGAGTACTGCCATTCCCATCAAGCCCTTGGTAGCCCATTTTTATGGTGGAATAAAACACCACTGTTTATCCCCAGCTTGCCACAACAGGTGCTACAAAGATTTTTAAGGATGCTGGTGCTCCCTCACAAATATATTTCCCAATGCTACTGTAAAGTAAGTATCCTGTGATTTTCTGTGGGATATAGGTGTATAATGGGAGTGAGAGATTAAGTTGCATATGATAAATTCAGTTCAATATTTCTATATCATTAAATTATTGGATTCCTTTTTTAAGAAAAACAAAGAACTTTTGGTTCCAAACCATTCATCCTGGTTTCAGCCAACCAATCAAAAAAGCAATATAACCCATTTCTATTTCCTTCACCTAAAACCTTGAATCAAAATCTACAAAGTGTCAGCCCATTTAAGTAAGTTCATCCTTGTCCAGTGTTTGCCCTTTTGTCTTTGGTCAAATACTTTTACAGTTCAACCCCCACATTTAGTCTGTGGGATTCTGTTGACATAAATGAACAAAACGTTGCAATTATTAAGGTTTGAGAATTATCTTTCCCCAGACCACACATTATACTAGTCCCCTTTAGGTATGCTAGGACCTTTTGTTACAGATTTGGAAGCCAAGAGGATTACTGTGTGCCTTGAGGAGTATTTACATCCTTTTATAAATTACTTACTGTCTTAGTTTGTTTTGTGATGGTATAAAAAAAAAACAGAGGCTAGACACTTTATAAAGAAAAAAGGGTTATTTGGCTCACAGTTTTCAGGCTGTACAAGAAGCAGGTTGCCACATCTGCTTGGCCTCTAGTGAAGGTTTTTGTGTTGCATCCAACATAGTGGAGAAGGTGAAAGTGGAAATAGGCATATGTGAAGAGGGACTGAACACAAGGGTGTCCTGGCCTTATGACACCCATATTCTCAGGAATTAATTCACTTCCTGAAAACTAATCCATTCTTATGAGAGCCAGGACTCACTTACTACCACCAAAATGGCACCAAGCCATACATGAGAGATCCATCCCCATGATCCAGACACCTCCTACTAGGTCCCACCTCTCAACTCCAACATATTGGAGTTCACATCTCAACACAGAACTTGGTGGGGACAAACAAACTATATCCAAACCACAGCACTTACCTTAGGTAATGTTATTATATGATCAAGCTGGGAAATAGCTTGCATCACTTGTGTCACATTCCCTGAGTCAGAATTTAGCTATATGGCCACACATAACTTCAAAGAAAGATAAGAACATAGTTTAGCTGTGTGTCAACAGGAACACATTTTGATAAACACAAAACTTGCTCCCACTCTCTTATTCTCATTTAAAGGAGAATACTGCCTCTTATTCTTACACAAAATCAAATAAATATTTTAAATAAATTTTACACTTATTCACACACAGAACTCAGTCACTATCTCTACAAAGTCCCATCCACTCACCGCAGTCAGCTCAAGGTCCAGAAACTGCAGGTGATGCACAATTCTCATCATCAGGTTCAGATGCATCGCCCCATGATTCATAAGGAAGAAACCAAAATCCGTATTATCTTCCTAAAACACTCAGTGGTGGAGCAGGAAAAGAAGACACCCAATACAATCTCTTGTTAGGAAAAAAGAAGAATGAATGGCACGAGGCAGTCAATGGCTCGTAGAAAGTATGAAATCTTGATGGGGAGTCACTGCAAAGGCCGCATACCCTGAGATGAAAAAATAGTCTTAATTATATCCAAAATCTTATTTCTGGCAAGAATTGTTCTCTGAAAACCCTGGTTTGGCCCTCTTGGAAGTATGTCTTTATTTGATACCCATTATTATCTAATTATGTAGGAAAAATGTCTGGCTTCCTTGGGAGCTGAGCAAATTTTGTCCCTTTATGCTTGTAGCTCTTTTTTATTTGTTTCTAGCTAGTTTCTTCCCCTAGTAACTCCATACAAAGCTGTTTTCTAGATTGTGCCTTGAGGTTTGACTATTTCATTGCTTTCTCACCCCATCTCTCTCTTTCTCAAAGTAATAACAAGGTAATTGAGGCTATCTGAAACAATAGGGTTGGGTAGGAAAAAAATATTCTTAAACTGAAAATTAGCACACATTTGATTCTCTCTCTCTCTCTTTTTTTAACAAAGTCTTACTACACCTTGGTTACTTAAGGCCTTTTACAACTAACTCTTTAGTATTTCCTTTCAAGAAGCAGTCAGTTTTTCCAATCTTGTAAGGCACTTGAGCTCTGGACATTCTCTATTACCTTTGATCTCTGCTTGAAAACCAGTCAATTCTTGTTTGAGTTAATCTCTTTCTTGTAACACCTGGCTAAATGTCACCAATGGTTGCCAGCATACACTGTCACTCTCTTTTAATCTTTCTCCTAGAAAGATTTTACCTTCCAAGTTATCACAAACATCTTGCTATACGTAGCAGGGCTCTCCAGTCTTCTAGCTGCTGTATCTTCTTCATTGCTGCTTGCCACCTATTTGTTAAACCAACTCCACCTATTTTCATTCTGTTATGGCAGCATACAAATTATGGTACCAATTTCTGAATTATTCATGGTTTAATTAGGAAAACAAGCCACTCTAGATATTCCAAATAGTAATAAATGTAACAGAGATAAAATAATTTTTAAAAAAGGAACATAACTTTTTGATACTCCTCCCATTGAGAGACGGGATCGGTGTCCTTTCCCCTTGAACCGGGATAGGTTTGTATCTCCTTCAACAATAGAATATGTTACAACTGATCCTATAATGCTTCCCAATCTAGAGTATAAAAATCCATAACGTTTGTGCCCATTTCACTTGGGTTTTCGCTATGAGGGAAGCCAGACATCATGTAAGAAGACTACCCATACCAAGAGCACCATGCTACAAAGTCCAGTTGACGACCAGCATCAACTGCAAGTCACATGAATGAGCCACATAGGATATTTAACGTATTTGAGCCTTCACAGCATCTAACTTCAACCATGTAAGAAACCGCAAGCAAACCCGTCCAGCCATACTTCTCCAAATTTCTGACATATAAAATTGTGGGCAAAGTAAAGTTGATATTTTATGGTGCTATGTTCAGGGATAATTTTTAAGTCAGCAATAGTTACCAAAACAATAAGAATTTGGTGCTTATGAAAACTCTTGGAAAGGATGTCTGCTTCCACAAAGGAAAATGTATCTGCCACAGAGATTTCTCTCTCACCATAAAAAAAATAGAAGACCTGACAAAATACATGAAATTACAGTTTGCAGCCATTGGAAAACAGGCAATAAATGACACGATTCCCTGATAGAAGAACATCTAATGAGGTACACCCTGATTCCCCGAGTTTACTACCTGGAGGTGGTGTCCAGGCTGCAGATCAGAAAGAGCCACAATGGAGACCAGAAGCTTCACATTGTTGAGGAAGGAAGGGATAGTGAAAGAAGTTCAGGAAAGTCAAGGCAGCTGGAATTTGCAAGGCAGAGTGGAAAGAAAGGAGTTATTTAGAGAAAGAGCCCAGAGATCTAAAGTCTTTGTTGAGTACTGATCTGGATAAGTGTGAGTTTAAAGTCCATGGGATGAGGGAGTAAAATGTCAGAAAATAGTAAGTAGGTCAAATAACTCCTGGGGCTCACAGAGGGTTTAGAATGGCTTACATTCCTACCATGTTGAGGGAAGAGACATCAAATTTTCAGGACAATTATGAAGACTTCTGAAGAATCATACCTCAGACATGTGTCTAAATTAGACATAATTAAGTCTGTTCTGGATACACCCTAAAGAAGTTAAAAGCAAACTTCAAAAGTGAGCCAAAGTGACTTAACTTCACGTCAGAAGAAAGGCCCATAATTGTTTGAAGGGATATAGCAAACTAACATCCAACAAGGTAAGATGTATAATATGCATAATCCAATAAAACTTACAAAGTATACAAAGAAGCAGGAAAATATGACCCATAACCAGGAGGACAATTAATTAATAAAAGCAGACCCCAAAATAGTGAAGGACCTTAAAACATAGAAATATCATAAGCATGCTTAGAGACCCAAAGAAAAACATGAACAGAATAAAAACAGAAAAAAAACTATAAAAAAAGACTAATGGAACTTCTAGAGATATAGAATATTTTAATTAAATAATTGTAAGATTAACATCAGAATAGACATCTCAGAGAAAATATCAGTGAACCTGAAGACACGGTAAAAAAAAGACTCAAAATAAAGCCCAAAGGGAAAAAAAATGTGCAAAACTGAACACAGCATCTGTGACCTGTTTCCAGTGGTACAATATGTGTAACTGGAGTCTTAGAAGAAATAAGAGTGTGAGTAAAAAAAACAATTTTGAAGAAATCACTACTACAATATCAAATTCAATGAAAACTGTAATCCTACGGACTGAAGAAGCTCAGTGAAGCCCAAACAGAAAAAATATATAAGGAAACATTATAATCTAAGAATCAGTGACAAAGATAAAAATCTTAAAAGCAGCTACAGGAGGGGAAAAATGACTGTGTGTGTGTGTGTGTGTGAGTGTGTGTGTGTGTATCAATGGCAGCTGACTTCTTTTCAAAGACTAGGTAAGCCACACAAAAATTTAATTTACATTTATAAATTGTTTTAAAAATATATCAGTTATAATTTTATTCCCAGACAAAATGTGCTCAAAAGATGAAGGCAGAATAATGACTTGTATACACAAAATGAACTGACAGAAATAACCAGCAGAACTGCACTGCGAGAAATATTAAGTGCCTTTCAAGCAAAAGGAAAATGATACAAGAGAGAAATTTGGATCTACACAAAGAAATAATGAGTGCTAGAAATGGCAATTATAAAAATAAATACCAAAGCCACTTTTTCTGATTTTTTAATCTTTTAAAATATGAATCAGTGTCATATAGCAAAAAATAATGTTTGTCAAGATTATATTTTAGGTAGAAATAAAACACATGACAACCTTAGTACAAAAGCCAAAACAGAGTAAATGAAAGTTTCTTACACTATATATGAATTGGTTTAGTATCATTAGAACATAGGCTGGGAAAATTTAAAACCTGTTGTAAACCTAAGAGAAACCACTAAATAAACATATATATATATATATATATATAGGCAACAAATCAAAGTAGAAATAAAATAGAAATATAAAACATACTCATCTAAGGGAATATAGGAAAAGAGAAAAACAACAAGAGATGGAAAGCTAGAAAACAAATACCAACATTACAGATTTTATGTCAAACTGCATTAAATTTAAAGGGTCTACATTCATTAATTAAAAAGGAAGAGAGTGTCAGAGTAAATAACAAGTAAGATCAAACTACACACTATTTACAAAATATTTACATTAAATATAAAGACTTAAACTGGTTAAAGTGAAAAGATAAAAAATATATATCATGCAAAAAAAAAAGCTGGAGTTACTATATTAATATCAGGCAAAGAAACATAGACATACACACACAGTAAGAAAAACCCCACAGAAACACACACACACACACACCCTGACATGCATTCTATTAATAAAACATGTAGTCCTCCCCTCACCCACCCCCAAAAAATCAGTAAAGAGATGAGACTTTAACAGCAACATCAAGGAATTTAACCTAATTTAGCATTTGGCATTTGTAGTACAGTCCACTCAATAGCTGAATACAATTTTTTTTCCAAATATGCCTAAAACATTTCTCAGGATTGATTATCTACTTAAATGAAAACAACTCTCCAAAAATTTAAAAGGAATGAAATCACACTGTTTATTTTCTATCTATTGAATTAAATAAGCAATCATCAACAAAAAAGGTATCTGGGAAATCTCCAAATATTTTACAATGAGAAACATGCACATAAATAAATAAAATTATTTATATAATTAAATAATAAATAAAAGAAAAAATCACAAGAGAATATAAAAACATTTTGCACTAAAGAAAATGAAAATACAATATTTAAAATTTGGAGTATGCAGCTATAGCATTGTTTAGAGGGAAATTTACAGCATGTAACATTTATATTAAAGGAAGAATGTTCTCAAAGCAAAAATCCTATCTTCTACAAGAAACTAGAAAAGAAAAATTAAGCCTAAATTAAGCAGAAGGAAAAATATAAGATAAAAGCAGAAACCAAATAAGTAGAAAATATAAAAACCATAGGGACAATTAATAAAGCCAACTATATTTCTTTAAATTGGGGAAAAAATCATGAAATCATGGATAACCATTTATCTTAAGATTTAGAAAACAAATATAAGTTACTAATATACAGAATGAAAAGGAAGTCACTGCAAACAATGGAAAGAAAACAAAAGAATATTATAAACAACTTTATATCAATAAATTTGTTAATTTTGATGTAATGAACAAATCCCTTAAAAGACAAGAATTTTCAAATCTCAATATATGTATTAAATGGCTCTATATTTGACATATGGGCTTATATGTATTACAGAAATTGAATTTAAAATTTTAGAGCTTCCCAAAAAGAAAATTTCAGACTCACAGAGATGGGAAACAAAGAAGTAAAACTTTCTTCATTTTCAGATGACATAACTATCTCTGTGTTAGACAGCCTAAGGAATGTACAAGGCAACACTAAAAGTTATAAATGTGTGTAGCAAGGTTGTAGGACATTAGGTCAATAATTAAATTTCTAGTTTTTGGCACCAAATACTGGAATGTGAAATCAAGAAAACAATGCAATTTATAAATTCCATATAAATGAGATAATATCACATAGTCTTGTTTCTGGCTTCTTTTGCTTATCATAACACTTTAGAGATTCACCCATGTTGTTGCATTTATTGGCAGTTTGTTCCTTTTTATTATTGAGTAGCATTCCATTATATAGCTGTATCCAAGTTTGTTCATCCATTTATCAGCTCATAAGCATTTGGGAGGTTTCAGCTTTGGGGCTCTAATTTTACAAATGTGAAAGTCATGTGTACTTTGATGATTATTTTCAGGGGTAAATACCTAAAATTGGGATTACTGGGTGTTCTAGTAAGGTGTACTATAAATTATATAGTATATTTTTAATTTTATTTTTATTTTATTGGAAATGAGGTCTTGCACTATCGCCCAAACTGGACTATGGGGGTATGATCATAGTTCACTTCAGCCTCAAACTCCTGAGCTCAAGTGATCTATCCTCCCAAGTAGCTGTGACTACAGGCACACACTACCACATCTGACTAATTTTTTATTCATTCTTGTTGTTTTAGAGATGGGGTCTCTTTGTGTTGCTCAGGCTGGTCTTGAACTCCTGGCTTCAAGCAATCCTCCTGCTTCAGCCTCCCTGGTTCCAAAATGCATTTCTAAGTGATTTTTTAAGCTTGCCTGTGGCATTCTGCACTCTTTAGCAATGTGCAAAAAGTTATAGTTGTTTCTCAGCCTCATTAAAGCTTACTATTGCCAATTTTTAAAATTTTAGTTATTCTAGTTGGCACAGAGTAATATCTCAATGTGTAGTTTTAATTTTATTTCCCGAAAGATTAGTTATTTTGAACATTTACTGATACTTAAAGAAATACTAAGAAACCATTAAAAAGTCATCACTTTTCTGTTATACAGCACTGTATCATGATTATTACAAAGCACGTGGAAAGAGGCAGGGTAAGTTTGTGTTCTACACTATGATTACACCCACATGAAACCTGCATGTGCTTTTGCGTAACAACAGGGATCAAATTAATTTAAATTAGTTGTTATGACAGGATTCTGGTTAAATAGCTTCTTATATTTTTATATTCCTTAGTGTTAAATTTTCAGGGATTGTAATATTATCGTAATGTAGATGTGATAGAGGGTAGAAAAGAATGACTCTGATTCATGTAAGTTAACTATTCAATGAAATTCTCAAGAAGTAAGTACAAGGATATTTGATCAAAATTCTAGAAATGATGGGTTTGTTAGAGTTCAGATGTGTTTCTGTATTTCAGATGTGTTCCAGGAGGTTTTCTGTGCTCCCCACAAGTGAAGATGAGAAAAACACCATTTATATATAATAGCTAACACTAAATTAGCAGAACCCAAGAAAGTCCAGGAGACAGATCATGGATGAAGAGAATGGTGGGAAGTGACAGCCCTGCTGTCTGTTTTTCATTCTCCACTAAAACCAAGTGTGCAGGCCACAGACAAAATCAAAAGTCCAAAAGAACTTGTACAGCATTTAACAGTTTATTGGGTCCTGAAAAATAATTAAATAATCACTTACAGAAAACATTCTTGGTGAGGTCTAAAAGGAAGAGGTTATTCATTTAACTTTCTCTATCTCAGGTTGTCTCACTGGTCGGAATTGTTTCAGATTCAGGAATACTCTACATGTTTCATGTCTTCAGTGTGCTTACATTTTCCCTTGGTCTGGCATTGCTGTTTATTACCCTCCATTGCACAAACTCATACCACTCTCTTGCATCTTTGGTCCATAGTTTCTGTAGCCTTTTCTATACTACTGGACTTTGTTTGGACTTGCTTTGACTCTATAAATATCCTCATGCATAGTCTTAAAGGAAATATAACTTTATTCAATCAAACTTGAAAAGGTACTTGCCACTTTCCAATGTTTCTTTTTTCAAAACCTACAATTTTATTTAGCCAATTAATTTATTAATATTATTTTATCATCTCTCTGTCTCCTTTAATTCACTCTGAATCCTTTCCATTATTCTCTCTTCATTCCCAAAGTTTATCTTTTAGCTTCTCAGCTCAATAATTGAAATTACATGGCAAATTTTCTTAATCACTTAATATCTTCTATTTTCTTAATCACTTAATATCTTCTATTTTCTTAATCACTTAATATCTTCTATAACTTACATAAAAATCTATTTTAGACAACCATACACGTGTGTTAAACTTCTGTCATTTTGTTTTGCCCTGATCTTATTCTTTGACTGATTTTCTGTGTTATTATTGTTATTGTTATATTATTATATTAGCTCTTTGTCTCTCTATAACAAGGAATTTCTAACTTTCCTTTCTCAATTCCGTTTCTTTTTACCTGCCTATAATTTGCCAAAATTCTGCATCTTGGTGTTTTGAAAGCCTAATTATTTCAAGAGTATCCAAAAGTTTGAGAAGTTAATTTGTTGTTATCAGTATGTTTTATTATAGCTATGTAAGATTTTCACCAGAATTAATCATTTCTGATTCATATATATTCTTTTTATTTCAAGGTTACTTCCAATTCACATGATTTACAATCAGATTCCCCCATTAAGACTGATGATACATGCTTGTCATTCATGCTTATAAATGTAAAGTCTCTAACTTATCTGGAATGGGGCTTCAAAACCCAGTTCTCTTCTCCTCCACACTATAGTAATTTACTCCTATGAATTTCTCCTCCTCATATTAACTTCTGTATTGTTTACTTTTTGTAATTTGAGCATGTACATAAATTCTCATCTTCTATTCCTTACAGCCAGAATAACACAAATGCGTATTTCAATACATAGTTTCATTCTTCAGAGTTATCCACACAAAACCAATAAATTCTGGGAAAACTTGAAACCTGTGTGTGTCTGTGTGTGTGTTTAATAGCCATGGCTCCAAATAAGACCTCTTTATAGCTAAGTTTTTAATCATTGAGAGAAAAAGAGAGAAAGAGTCATCTAAGGAAATTGATTTTATGAAGCATATTATTAAAATTTACCATTCCACAAAGGGATAATGCAAAAAACTAAAGAGGATACTGAGGGTTAAATCACCTTCCCCCACCCTTAAACTTGGATTGGAACTATTCTGGAATTTAATGACAGCTTTCACGAGAAGAAATAATAAATTTCATCGTACCAAAATAAAGGTTCCTACCTCAGACATTTGACATTTGAGAGATAAATCTTGACATTCAAGACATGATAAATCTTGATTCCTTTGCAAATGAGGAAATGTGACTACAATCTCCCAGCTTTTTCTCAAACCCTATTTTCAAGCAAAAGTATGTTTCCAACATATATATTCCTACTTAACTACCTTTTCAACCTGTACAAAGTTTGTTTCTTTATCTATTTTTTCATGAAGTGTAAACTGTTTGGGACCTTAAGTCACTCATTTCAGGGGTGACAATGAGTAGGAAGCGGAAAGATGACCTGAGACACAGTTGGCGAAGTTCCTACGTTGGAACATGCTCCAGAGTCTCAACACATGAATTTTAAATTTGTGCTTTGTCTAAACAATAGTGTTTTGCATAAACTTTTATGATCACCAGAAAATTGCTGAAATCTCAAATATTAAATCCACAAATGTTAAAGGACTATTTGAAATAATGATTCAGTTTCTCTAATGTATGTTCTTTGTGCTGTCATTATGTGGCATATCAAATTGTTGGGACAATGTTTAGGAACTAAGAACTAAACTGCTTTCCAATTAAAGTGGTAAATATTTTCCAAAAGTAGAAATTTTCCTTTTCCCTAACATTTTCAAAAAATAGGAAAAATTGGAAAATATTAGGGAAAAGGAAAATTTTTACTTTATTTTCTCCTGGTTCCCAAAACTACCATAAAGCATTTCTTAGGATTGTACAGTACACAATTTGAAAAACTTTAGGAATCAAACCTGCAAACTCATCTTCCCCAATTTCCAAATTAGATCAGTCATTCATTTTAGATTTTTAGGAAAGAAAATTGAGACATGGAGATACTCAGAAGTTATCTATTTTGGCACTCAGATTTTGTGATTCTTATTCAATAGAGAAGAATCCTCTGTCCTCGAGTCAAATATAATATTTAATCTACATGTTGTTTCATGCAGATTGGCTATGACTGTGATGTCTGTTTGACATGATAAATACCAGTCTAAACTGCTTTTTCTGTTATTATTAACGTTTCTGTCAGACACCTTGACGATTGCTGTACAAAAGTATTTATTGAGATCCTAGCTTACACAAATACAGTTCGGACCTGGAAAATGATTTCACAGTTAAATATAGCATTGTGAAGGGAAGAATAAAAGCATTCAAACAAAATAAAAGCTTTCTTCCACCCCACCTCCATCTCTGCGTGCATCAATTCTGTGAAATTTGGCTAAGGTAGTCTTGGTATTCTTGCATAATAGCTCTAAGCAAAGTTCTCCTACACTTTCTTCCAAAAGTTGGCCTATTAAATGAAGCATTATATAATACAAGAGTAATGGAGGCTTTTGAAAGTAATTTGGGATTTAAGTTAAGAAATAGCAAAATTAAGATTTGAAAATTACATACTCTTAATACACATTTTTAGCTCAATTTTCTGGCCATGAATCTTTAGCCTGCTTTTAAAAGAAAAACACATGTTGAGAAGAGATATATATATGAAGTGAAATGAGTTTTATGTGGCCTCCTACTACACTTTGAAATATAGTCAGTCTCTAGTACAGAAATCAGTGCATAAAATAATTGCACCCAAGTGCCATTATATTCATTTCATCCCCAAGATTACTGCCTATTCTTACCTCCCATTTTATTTAAATAAAGAATAAATGAAACTTGCCTGCCTCTGTATTTTGGGTAGAAAAAGAATGGTGAAGGTTTGAGTGATCACTATCTAAAATAATTAGTTCATTAATTATTTATGCTATTAATGTATCATTAAGAAGTGGTTTATGTATGCAGCAAAGCCAGGTTTGTTATCCATTACTCAAAAGTTTGGTGATTTCCAAACCTATATGGCAATCTAAATCACTGGAAAATTTTTCAGAAATTCAGATTTTAGGGCCCCTACCCAAATATACTAAGAATCTCAAAGAATAGGCCACTGTCATTTGTATTATCTGTGAAATCTGATCATACAAATTGAGTCCTTCTTGTCATATCCAGCTAAAATAGAATTAAGAAGCCAGGGGAGGAAAGCACTCAGGGTATAAAACATTGATCCAAGAATGTAATTCTCTGCAAGACTGACTGATGAAACTGCTTGTTGTATAACCTGAAACCACTTTTATCTACAGTTTGTGAGATAACTTGCTGCAACTCTAGGACTAATTTTGCTCACTGCCATCATTCACCAGTTGGAGCTTGCCAGCTCCCCAAACTCTTACTAGTGCCAATGAACTTTCTCAAGATCATGCATAACATTTGTTCTTTTTTATAAAACCTCTAGCCTTCTCTTTGTCCTTCAAACATACTGAAGACCGCTTGGTCTGCATATACACCCTGAATTGCAATTCTTTCTTCCCAAATAAAATGTTAGAGATTCATCTCTCCATTTTTATTTCGACATAACCTATGAATACTCCCCCAAATTATTCTGATGTTCAGGAAGCTTTAAGAACTACTTGACTAGAAGTTATTGGGCTGAAATTTGCCAAGCTGGTATCTATGGGTTTTTCCATAGAAACAAGCATCCTAAATTAATTCATTATGCTTAATCATCGTAATATGAACAAATTCTTTCATATGTTTTAATGAAAGCCACTTTACTTCTTATTTGTAATCCATACTTGCATTACAACCTTATTAACGTGAATTTTAAATAGGTCTGATCCAATAAGTAAACTATGGTCTCTAAAGTGGGAGATGTAAAGCATAGGTTCAGTGTGTGTGAGAACACATGCTGTGAACAATAAGAATCCCAATTAAAATGGAAAATATTACCCAAGCTAGTGCCTTTTGGAGTACTAATTCTTGTTTTAATCAAATGCATCCATCTTATATAGCTTAGTAGAAAAGAGTATTATGTGTTATGTATGTGTATGTGTTTTTTTAGCATTTCATGGAGTCTTAATGGCCTCTAAAACAGGCATTTTGTTGTTATCTCTTGCATAAATTTTCAGAACATTTGAAGAGAAAGGAGGGGCTTTCTTTACAAACCCTGACTGTTCTGTCTGAATTTTACTTGAGACACACCGAGCATAAGGCTTGCTGGGATGTTTCTTTGCCTTCTAGGGCATGTGCAAAATAAACACAGTGACGTGTGTTTTTTCTCATGGATGTATCAAGAAACATATACAGAGCACATACCTATAGTTTGTGCTGGGAATAGGGTGGTAAACAAGTCAGAGACACCCCTTCCTAAAAGAGTTTACCACCGTATGAGGGAGAGAGACATTAAACAAGAAATTATGAGTGAAATAAATTTCACCAAAGAGAATGACAAATGTGGCAAGGAAGGTATCTCTGCATAACTGATGTCAAAGCAAAATCTCAAAAAAAGAGAAGGAGTTACCTAGTTATCTATGCAGAGGGAGTTCAAGGCATAGAAACCAGCATTGGTTTGAGGAGGGTCCAGCCTGCCTACTTTGTTGCTCTTAAATAGTAGATGATGGTGTAAAGTATGGTGGACTCTGTGTGCAGACAGTGATAGTTCTAAATCTAATTCTGCCATCACTACCTAGTCATACATTTGGGTAGATTAATTAATCTCTCTTAAAATGTCCTTATCTGTTAAAGGGGGTTTATAATGGGATTGCCGTGAATACAAAATGATCAAATAATAACTAAATACAGAAAATAAAACTAAATACTTGCTTATATATAATGATATACAGCTTTATCATATTTAATACATAAATTCCTAACTTGGGTCCTAACTTAAAAATCGAGTTCCAACTCCAGGGCTGTCTACACAAAACTACATTGTAAGGTACTAGAGCTCCTGCAGAAAACCTTGTAAACATATTATTGTTACTTTAGATTTGGCAGGAGAAAATTAGATGGGAAAACTGAAAACCTCAGAATCACTGTTTTTCACATTCAAAAATGTTGGACAGTGTTTACTGGAAAAGACAAGGCTTCCTGTGAATTTTAAATACTGGAAAGGAACAAGTTGCCTGTGAATATTAGAAAGTAAAGTTGAATTTAATTGCAATAGGTAGCAGGACCCGCAGTAGGACAGCAAGTGAAATTAATTTGAGTAAATGACTCAAAGGGTGTTGGGAAAAATCATCTTAATTGTTCTTATGCACAGGTTATCACTGGGATAAATATCAAAATTAGATTTTAAAGTGATTGAATTATTTTATGAGCTTTAAAAGCCCTTTCAGGTAACCAGCTCAGGCAATAATTTTTAAATCAAACTTCATGATCTAGGAAGTAAACTGATCATACAGAGGTCAGAATGACATTTATGGGCTTGAGAGATTTCTATCTGTCTCCAAAACTGGCTGAGTGGGCACCATCAGAGGTAGAAAGATTTATCAAGCAACATGCAAAAGAGTTCTTATATCACCAATGAATCATTAGGGGCAAATAGAAGATTCTGTTTGAAAAGAGTTCAAGTATCTTAACTTAATAGTTTTCAGGAAAATCAGATGTACATTAATGGATAGAGTATAATTGAGCACCCCAAAATTGTAAAATAAATAAATAAATTGGTTCTGATCTACTCTTCTACTCCAATTTACTCTTTTACTACCCACACATTTATTCAAACACATGTATTGGGCACCTGCTCTGAGTTATACATTGTATTAGGCACTGAGATCTGTTATGGGTTGAATTGAGTTTTACCAAAATTTACATTGATATCCTAAACCCAGTACCTCAGAATTTGATCTTATTTAGAAAGAAGGTCATTACAGATGTAACTTAACATAAGTTAATGTACAAAGTCTTACTGGAGAATAGAGTGGGTCCCTAATGCAATGTGACTGGTGTCCTTAAAAAGGGGAAAATTTGGACACAAGTATACACACTACACTCACAAGGAGAACACCATGTGAAGATGAGCACAAAGATTGGGGTGATGCTTCCGTAACACAAGAAATACCAAAGAGTTCCTGCAAACCACCAGAAGCTAGGAAGAGATTCCTCCTCACAGCCCTCTGAAGGAACCAACCCTGCCGACATCTCCATCTTGGACTTCTGACCTCCAGAGCTGTGAGACAATCAATTTCTGCTGATTAAGCCACCCACTTTGTGGTACTCTGTTATGGCAGCCCTAGGAAACTAATATAGGATTGGAGCAGGGTATCTCCCACCCTGATATGACCCATATTCCAGTGGGTAGAGTAAATTTTAAAACTTTTCTTTGTTTCAACCTCAAAGGACTCTGTGGATATTATGTTTTAAAATAACAAAAATATAGATTTATAGATAAAAGAAGAAAGCAGAAATATGCTAATCTGAAGACATTCATTTATTAGCCAAAAATGTAATTAATCTATGCTCTGTACGGGACATTCTTCATTTACTCTCCCAGCTCTGTGGCCCACCTTTCTCTGTACCTTGGTTGCTGAACTTAATGGATTGCATCTGTCAGGATCCCTTGACCTCTGTTGTCCAGGTGCAGTCAACCCATTGGAGGCACTGGAAGGACAGTGGGGAGCAGGAGAGAGCCCATTAGCTTCTCCTAATGGCCTGCGGTGTTTATAATGTTAGGGTCCTTTCTGCATGCTCAACACTCAGCCAGTGCCTTCTCTCATCGGAGTCCAATAACATGTTTTCTTCTTTTCCCCTTTAAGACTAGACATGGCAAAACCTTGCTCCTGGTAACTGTTACCTAGTAACTGTTGCTAGCTCCTGGGAACTTTATTCTTTTATTACCCTTAATCCTGCCCTCACTTTGTAAATAATCCCATTTTTACACTATTTTTAATAACCTCTTTGAGTATGTCAATGATTTTTGCCAGAACCATGGCTGATACAAGAATTTTTCCAGGAATGTTGCCAGGAAACAGACCCTCAAATTTGCATTTCAGGATTGATGTCTCACATACTTGATGAGCACACAGATAACCTCTTTGCTAGGGGGCAATAGGACACTGGTACTCCATGAATACAGTGGAATCATAGCTATTCAAATTTTCAGAGGTGGAATGAGATGGAGCATAGTGGAAGGAAGCTTTGGGAGATGAATTTGCTATGGTGCTTAGTTGCTGTGTTCACATTGTTGATTTATAAAGTGGAAATAGGCTTGTTGGTTTTGACTAACACAAACACACACACACAAATAAACTCAAAGCCTGAAATTTCTTTTCAAAATGCAGAAAGCATTTACACAGCTTATCTCACATAGCTGACTGCAGACATGACTGTGGATCAGGTACAAAGCCTTATTGTAAATACTGTAGAGATGCAATGTCAATTAAAAGTACAATTTCTTCAGATCTCTTATGCTAACATCATGACCACTAGTTAGAAAGTATATCCTAGAAAACAGGAATGGGAAATCTTGGTCACTATATCTGTTTGTCCACTTTCCATGGACATCTGGAAGGAGAGATAAATGACCTGATATGAAATTTACATTAATTGATAGTCAGAAGATAACAGGTTAGTTATTGATCATGGTATTGAAAGAACCAGATTAAGAGATGAATGACAAAGGATTCTAGGAGAGAGGGTTGTGAATAAACATCTCAGAATGGGCAGAGTGTGGGCCACACTCATGGGCCACATCAATCTTCCACCATGAAGTAAAGGTTGTCACTAATCAAGTGAACAAAATTACCTGTTGTGTAAATATAAGTCAGCTTCTACCCTTGGCCAATAAATTGCTCATTTAATGGGCCCATTTACAAAGTGGCCATAGTGACAGGGGTGGAGGCTGTACATGGGCTTAATAAGGTAGATTTCCCTTCACTAAAGCTGATCTTGTCACAGATATTGCTGAGTATCCAACATGCTAAAAGCAGAAGTAGAAGTAAACACTAAGCCTCTAATATGAACATTTCCTGGGAAGCCAGATATTCACCAGGTGAAAGTTGATTACTTTAGGCTCCTTTTATCAAAAATGTTGTACACATAGGAATAGATTCATATTCCAAACACAGATTTGCCTTTGTGTCTGCAAACTCTCTTATTGTTGCTACTCAGGGACCAACAAAATTCCTTACTCATCATCTCTGTATCCTGAAAACACACACACACACACACACACACACACACACACACACACGCAAAAATGAAAAGGAAGAAAGAAATCAAATTTTCCGAAACATTTCTGAAAAATGTTTCCTTCACATATTACAATGAAGGAAATGTACCAATGGCTTCCCTCAAGGTGTTCTCTGGTCTTATATTCCTCAGAGAGCAGCTGCTTTGCCAAAGTGGTAAACTGGCTGCCAAAGGCTAAATAATGATATTAGGTAGGTGGTGATACTGTTTGTGATGCTGTTATACATGATGTAGAATATGCCTTAAATCAATAAGTAGTGCCATCCCCTCTGCAGATATAATATATGAACGGATCTGGGAAACAAGAAGTAGATGTGGGAATAGCCCCTCTTACATTACACTAGTAGTAAAGTAGATGTGGCATCAGTGTGTTAGGAAAGTGAGTATCCAAAGAATTAATGCTTCCATCAGGGAGCATAATCATGATTCTATTGAAATAGAAATTAAGACTTATCTCGAGCTAACATGAACTTTTCATTTTGATGTACCAACAGGCAGAGAAAAGGGTCAATGCTATGGGTTGAATAATTAATTCAATTGCCAAGGAAACTTTTTTCTTCCAACTAGTGGGGGCAAAAAGACCCCTCAAAACCCAGGCAACTCACTGTGGAACATGTTGGCTCAGCCATTCTATTATTAGTTGCCAATAGGAAATGAAGGCAACGTAAGACAGGACCAGTAGGTACTCGGTTCCTTTAGGGATGAAGATTCATGTAAACTAATCCCCACCCTACCACCGCCCAGGAGACACCCCCCCAACCCCGCCCAGGAAAAAAACAAAACTCACCAAATGATGTTGGCAGAGAATTTTTTTTTAATATGAAACTGGTGAACAAAGAAGGAAGGTAAATATTTCAATGAGCTTTGTAACGTAAGCCTTATAGTCAGCCACACATGTAGGCACTGTAATCGGCTATGTTTTCTCTTAATTATTATTTTTCTCCTTTCCATCCACTCCTGATATTTGATACTTTTATGTGAAGGGCACTGATGCCCAATAATGTTCCAACTAAGGTTCTTGGTGGGATTCTAGCTACATTGACATCTCCTCAAGGTGATGAAGAGATTAATACGTCTTTATGTTTCCCCTGTTTAGGGGGATTTTTCTGTTGTGTTTCAGATTTATCTATCTAAATAAAGAACAGGAATGAATTTAATTGGGGAAAAGGTGGATTGTACTGATTACCCATCATTTACTTTTACCCTTCTGAATTCATCCTGTGCCCTGATCTTTGTCCCAGAACCACATCACTTGGCATCTCTTGCCCTCTGGCATCCTATTGGTTTCAACTAATAAAAAATACTCACAGAGATCAGGGTTAAGAGGACAAAGTTATCAGGTACGGATTTTCACCACACCTCAGCTTCCAAGCCATGATTTTAACAGTAGCTGTGTTCCTCGCTGGGTGTCCACAGCTACTATTGGGCAGCCCATCTCCCACAGCTACAGCTATCACTGGGTTCTGATACACCACAAAGCTTTGGCACAGTAATGTCTTTCCACTGTTGTGGACCCCCAAATGTTTAACCGTCCTTTCTTGCTTTTTTTCTTTTTTTGACTGTTTGTATCTTTGTAATCAGTCCCTTCTTCTGACTCTTGGAGTGTGCCTCCTGTTTTCTGCTAATATCCTGATTGACTAAATTTTTTGATAAATGTCTTTTGTGATTCCTTAATGTAGATAAAAACTTACTTGTGCGGCAGTAGAAATTATCTATCTTTTAAAGTCAAGACTCTACCAGACGCTGCCATGAAATATATTTATTTGTTAATTACAGAGTAAAAAGATTCTGAAGGAGAAGACACAGTCCCTGAGAACAGATGCATTAAGAGTAATGGCATTCTGGGTGTTATGTGCTATAACCAATATACTAAATATTTAGAAAGGTGTTGTAGTCATACTAAACAAATTGCATCAAGACTCTATCTGCAAGATGCTTAAGTAGGATGAATAGGTGAAAATAACGTAATTACAAAAACATCAAAATCCAGTATATTGGAGTGATTACAAGAAATCTTCTAATTTATGTCTTTAAAGAATGGTTAGGTTTTTTAGACCGGGAAAGCAGCCATCAGTTACTTGCCCAACTGCTGTATTTTTGGTTCTTTTATTACTATGCTGCTTTAGGAAAATGGTAATGATCTATTTCATGACACCTGAACTATTCTGTTGAGTATTGTTCCTTAAGAACCCACATAACTGATTCAAAGTGCTTACTGAAATTCTGTCTGGTTATTCCTTTTGGGAAAGGAAAATGTGGGGGAAAAATTCCTTCAGAATATTGTGCAGAGTTAATGACCACCACATATCAACTCTTATTGGCCATTGCCTTTGCCACATACGCAATCGTTTTACTGAAAAACAGAGTTTTCTGATTCACATTTATCCTCCCATTTTGCTCTTTGGGAGCCAAACATGATACTGTTAAAGCATACTCTTTGAATTTAATAAGAATATCATCAATTTTAAGGCCAATGACAAAATTTATGCTGTCTCAGCAGAAAAGATGTGTAATGTTCAACATACCCAATAGTAAAAAGGAGGAGGCAGGCTTGGTAGTTGTTCATTGCAATTGAGAAGGCCCCCTATTTCTTCCTATATTCTGGACTAAGCCACTGTAGCAAACTGTCAGCTTTAGCCAAATTTTGTTTTTATGTCTCAGCAAAGGTGTGCTTCAAAGCAATCTCCCTTTGAAATCTGTGATAAAAAACTACTCAAAGCAAACTGATACCATCATCAAGTAACTTGTATTTTCTTTTTTAAAAAAATGAAAAACGCAGCTCTTACTTGCAATACATTTTTAATGGCATTTTTAGTAGCTTTTTCTCCCATGGGGGTTCTGTAGTGTCAGCCATGTTCTAAATGGGAAATCTTCTGTTTAAATAAGAAGTATTTAATAATTGGACTTAAATTAGATCACATGATAGCATTAAAAATCTGTCTCTATCAGTGGGTCTTTCTGAGGAAAAAAAATTGCTCAGAATGGACAATGCATCACTATTATTTCTCAGCATTTTCATAGTGAGGTATTACACAAGATGCAAATTTTGGCCTCTCCTGTGGGCCATAGGCCCTATCCCCAGAATCCAATTTTCATCCTTCAACCTAGCCCATTCCTACCTCTACTTTGTGGTCCTTGTGCCCTAGGTTCTGCTTCAGTTAGGTCCAAATCAATAGTATACGAACACATACCATGTATCAGTACCTAGATTAGAATGTGGGAGGTAATGGCACCAGTGCCTACAACAGACTATGAATAAATATGTGAATAAACAACATAATGCAGACTGAACATGAAATCAATGTCTATAAAGACAGATATTGATAAATCAATACATAAAACAAATGCAGAAATGTCCCTTTTGATTCTGAATTTGTGATTACTTATGGAAAATTAAGTAGGCTTTAACAGCAAACAATTCATATGTATTTCAGAATAAAAACAACAAGGTAATGACTAATGGTACAAAAAGTACATATTTTGCACTTATTTTCTATGGAAGAAAATTTAAAATCACAAATATTACAATTGATACCAAATATAAACAAAATTATAATAAAACTTTCTGCACAAAGAAACTAATAGGGCATAATATAAAATCCAGAAATATACCCACACGTACTTATTGACCTGATTTATGGCAAAGTACCACCACAATTCAGACTGAAAGAATAGTCTTATCAATAAATGTAGTTGATCAAATAGATATCCTTAAGGGAAAAGTGTGAAATTAACCTTTACCTCACAGCGTACACAAAAATAATTTAAAATATATCATAGTCTTAAATATCAAAAGAAAACAAAAAACCTCTAGAAAAAAATGTAAAACAATATTTTTTCAAACTTGGATAGAAAATATTTCTGAAACAAAACACAAAAGCACCAACTATAAATGAAAAAAGTTAATGAACTAAAAAGTTCTGCCATCAAAAATACTTCCATAAGAGGATGACAAGGCATGCTACACACTAGAAGATATTCCCAAGATATAGGTACAGAAAAGGATTTGAATTCAGAATTCTAGAAACCAATAAAAGACAAAAATGTAATTTTAATATGAGCAAAATATTTGAAAAACAGTGTGTCACTAAAAATGATATGCAAATGACTAATAAGCATATGAATGTATATTCAGTACCATTAGTCATCACAGAAAACAAATTAAAATCACAATGAGACACTACATCTCCACCAGAATGCTGTAATTATACATAGATATACATTTTTTATTTCATTCACAATACCAGTACTGATTGATATTAAGTATTAACGACGATACAGAGAAACTGTAGCTCTTGTACATTTCTGATTTATATTTGTAAACTGGTAACTCTAGCTGAGTATGCCTTAACTCACATTCTCCTAGTTTGTGGACTTTGACTTTGAACCCTCTGATAATTCACTATGACTTTTATTTGGATATGGCTCCCTCACAGGAAAAACTTACAAAAGAGCTACTCTGCCTCTGCCATGACATTGCCTCTGGAAACTTACCTGCAGGCACCTTGGCCATGTCTTGTTTGGTGTATGACATTTGAGTACCCAGGACAGCACAGCTCACTGTGCATCAGGTTAGTACAGGATGGTTTGCAAATAGTTTTCTTTCCAGACAGCCCAATAGAGGCCATGGGCAAAACCCCACTCCACCCCTATTTAGTTTTATTAACTAATCACCTCTGCCTTCCTCTTTCTCTTTCTTCCTCTAGACACTCACTGATTCAGCATGAAAGATTTTCTTTTCCTTCCTCAAATCAAATATTTCTCTCTCTGGAGAAGCTAGCCTTATAGTTTGGTTACTCCAGGAGAAAAAGTTCTGTTTACTACATTACGGAAGAAATTTGATGAGTTAAGTCCCTCTAATTTAGTAATTGAGATGATCACTGGATGATAAATAATTTTAGATATTTCTTTTGTTTTTAAAATCACTTTGACAAAAACATCTCCTTTTTGCATATTATAAATCTTGCCTCAGTTCTCCATTTTCCTTTCCATGAGAACAAGTCTCACTGTCACTCCAGGCATATGAACACCCTGAGACAGCCAGAGCAAAGTCATGTGTTTGAAAAGACAAAAGAGAAATGTATGTACAGAATGTCCCAAATATCATCTCTTAATTTTATTTCCACAAATGTATCATTAAGGCTCTGCTAGTCAAATTGATATTTCTCTGCCTCTGCATTTTTATATTTCCAGACCCTTTAATATCCTTCTCAAATTTTAGCTTCTTCTTGATCCCTATATGTAGAGATAATCTCTATTATTTCCAATATTTCTTTACTTTTTTCTATTTTACTTTTATAGTGTTTACCACTATCTCTCTTCAACTGTAGTAACAGTTACATCTGAACTTTTCTTTGCTACCAGATTCCACTCTCCTTGTAGCCATGGGCTATATACATATTGGATATAATCTCACATAATAGGAATACATTTCTAGTTCTTCAATGATTTCGAACAAGTTAATTAAATCTTCTAAACTCAAGGTCATTTTATCTATAAAATGATAATAATATCAAGGAATGATTATAAATTTTGAAAGAAAGCTTCTAATATTGAGAACCCCATATAAGGAAGAATAATGAGTGATGAAATTAATATTATTTTTATAAAAAATACAATGTAATTTAAAGACTCTGAAGAACAACAACTGAAAATATTAGATTTATTTATATAGGAACTCATGAAGTAGGCAGTTTATTCCTGATGAAAGAGTCCAAATTATTATTTTAAGTCCAATTATTATTATAAGTATAGGCAAAAATGAAACTTTATCCTCTATACTGCTTTCCATAGAGTATTTTTCCTTCATAAAAATGTTATCTTGTTTGCAATATTTTTAGGCAAGTAAGTTAAATTGGAAAAAATCTAAAATTCAGAGGTTGGGGCACTTGCCCAAGATCAAATACTGACTAGGTATTAATGGGAAAAGGTTGAGAAACAAATTCCTCCAATTCCTTGCCTGAATTCTTTGCTTCAGCAACCAGGAACAACAAATCTGTGAAGCTAATATTTTGCTTATAAAAATACTCTACTATCTGGGATAGAATATTTGAAAGCATGTTTTTCTATTTATGTCACTTATTAGTAATAATGATAATAGCAACTCTGTTTATTTATTATGTGGGACTTCTTAGAAATAAATTTCGTGCTGTTCTGTGCATCTGGATACATACCTGTAACATCAGTCACTGCTAGCCCACTATTATATTTGTTACAGTCACAAAAGAGATTAAACTCCAGTCATCTAAGAGCAGATTTGGACATTAAGAGTGCTTGGATTTTGGTCAATAAAATCCAAATTATTTTATCTCTTCATTCACTTTTTTTTGCCTTATGTCAGTAATCTATTTCTGTTCTGTTCAAAGATTTGCCTCTGCAGCATAATACAAGGCTAATAGGTGGATCTTGCTCTGAAAAGGAAGAAACACTTGAAGTAACACTCAGAGGTGATTAAATGCCTTGGGGGAGAAGGGAGAAGAGTTTTCTGTTTCTCATTCTCCTTTTTCTCTTTTTCTTTCTACAGGTCCCCCCCTCCCCTTTTTCCTCTCCCCTCCCTTACTCCTTCCCCCTCTCTCTTTGATTTCACTGCCAAATTATATGAAAGAGCTCTGATAAATTGGCTTAAATAAAAATTCAGTGCTTAAATCAAATATTGTATCAGAAAAATAGAAACTAGCTCAAATGCCTTTTAGTATACATGACTTTGGCAATCTTTGATAAATAAAACAAGTTTCAAAATTCTCTTCAGTAAAAAAAATCTTAAAGTCATGTTATGATAAATTAACTAATCCTAGGGTTTTCACTAAAAATCAGGGTTACTAAGAATTAGAATAGTAGTTAATAGGTATAATTAAAACTGCTAGATATAGGATTATGAAAGTTAGAATGTTTAAAACAGGCTTTATGTAAAGTAGTTGTGACTCCTTTACCTAAATGTTTTATGAAAATGGATACTGTATCTGACTCGGGAATGTTTCCCCTACCCAATTCCACAAAAAGGAAGACATGTAAGTCTGCCTGGTAAGCAATATTAATTGGATATGCCAAATAAGAACCAGTAAGAGTGCCTGAGCCACCAGGCATCGTGGCTCACATTTGTAATCTCAGCAATTTTGGAGGCCAAGGTGAGAGGATCACATGAACGTAGAATTTTGAAACTAGCCCGGGCAAGATAGTAGACCCCATCTCTACACAAAATAAAAAAAAAATAGCCGGACATTGTTGCTTGTGCCTGTAGTCTCACTTACTAGGGAGTTTGAAGTGGGAGGATCACTTGAGCCTAGGAGTTTGAAGCTGCAGTAAGCTGTCATCGTGCCACCGCACTCCAGCCTGGGTGACGGAATGAGACCATGACTGAAAAAAAGAAAGAAAGGAAAGTGTCTGAGTCCACTGACTGTAGAGTGGGAGCTGGAATACTGGTATGGACAAATTCTCCACTTGATAGCCCTTTGTGGAGTGTTTACTGGTGCATATGGCCAAAGTCTGTGAGTCCCTGACATGGTTTGAATGTTGGAGGAGTGGCCTGATGTGAGGTGGTTGGATCACAGGAGCTGACTTTGCCTTGCTGTTCTCATGATAGTCAGTTCTTTCTCATGAGACCTGGTTGTTAAAAGTGTGTAGCACTTCCCCTTTCACTCTCTCTCTTGTCACCATGTGAAGAAGTGCTTGCTTCCACTTCACCTTCCACTATGATTGTAAGTTTCCTGAGGCCTCCCTAGCCATGCTTACTGTACAGTCCATGGAACTGTTAGTTAATTAAACCTCTTTTCTTCATAAATTATCCAGTCTCAGGTAGTTTCTTATAGCAATGCGAGAATGGAATAATACGGTGCCTTCCAATGACAACTACTGTGAATTTGGACTAGAGAATTTCCACTTGAGGGGCATTAACTATCTGGTTACAGGATGCTACCTGAAGTCACTCCCATGACTGAAGGACATAAAATGATCCGGACACCCTGTGCTGAATCACTCTAATGGAGACAGTAGTGTACAAATGAAGTCCCCAAAAGAGGTCCATAAGAGTTTGGGAAGAGTTTCTCTTCCTGAGTTCCTCAAAATCTGGAAATTATGCGTGAGTATTCTTCTTCTATGGCTATATAATTATTGGCATAAGTTCAGTAAGAATCTGTTTTCCTTTGAAACCGGACGCAATTGGAGACACAGTTGTTTTACCAAGGCTTTGACTAGAATAACATATTTGCAGGTAAAGTTCCAGCAAAGCCAACTTAAAAAGGGCCTATATGGCCAATCAGTTCTTTCTGTACTTGATACTTCAATCAGGTCACGTATTATAAGCCTAAAAAAATAAGCCTAAGACTTATTTGCACACATATTGGTTTTACTATCATTTCTCTTTGGTAGAAAAGGGGGACTAGATAGACAGAAATTATGTTTCAAAGGAAAACTGTCCTATTACTAAATTTCTGCCCTGACCTTTGTTTTTAAGGGTGGATTGAATCATGAATTACGTCTTGGCTACAATAAGCCTCTAAAGAATAACCAGGTTGTCATTTTCTTCATGATGTTTTAGTTAGCTTCCTAATCGCATAAACTTCTTTTTCCATTCTGACACTAATTCTCTTTTGATTGTCTATTTATTAATGTTATTTATCTCTTATTGTCTTACTTTTCCTAAGAAAATCAGAATCATGATATTTCAAAGGCTAGAGATGACTTGTCAAGGTTTTTGAATTTTCCTCATTTGGAATCCCGTTGGGTCTGATCTGGTTTTTATTACCAACATCCTGCTGTTAAAATTACAGAAGCACCCTCCCTCTAGGCCCAGAGACTACTGCAGAAGAGTGCATGAGGTTGGAAGGGCCAGTGTCAAGGGACAGAATTAGTTCAGACTTTCTTAATCAAGGATGAGCACACATATGCCTAAAAAAGCTGATAAACTGTGAGACTTTGCCTGCTAGGCCACTATGGGGCTGCTTTTTTTCCATCCCAACCATAAAAAATTACTGAAAGGATAAAAAGGTATCTGGTGACAGAATCTTCTGGGTATAGTTGTTACCAGTTATGGGGTTTATATAAATGGAGATACAAGAAATTTTGGGCCACCTTAGAACAGATTAAAAAAGAAATCACAAAAAGATTATGACACAATAAAAGTCTCTAGATTCCTTCACTTAAATGGTTTTAGCAAAACATTTATGTTTTGTATAATTTATTGCTGCAAGTCTGTAACTAAAGCCAAGATTAAAGTAACTTAACATGTAGAACTTATGGATAAGTCAGTTTTGTAATCTTGCTTTTTAGATTTGGTTTTTGGTTGTGTTGCTTAAAAGGTATTAAGGGTTGGTGGGTGCCTGCCCACCTTCATTCCTGTCTGGCCTAGAATGTTTAAACTGGTTGTAAGTCTTTTGGCTCTAAGTCCCTTGGCCATAGGGGTCCCACTGAGGGACACAGTGAACCTGGGGCAGGTAGCCACACCACCCCAGCAACAATATGGAACAAAATAAAACTTTGGCCACTGATGTTGCCTCTGACAGATTTTGGCCTAAAAGGGGAGACTGTAACCTAAAAATAAAAGTCTAAGTGCCCCAACTGTCTGAGGGAACCCTCTCTTGGTCAAGGGGACCACAGAGTAAACTTGAAAACTGAGTTTTCAGCCATGATAGAATGGGGGATGGTCAGACAAACCTTATTATTCCCCTCTCTCGCTAACCATAATTATGCTTTCTTCCCTAAGGGTTTAACAGAAACAAACTCTTTCAAAAGATTCCACTGCTGGTATCAACAAACCACCTGATGCTGCCCCTTCTTTCTTGCCTAATAAGAGACCACCAACCATGCACTGGTTCTGTCCAGTCTATGGAGAATGCACAGTAAAGTATTTTGTGTCCTTGCTTCACCTTTTGATGTCAGAGGGCCAAAAAGTTCACCCTAGAATTATGCTAAAGTGGCAATTTTTTGTACATGGGACTCATGGAGGGGCATAAATCTCAATTGCACATGCACACATTTCTCCTCATAAATATTCATGACTCCTCGTATAGATTATTGAATATGTATATTTGGCCATTCTGTTCAGTAAAAATTCTTGTTCCCTTTTCCCCTCCCCTGAAGTGTCTGTTTTTGACTTCTAGTCAGAGATTATGCTTCCTAGCCTGTCAAAATGGCCACCTTGAAAGCTGCAACCTTTTATGAGAAATAAAGCTCTCCTTTCCAAATTCATGAACCTTGTCATTCTTCAGTTGACAATAAAAACAAGATTAGAATAATTAAGGGGCTTCAGAATGAGATCTTTCAATTATTTTACATGTAAGTTCTTTTCAACTGACAAACATTTCTCTCTCTCTTTCTGAAAACTAAGTGGAAAACATAAAAGATTTGAAAAACAATGCCCTAAACATATGATGCATTAAAACATGGTAAAATTATGCCTAGTTAGACTTTAAGGCTGCCTTCTAGACAAATTCTATGTGCAAACACACTAGCTAGAATTCAGTCCACCCAAACCAAAGCAAATTTTACCTCTTTATGTACTGTTTGGGAGTAGTCTCTCATAGAAGAGGGTGTTTGATATATTCTTCTTGTATGATGAAATCCTATCTTGACACAAAGCTTCTAGAGGAAAACAATCTTACTCTAAAATGTAATAGTAACTGCTGCAGCTTAACCGAACAGAGATTTAGATCACTTGTTCATGATTAACGCAAAGATCACTCTCATGATTAATGAAAAAAGTGATCTGTTTTGCATTAGATCAAATCACTTTGTATTAATCATGAAAGCGATCAAACAAAGCAGGTCACTTTTTGATCCATGTTTTCTAATCATTTAACATAAAGCTTTGATAACGTTGAGTAGATTGTTCTCGGTCAAAGCAGCCTCATAAAGCACACTGCTTTTCTGGCTTCCCCAGAGAAACCCACTGATGTATGTTGTAAAATAATATAAGTAATCAGTCTTAGCTCAAATACATAGTCAATCCACCAAAGAAAATTTACTTAAAAAAAAAGAAATGTATCTACAATTATCCAAAGTTGGGTTTTTTGTGACACCCTAATGCCACAGACTCTTGAGGAAAATTTTGTGATATTTGCTAATATTCATTAGCATCTGTATCTATCCATTTGGTGGACACTTGTTGACCATCCTGTATGCTAGGCACTATACAGAGCCTTTATCACATTTATTACACACATGCACATATACATGCACCCCTCCACACATACACACTCCTATATCTGCACAAAAAAACTCCTCTGAAAATGTACCTTTATTAAAATATCCTAAAATTTTGTGGCTTAAACAAAACAAATGCTTATTGCTCATAAGTCTTTGAGTCAAATTGGTGATTCTGAGATCTTGACTGGATTCCCTCATGCATCTGTAGTCAGCTGTGTGTTAGCTAGTTGGTCTTGGCTGGACTCATTCATGTCTGGAGGTCAGCTGATTCCTGACTAGTCTAGTATAGGAATGATGTGTCATTTATATGCCTTGGCACTGTGTCCCCACCCAAATTTCATCTTGAATTGTAATCACTATAATCCCCACGTGTCAAGGGAGCACACTGGTGGGGGGGTGATTGGATAATGGGAGCCGTTTCCTCCATGCTGATCTCATGATAATAAGTGAGTTCTCACAAGATCTGATGGTTTTATAAGGGACTCTTCCCCTTTCACGCTCTCTCACCTGCTGCCATGTAAGACACGCCTGCTTCCCCTTCCACCATGATTGCAAGTTTCCTGAGGCCTTCCTAGCCATGTGGAACTGTGAGTCAATTAAATCTCTTTCTTTACAAACTACCCAGTGTTGGGCAGTTCTTTACAGCAACGTGAGAATGGGCTTATATAGTCATATAGCTCTGTTCCATGTGTCTCATCTTCCAGCAGGCTAGCTGGGGGGCGTAATAGCAGTTAAACCAAAGTAACAAGAGAGCCAGACCCAATATTCAAGTACTTTTCACACTTTGTATGTCTTATCGTTTATAAAGAAAGCCACAATTATTTCTCCCATCTCTTTATATATGCTTCTTTGTAATGTGTCTGTTTACACATTTATTGAATCTGGGGTGGCCATGTGATTTGCTTTGACCTATACAATTTGGCAAAGTGACATTGTTTAACTTCTGAGCATAGGCCTCATGTGGCATTGCATCTTCTGCTTTCATCTTCTTGGAAAGTTGTATTACTATGTGAGGAAACTCCATAAGGCCTACTGGAGTATGAGACCTCTTGGAGCCCAGCCAAAGACCAGCCACCATGCTGAGAACTACTAGGAAAACCAGTCCCTAAATCCAACCACCAGATAAATGCATCTGCATAAGCCACATCAGGCAAGACTGGCAGAGAACTGCAGCTGAGCCAAGTCCAAGTTTGTGACCCACAAAACTGTGGAAAAATAAAATAGTTTTTGTTTCAGTCACTAATTTTAGGAGTGATTTCTTATGCAGCAATAAATAACTGAAAAACTCTATTATGCATTATGTTTGGTAAAATTCCATTGATCAATTCATATCACATAGTTATTTCCAGAGCCAATGAGTGTGCCAAAATGTTCCACCCACAATAGGAAAAGTGAAAAATTAAGACCTTCAATGCAATCAATTTACCATGTAAGCATTTAAAGGTAAAGGAACTAATGATGAGAAGCTTAAATGATTCACATAATATCACCCATTTAGTAACAAAAAGTGTTGATCCTAGCTCATTTAACTATAAAACCTGTGCCTTTTATCATCTATGCCTGAAGAAAATCTATGATAAAATAGAAAGAAAGAAAAAGATGTAAAACTTCAGCTTCTCGAAGCTGGGGACCTTGATTTCTGTAACTTGTTACTCTGTCACTAGAAGTTTCAGTAAAGCATCCAAAACCCCAAATCAAATCTCAACTGAAATGAGTAATATCTACAATCCTTTAAATTTAGCAACATTTTTGACTAAGCATCAGTTGCCCTTGATATTAATCTGATCCCAGTAAAGTGCCGTATTTCTCTTGAATGGGTTCTGACCTAATTCTAAATGTCTGGTTTCTCACATGATGTGCTCCAATTCTTCTAAATAGAGTTCCATTCCGAAATTCCACTTGTGGTAATTGACCTATTTCTTCATTGTTCTCTTTGCTTTTTTCAGTCTCAGTCAGAGACTGGACATATTTTCCTGGTTCACATAACTGGCCAAAGCTTTATTGCCATTTTCAGGCCTTTTTAGTGCTACCTGCCTGGACTTCTAAAAATTACTTGAATCTGTCAATTACCTCATTCTTCACATTGGATAGATGCATGGCTATTTAGGTTTAAACCCTATTGCTAGGTGTTTTCCTGCATATCTTTCCTGCTAAAATCTAAGGTAGAATATTTTATTCATCTTTATGTTACCTGAAAAGACTTTGCAATACTTTGAATTTAGTCAATGTTTCACTAATGAGTGTTCAATAAATGACACAATTAAATGTTCAAATAAATACAGTTTTTATATGGTTTGGATCTGTATCCCAGTCCAAACCTCATGTTCAGTTGTAATCCCCAGTGTTGGAGGTGGGGCCTGGTGGGAGGTGATTGGATTATGGGGGCAGTTTCTCATGGTTTAACACCATCCCCCTTGCTGTTGTTGTCATGTTAGTGAATTCTTGTGAGATCTGCTTGTTTAAAAGTGTGGGGCACCTCCCTACTCTCTCTCCTGCGCCTTCTCAGGGTATGTGAAGAGCTGCTCCCCCTTTGCCTTCCGTCATGATTGTAACTTTCCTGATGTCTCCCCAGAAGCTGAGCAGATGCCAGCATCATGCTTCCTGTACGGCTTGTAAAGTCATGAGCCAGTTAAACCTCTTTTTTAAAAAATAAATAAATCACCCAGTCTCAGGTATTTCTTTATAGCAATGCACGAACGGACTAAAACAAGTTTACAATTTTTCCCAGCACTTTGGGAGGCCAAGGTGGGTGGATGGCTTGAGGTCAGGAATTTAAGACAAGCCTGGCCAACATGGCAAAACCCCGTCTCTACCAAAAATACAAAAACTCAGACGCGGTGCTGCATGCCTGTAATCCCAGCTACTTGGGAGGCGGAGGCAGGAGAATCACTTGAACCTGGGAGGCGGAGGTTGCAGTGAGCTGAGGTCGTATCACGACATTACAGCCTGGGTGACAGAGTGAGACTCCATTTCAAAAAAAAGAAGAAAAAAGTTTACTATTTAAAGACAGCAGTTTCATATGGTTGCTTATGACAGGTATAACCGCTGCTATTGTCTCTTTTCTGATACTATGTTTACACTCATTGGTTAGTAAGAAAATTAACCACTGGTGACTTTAATTATATAATATAGAAACAGCTTCTATTACTTCCTGATGTATCTGTACTTACCAGTGGATTTTCCAGAGTTACTGGGTACCACGGTGATCTGTGCTTCTATGGAGGCTAAATGGAGAAATAGATATCAAATTTAGTTAGTGTCAGGAAAAGCAAATTGGGGGAAAAGCAGTAAATACTACATTTTGGATAGCACAGTGATTTTTCTTTGAGTTGCTTTTTTTGGTTCATAAGACTGGTGAAAAAAAATGAGAAAAGAAGGATGTCTGGAGACTTTTAATAAAGAGAAATCCATCCTGTTTTGATTTTCTATTATTCTGTTTGCAGAAGAAAAAAAAAAAGCAAGCAAGCCCAGTGACTATTGCAGAGTAAATAAGTCTGTGATGGTTAACTTTGTGTCAACTTAATTGGCTCTATAATACCCAGATATTTGGTGAAACATTATTTATGGGTGTGTCTGTGAAAGCATTTCTGGATGAGATTAATATTTCTATCAGTAGACTGAGTGCAACAAATTGTCCTCCCCCAATGTGTGTGGGCCTCATCCAATCTCTCGAAGTCCTGAATAGAATAAATGGCTAAGTGAGAAAGAATTCTTTCTGACTGATTGATTTTCACTGAGTTGAGACATCTGTCTTCTGCCTTTGGATTCAGACATAGGCTGGAACTATACCAGTGGCTCTCCTAGGTCTGAACTTGTGAACCAATTCCTTATAGTAAATACACACACACACAGACACACACACATACACATTCTGTTGTTTCCACTTCTCCGGAGAACCATTAATAATACAAAGTTCTTCCTAACAATAATGTAAATGGAATCTTCGAGCAAGCCAAGCATTCAATGAAGCTCTCATATCCCAGCAAAATTAAAAGTGACGATCCCCTAATTTCATTGTTTAACCTGCAATCATTTTAAAGCACCTGCATTCTGAAAATACATAAACTATTCAGCAAATATATAAAAGAAACAAGGTTTTTAGCACAAAAGGCCAAAGAAAGGTAAGGTCTACATTTTCCTATGGACATTAGCAAGTCTTGAACAAGTAATTACATGAATAATATCTGTTTTTAAAGGTCTGATGGTTTTCATGGTACTAACCAAAGATGTATTTATCATTTTCCAAGGTTCACACAACATTAATAAAAAAGTGATGTCACAGCTCCCCATACTATTGCCAGAGCAAGCTTTTGTTTTTATATTGTATCTACTATCAGAAAGTGGGATGGAGACTAGAAAAGGTAGATAATTAGTACTTTCTTTCCTCCTTTCTCTTTTTTTCTACTTAAGAAATACTCAAAGGTATTTTATATGATTTATAATTACGTGTGTGTGTGTGTGTGTGTGTGTGTGTGTGCGTGTGTGCATGTGTATGGACACTTCCAGTTTTAAAAATCCATTGAAGAGGTACATCAGCAGGAGAAACTTAGCTGAAGCTACATAATAATATATAAGAATGCTCCAAAATCACACACTCGGAAGATTTAAAGGAAAGAAAAAAATTAATGGCCAAAAATTTTATGGGAACAAAACCTTTCATGAAAAGATGAATTCTCATGAAAAGAGAATTTCTTTTTTGTCTTTTTTTCCTCTTACTGCTCTGAGTTTAAGAAAGTGGGCCATGTAATGGCTGTCATAACAATTGTCAAGTATCTAATATATAAATGTCATATTGCTGAAAATATCAGAATTGTCGATAATTTAAAATAGGAAGAATCCAGTATAGAAATATACTATGAATAAGACATTTTTGCTTTTCCCTCGGAGCCACTGGTACAATATGCCATTTTTATTAACAAAAATGGACAAGAAAATGAAAATAATGCTTAAAAAATCTCATGTAAGTTTTCAAATCAAGTGGCATCAGTCCTTTGACTCTGTTTTTCTCCTTCAGTATTTTATTGGCTCTGGTGGGTATTTTGACTCCTTTTTAAACACCTTGATTGAAGTACAACTCACAAACCATAAAATTCACCAATTTAACACATTTTGTGACTTTTAGTATATTCACAGTTATAAAATCATCACCGAAATCTAATTGTAGAAATATTCCATTAACCCGATAAGAAACTCCATACACATTATCATTCATTTCCTATTCACACTCTTCCCCAGACCTCTGACTCAGAAAACTGCTCATCTCTGTTCTGTCTCTATTGATCTGGCTATTATGGACATTTAATATAAATGAAATCTGACAATATGTGGTCTTTTGTGACTAGATTCTTTCACTTTGCAAAATATGTTCAAGGTTGATTTCATATTGCAGCATGTATCAGTAATTTATTTCTTTTTATTGATAAATAGCATTCAATTGTATGGATATACCATGTTTCATTTATCCATCAGTTGATAAACAGTTGCGTTATTTTCACTTTGAGGCTATTATGAATAATGCTGGTCTGAACATTTGTGTACAAGCTTCTGTGTAAATGTATATTTTTATTTCTCTTAAATAAGTAAAGTAGTGGGATTTATGGGTCATATGGTAACTCTGTGTTTAGCCTTTTGATGATCTGCAAAACTGTTTTCAAAAGTGGTTGCAGCATTTTCCTTTTCCACCAGTGTAGTGGTAGGTCTCACTGTGTTCTCCAAAAATTCATATGTTGAAACCCTGTGATAATATTTGGGGCCTTTGGGGATTAATTAAGTCCTGAGTTTGGAGTACTCATGAATGATGTTAGTATCTCAATAAGAAGAGTCCAGAGAGTTAGCTAGCACTCTTTCCACCATGTGTGTCACAGAAAGAAGATTGCTGTCCGTAAACTGAGAAGAGGGCTTTCACTAAACACCCACCCCTGCTAGCATCCTGATCTCAGACTTCTATACCTCCAAAACTTTGAGAAATATGTGTTTGTTGTTTAAATCATTCAGGTAAAGGCATTTGATTTTAGTAGCTCCAGCTAAGACAACTGGCATTGCTCCCAATTTTTCTAAATCCTCACAAACACTTGTAATCTATCTTTTTGAGTATAGCCATCCTAGTGCTTGTGAAGTGGTATTTTATTGCGAATGCATATGATTTTGTTTTCCTTTTTTGTTATTAATATTTACTTTTTAAAAATTAATAGGCCCTTGTTCTATAACAAGAAGTATAGAGTTCCCATATAATCCCTCCTCTCCCTGCCCCATACACTGTTTCTCTTATTATTAATATCTTGCATCAGTGGGATGCATTTGTTATAATTTATGAATCAGTATTGACATATTATAATTAATAAAGTCAGTTGTATATATTAGAGTTCACTCTATAATTTGTACATTCTTTGGGGGTTGATAAACATAAAATGGCAGGTATCCACCTTTATAGTATCATATGAAATAGTTTCATTGCCCTAAAAATCCTCTGCGCTCTGCCTATTCATTCCTCCCTCCCTCCCAATCCCTGACCACCACTGATCCTTTTGCTGTCTCCATAGTTTTGCCTTTTCCATAAAGAATCTCATATGGTTGAAATCTCAAAATGTAACCTTTTCAGATTGGCTTCCTCGACTTAGCAATGTGCATTTAAGTTTCTTCTATGTCTTTCCATGGCTTATTAGATAATTTCTTTTTAACACTGAATGATATTTCATCCTATGTTGTGCTACTGTTTATCCATTCGCTCACTGAAGGACATCTTAGTTGCTTCCAAGTTTGGGCAATTGTGAACAAAACTTCTATAAACATTTGCGTGAAGATCTATGTGTGGACATTAGTTTTCAACCCAATTGGGTAAATACCAAGAAGAGCGATTGCTGCATCATATGTTAAGAGTATGCTTAGTTGTATAAAACACTGCCAAACTGTCTTCCAAAGTGGCTGCACCCTTTTTCAATCCCATCAGCAATGACTGAGTGTTCTGATTTCTCCACATTCACACCAACATTTGTTATTTTCTGTTTTTTTATAATAACCATCCTAATTGTTGTAAAGAAATATGTCACTATGACTTTGATTTGCATTTCCCAAATATCTAATGATGTTCAGTAATTTTTCATGTATTTTTCATCTGTATATTCTCTTTGGTGAAATGAATTTGGCCATTTTCTAATTGCATTGTTTGGTTTTTCTGGAATACAAATTGGTTTTCTTTCATGGATCATGCTTTTTGTGTTATGTCTAAGAATTCGTCATCAAATTTTAGGTCCTGAAGACATTTTACTGTGTTTTCTTCTAACAGTTTTATAGTTTTACGTTTTCCATCTAAGTCCATGTTTCAGTTTCAATACATTTTAATACAAGATGAGAGATTTAGGTTGAGGTTCTAATGATTTTTCCTGATGAATATTTCATTTTCTAGCACCATCTGTTGAAAATAATATTTTTTCACTGTTGGATGTCTTCTGCATCTTTGTCAAAAACCAATTGTCTCCTCTTAGATGGTGTATTTGTTGATTTTCTATTTTGTCCATTAATTCATGAGACACTTTCTTCATCAATAGCACACAGACTTGATTATGGTAGTCATATAATAAATCTTAAAATTTGATAGAGTGATTCATTGCACTTTACTCTTTGACAAAATTTTTAACTAGTTCTTTTTTATTTCCATATAAATACTGCATTTTAGTATCTATTAATTTTTCTCTAAACAAAAAGAATATATTAGAATACACAGAAAATATTTTAAATTTCAGATTTCAAAATGTGAAAATGTGTGTCTGTGTGTTTGGGGCAAGTGGTTGTGGTAAAAGAGTAAGAATGTTCCTTAATATAGCATACCATGATTTGTTTTTTTCTAAGTTGTGTGTATAAATTGTATTTCACCTTTTTTTAATCAAAGTCACTGTATAATGTCAACTGTAATTTATTTCCTCAGTTCACTGCCTGGTACCTGGCAGGCATTCAATAAATGGTAAACAACACCTTCATTAACATAAGGATAGAGCTGCTTTATCATATCTTTGTAAATTGGTTGATTAGAATACATATTATTGCTTCATTGGGCCCTTGATAAAAAGAGGAAAGGATTGAGACTTGTATATTCCTGATTTCAGTGCAAACATTGTGGCCTCCTGGCTATGCCTTTGTATATGCAGCAAGGAATAATTCATTTCTGAAAAGTTTTATTATTGTATTATTAAACACATGAGTTTAGAGTGTAAAACAAAAGGGTTTTTACTTTTACCCTCCAGTGCCAAATCAGTTTATACTGACTCAATCTGTGTTAATCATACAGAATCTCTCCAACTCTCTTTTTTCTCTTCTCATCTTGATTTTTTTAGCATTTTAATTCATCTACCTCCTCATGGAGTCCTGTTTTTTTGTTTTTGTTTTGTTTTTGTTTCTTTCTTCTCTAGGCCTCAAACCTAGATACAAATTATTCCAGTATGTTGGGTTTTTCCTTCTGTCATCGTGATGATAAACAAGATGGGAGCTGGGTAGAATCAGAGGCTTCTTAGACTGAAATAACACAGAGAATACCTCTGTCTAGCCTGAAGTTGACTCAAAGTACTTACAAGAGAGACAAACCTTTTTTTCTAATAATATTTCTTACTTCTTTAACAAAATCCTGGCACATGCTATTGTTAACAGGATTTCTGCCACTTTACAAGGACCAAACAAATATTATTTTTAAATCCTAGTTTAGTATGACCCATGAGCTCAGAAAGGAAAGTGGGTATGTAAGGTGCACCCTATCTCAACAGAGCAATAGAGAGTGATTTTTAAAATCTTACTATAGTATTTTCTTTAAAAATCAGAAGAAATAGATCTGTTTTCTGTAACTCATGCCTCTGCATTTGTGGAAAGATTTATAATACACAGAAGGTAGTCACACATTAGTGATTTATTTTATCCTCATGAACCATTGTCGGAGTAGAGAAAGGAGGTATTATTACTGTTATTCAAATTTAAGACACGAAGAACCTGAGAGTTAAATGATGCCTGCAACGTTACAGAGCCAGAATTTCTAGCTCCAAGTTAGCAGAAACTTTCCAACATACCATATTTTTTTCTTGCATACTATGCAAAAAGTGGGTTAGTAATCATAAAAATAAAACTACAAAATAAAAAACTTTTGAAAAAATCAGAAAAACATTTCAATCAGTGCATATAGTGCAAAACTCAGGCTTGAAATTACAAGTTTGTATATTGTATTTTCAATTTTTAAAAATATTTTAAAAGCCTAATTTCTTTGGATTAAGATCACAGGAAACATTTTTCAATACCCAAAAGTCTCCATAATCCAAGGAAAACCTATTCTTGACAATACAACAAAGAGAAAAATAAAAGAGAGCAACAGATAAAGAGCAATTAAGAAAGAAGGAAAGAAAGAAAGAGAAGGAAAGAAAAAGAGAGAACTGAAAACACTGGGCAAATGTATTTCCTATTATTAATATTAATTCATTTAAAGTATCAGAAATTTTAATGATTAAGTTGTTTTACCTAGATGGAAGCTATTGATTAAAATAAATGTTCATCACTGAGAGATTGTTAAAAGATGACTGAGGTCAAACACAAAGAAGTGTTTTACAACCATTGAGACCCCAGTTTGTGCCTCATCTCTTAGACTTAAAAGATATGCAACCTGATATGAGCTCAGACAGGAAACAAATGCACAGGCCCAGCAAGACTTACCATCTTGATATATACAGTGTTAGACTAACACAAATTGATTATACACTGGTTCATTGCTGCAGAGAAAAACCTATAGCTACAATTGGGTTTTGCTCTTGGGATTGAAAGTCACAAAAATATCATATTCCTGTCCTTGAATATTAATTAATTTTTCTTAGTGATCACTTTGGGCAATAAAGGACCACAGAAGAGTAAAAGGTTCCCATAAAATTCAGTTACTCTGTGTTTAAAGGAAATAAGGTGTACTTTTATGTCAGAGGTGTGGTTTCTTATATGACAGCTTTGGTAACAACTGGTGATTATTCTGGACATCTACATAATTACTAACAGTTATCCATGACAATTTTATGTATTCTTCAGGAAAATCCTGATTGATCAATGTATATTCAATCATGTATTGCACATATGGAAATATATTTAACCCTTTTATAGTATTGAAAAAATATAGTCTGGCTGTGTCATGATTAGGAAAAATTCATTCAAATATTTAATATATAAGGAAATAAAATATAGCTGTAAAACACAGAAGAAAAAAAAGTTACACCCAATAAAGTACACTTTTCTGCTATTTAATAAGGCTTAATTGCAGAAACAAATGTTTCCATTGACAAACGGAACGAATCTAAACACCATTGACTATCTCTGAAGAGAAGGAAATTTAGCAAGTGTCTTAAACCCTCTGCTGAGGTTTCCTCATCCGTTAACTAAGGCATATAAAGAGCGTTGTCCTCACAAAGAAATTTTTCCTTTAATCAGTATCTTTAAATATACAAAATAAGTTAGAAGCACTGCAAAATTTAAAGTGAAATAGTTAGATACATCAAATAAAATCTAAACTAAACCAGCTGACAATGTTTATTTGGTCTTGTTCATAAGGCTTCGAAGTTTGGAGTCAGAAGATCTAGAATCGACACTTTGCAAAGACCGTCACAATGCTTTGCCCTTTCTTGTATCCACATGCTTTGTCATATAAATTCGCAATCCCCTCCCATGGGGTTGGGGCAGACACAATTTCTATCCCTGCATTCAGCCATGTATTGATTTGGCCAATGAGATGTTAAAAAATGTAATGCAAATAAAAGATTGAAGTTAACTTATACAACTGGGCTCATTCTCACATTTTCCCTTTACTACTATCATGAAAGGCATTTCAAAGATAGCCTGACACAGGATAAGAGACACATGGAGAACAGCTGATGTTTCTGAGTTTTCCCAGGTGGGGCCATACTAGATCACCTGATAAACCACGTAACCTCCAAGCATGATAAACAGAGTTGCTGCTAGGACCACTCCAACCATATGAGCAATAAGTTCTCACAGTTATTTGCCACAAAAGTTCTGTTGTTGCTTGTTTCACATCATTATTAAGGCTAGAGGCAGATAGTGAAAAAATGTGTACTGAACATAGAGTGCTGCTGTAACAAAAATATAGTCCATTGATTTGGGGACCAGGAGACAGGCAGTAAAAATACCATCAGAGGAGGCTGGAAAAATTGGGAGAAGACTGCTACAGGAAAATTAAAGTTTTATAACTTGTGTTATGAAGTTATGTCGCATTTATTAAAATTGTTACAAGTAGTGCAAAAATTGGAAAATATACCTAATAAACTTTGGGGCTTGACTGAAGAGATCTTCAAGAAAAGTATTGAAAACATCTTTTGGTTGCATTTGGCTGTTCATGGTAATTTTCTAAAAGAAAAATGCAGGATAAAGCACTGCACAGTTTCCAAGCAGCATTTAGCAGGCAGGTGGAGAGCTTAGGTATTCTGAAAATTGCTAGTTTGGAAAATAAAAATTATTCTCAGCTTCGGCCTCTCAAACAAGTAAAAGATTCTCATATTAATACATTGCTTTAATTCAAAGACTGAATCAAGGCTTTCTGAGACGCTTCGTTAAGACAAAAATTGAAGAATTAAAGGTGCCAAGTAGATCTCCTCAGCTGGAAAAATGGACTCCTAGGAATCCTAAAGGGGTTGTATCACAACAACCTGACCTGTAAAGATACCAGCTTAGAACTGAAACCATAAAAACCCTAGAAGAAAACCTAGGCATTACCATTCAGGACATAGGCATGGGCAAGGACTTCATGTCTAAAACACAAAAAGCAATGGCAACAAAAGCCAAAACTGACCAATGGGACCTAATCAAACTAAAGAGCTTCTGCACAGCAAAAGAAACTACCATCAGAGTGAACAGGCAACCTACAAAATTGGAGAAAATTTTCACAACCTACTCATCTGACAAAGGGCTAATATCCAGAATCTACAAAGTACTCAAACAAATTTACAAGAAAAAAATCAAACAACCCCATCAAAAAGTGGGCGAAGGATATGAACAGACACTTCTCAAAAGAAGACATTTATGCAGCCAAAAGACACATGAAAAAATGCTCGTCATCACTGGCCATCAGAGAAATGCAAATCAAAACCACAATGAGATACCATCTCACACCAGTTTTCTAACTGGCGACCATTAAAATGTCAGGAAACAATAGGAAACAACAGGTGCTGGAGAGGATGTGGAGAAATAGGAACAATTTTACACTGTTGGTGGGACTGTAAACTAGTTCAACCATTGTGGAAGACAGTGTGGCGATTCCTCAGGGATCTAGAACTAGAAATACCATTTGACCCAGCCATCCCATTACTGGGTATATACCCAAAGGAATATAAATCATGCTGCTATAAAGACACATGCACACGTATGTTTATTGTGGCACTACTCACAATAGCAAAGACTTGGAACCAACCCAAATGTCCAACAATGATAGACTGGATTAAGAAAATGTGGCACATATACACCATGGAATACTATAAAAAATGATGAGTTCATCTCCTTTGTAGAGACATGGATGAAGCTAGAAACCATCATTCTCAGCAAACTATCACAAGGACAAAAAACCAAACACCACATGTTCTCACTCATAGGTGGGAACTGAACAATGAGAACACCAGGACACAGGAAGGGGAACATCACACACTGGGGCCGGTTGTGGGGTGGGGGAAGGGGAGAGGGATAGCATTAGGAGATATACCTAATGTAAATGACGAGTTAATGGTTGCAGTACACCAACATGGCACATGTATACATATGTAACAAACCCGCACGTTGTCAATGTACCCTAGAACTTAAAGTATAATAAGATATACATATATATATATATATATATATATATATATATATAAAAGAAAGATACCAGTAACCATAAGTCTAAACAGGTAGGCAACTGGAGTGTAACTTTTGGTGCACATAATGAATATGTGCACAATTGGGGTGTAACTTTTGGTGCACACAATGAACTCAAATCTGATGCAGAGAAAAGCCATGAAGTTTTTAAGATAGTCACACTTGTAACATAAATAAAATTTCAATAGCTACTGAAAACCAAAAAAAAAACACAAACACCAAAAAACAACAATAAAAAAGACAGTTGCCATAGCAAAAGCAACACCTAAAGGGGCTGGGTCATTCTCAGTTTATGGAACCAAGGCTTAACCAAAGAACATATCTCATTCCAATATGTTCTGCTGGCAATATTTTCCCTGGAGAGATTTTAGAATTGATACAGACAAGTGACTGCCATGGTGCCTCCTCTTTTTTCTTATTCAAATGAAAGTGCTTATTGTAGTTACTCTTTCCCTGAATGAATGACCCAAAATAGATATTTATCATGTTCATGGATTTTGTGAGTCACGAATTTGAATCGGAAACAGTGGAAATGGTTTCCTTCTACTGAGTGATCTCTGGCACTTCTGCTAAGGAACTTGAAGGGTAGGGGCTACAATTATCTGAAGTTTGTTCATGAAGATGTCTGGTGATAGATGTTGGTGGGAACTTTAACTTTACCTGTTGAGCATAACATTTTTAAGACATTCTGGTCTTGGTCTCCTCACAACATAGTGGCTGGGTTTAACCAGAAATATTGCTGAGGCCAATTAATTCGAGTATTTAAGGGCAGATAATTTATCTTTTTATTTTATAGTTATCTAGATCAAGAACCCATATTGAAACCTGTTTAAGATTATACAATTTTGGATCCCGTGAGACTGATATTATAACTGGGTATTTGGCTGGAGAGGGGTTGGTGAAATAAAGCTGAAACATTTCACATATTAGAAATTCTTGAATAATTATGGCTGGTGGTGAAGACTGTGCTAGTTTACACTTATCAACCCAATAATTTACCTTTTCTTGTCTTCACACACTCTGCCATGTAACGTTTCAATGCTTTTCCATGGTAGGTATAAGATGATTGATATAATTACCCTCCCTTGAGCCTAGCCATATGTCATGTCTTGGCCAATGAATTATTAGCAGACATGATGCAAACAGAAGTTTGTACTAGTCTAATAAAACTGTCCTTGCCCTTGCCATTGCTGTCTGCCACCACCATGAGAAGAATGTTGTGGCAAAAAGGAAAAAAACTGATATTCACATATCATAACCCAAATAACATCCATTAGAAAGACAAAAATGAATGCTACTCTCGATTACACTGTAGTTTACTGCTAATTGGAAATGCACATCTGGGTTAATTAACACTTTACTTGATCAAATTCTGCCCATGCGCTATATTAATTGGGCACATGTTTGAAAAAATCAGTACTTACTATTCAGGAGAGAAATGCTCAGATGTACACATATCACACTTGCATCCTGTTGAGCCACAGGGAAGTGGTGAGCATCTGTATGAGATCGCCATTTGTACTGTTAAGCAGAGCACCCAACAAATTATCTGTAGAATGCAGTTAATGTTAACTAGAATACCAATGACTTTTGCACATCTGTTGTGAAATCACATTTACATACTTAACACTTTACTGCAGGAAATTTCCTATTTGAAAGAAGGAGACCAATGAGGCACTTTGCAATGAAAGGGCCTATATAAATGAAAATGATTATTACTTTATTAGTTATAAACGGACATCAGTTGTAGATTTAGCTTCGGATATAAGTCTATGAAAATACCTATGCATATTTTAATAACTAATAATTATGCACATCATTGTTCCTTATAACTTAGATATATCACAGAAGCTGAAGAAATGGTTTTATAATATAAAGAAAGTCTGAGTGAGCAGAAAAGAAGCCACTTTGTGGGTGTTTATTCTCCCATACAGAGAGATAATGGAATAATTTAGTGTTACTCCAGGCAACCACATTACTCCTAGTTTGAAAAACATTCATCTATATCAAACATCATTGATTAAATTAGGCACAAGTAGTAACCTAAGTGATATCACTTTCAGGCAATCTAAAGCATCCTGTTGGATAGTTCTTATAATATGTATGTCTTTTGAAAAATACTTACATATTCCCTTGAGGCCAGGAGAAATTCATGGGCATTAAATTTCCAATTGCTGCTAAAAATTATTAGAAATATACTCAAAAGATAGTTTCAGACAAGTTGGTGTAAGAGTAGGTTCTGGAATCAGACAGTCAAAATTAGTGTCTCCAGCATTAATTAACCCACTGGGCAACTTTGACTTCTTTAATTAATCTCTGGTGCCTCAATTTCCCCATCTGTAAAATGTTAATGTACTCATGTCATATAATTGATGTGAGGATTAAATGAGTGAATACAGTGCTTAGCACATGATATGCATTCAAAAAATGTGAGCCATTAATATATTTAAATGTAATAATACAGATCAGTTGCTTAATCATATCTGATTACCTGTTAGAATCATTAGGTGTACCTATGACAGCAGCAGATACTGGGTACTGGGTTTTAACCATTAATTTCCTGACAGTAAATGCAATGGTATTATTTTTTCATGTGTCTCGATACAAAGATAATAGGTATTAGAACAACTCAAGCAGTCATTGTTTTTATCTCCAGGAACTCTTCCATTTTGAATATTGAGGAATAATGCTACCAGCTGCGGGGAAAAATTACTCTCACTACAAAAATAAAGAAATTATTATTTAGGCTCTAACATTACTTTTCCATACAACTTGTGGTAGATCACTTCTCTTTTCTCTGGTAAATATGATAATACTAGAAAGTCTATATTAGAAGCTGCAGAAGTCACTTCCAAAGCTAAAATTATAGAATTGCTTATGTATATTCAAACCCAGCACAGGTTTTGGAATCAGACATATAATATAATTGTGAGCTCTAGTTTTGCTTTTTTGCTTTATGGGACTCCATCTTTTTCACAGTAAGTACATAATATTTTTGTAATAATTGATACATGTAAAGTGCTTGCCAATGAGAAGTACCTATGGACACTGGAACACTTATTACTGAGGCATGTCATGGTAATAAAAGTCCAACCTCTGGAATCAGATCAGCTGGGTTGAGATTTTGGCTCTTCTACTTAGGATCTTACTAAAGTCTTTAAATCTCAGGGTCTTCATTGAATAATAATGCAATGTCATTGACAGGATTGTTATGATGAGAAAGCCAATGTGTATAGAGAATTTAATACTCCTTTTATAACATGAATCATAAATATTAACTATTATTTCTTCTAATCATTATAAATATGCTTCTATATCATACCATTTGTGTTATTTATTATGGGTTTTTTATTCATATTTTTATGTAGATCTTCCTCCTAGGCCTCTTTTTTTTATCAGAGAAATGTCATTCAGTATATTAGATTCTTAAAGGTCAAGGAAAAATATGGCAAGAATTAAGAATCTGATGAGCATGTTTTAAGGGGCAACCTGAGGAGCAATAATCTTCGCATTCTGCCAGATATGTTTTAAAGCAGTATATGAGATTTTATTTTGCTCCCTGCACCTCTCTAGCCACATTTTCACACTGGAAGTCTCCCACTATGTAGAGCTTTGCATGACATTGTCCACCTAGTGAAATTTTTAGATGTGATTTTGGCAAACTGCCCACTTACAGAGACCATGTTCGATATAAGCAGGTTAACACTGTAAGCACCAACATTCACTGTGTGAATGTTAGAGTCCTCTGTATAGCAGTAACTGATGTCAGTGCCTGTTATAAACCAAGGCACTTTTTATGCCCATGGATAAAAGAACTGTTCCTTTGTAAGTATTCTATCCAAAAACTACCCAGACAGGTGTCAAGTGATAACCTGGCTCCCAAAACTATTGCAGAACCTTAATGTGTATTTATTTCTGTGTATTTATTCCTGTGTGTTTATGACATTTCCATAGAGTTCTCTGTAGATATTTTTTTCTTCATTGAAAGGGCATTTTACTTTTATTTCTCTTCTTCTTAGTAAAAGCACATGGTTGATGTTATTTAAGGCCTAATATCCCAAAGTGGAGTAGTATATGAGGTCATAAATGGCTCTAGCAGTTATCAAAAGCCTCGGCTTCAACCTGAGCATTTAATCATCTGTAAAAGCCAGTTATAGGCTCATATACTTTCCTATCATGAACATTCCTCTTCTTATATGACAAGGCAAAAATATTTTTTTAAAAATAGATTAAACAAACCACATCATCAAAAATTACTAATAAATATTTTTGCTTCCCTCATAAGAATTTGGAAGTTCTGGACTTTTGCTGACTTCTTTCAATGTGCATTAATTGTTTAATGTTTATTCAGTACTTTGAAGGTGGAATGCACTCTATATAAGTGTTAAGTATTATTAATGGTGTTATTATGTGAGGTTAGTTTGGAAGCATGGACTAGATGAATAGCACAAGGGAATATACTATGGGGAAAAGAAATGAGATTTGTGATTAGACACATTTCATCTCAGAGAAGATTTGGTTTTCTTCTGAGAAAGGATATATTTATATTTTCTGAGATTCGATTGGTCAAAATGCTTTCTTTCATATACTCCTACAGGATGTATTATACCAATACTAGAAATTTCCATAATAAAGAGTGCTATGTTTCATATATAGGAAGAAAAGGTTACTGACGCACCACTGATAAAATAAGCATTGTAAATAATTTTCAAAATAGAAATGAGAGGTTTATACTCCTATAGAGTTTCTCAACTACTTTCCCTTTCAAACAAGGATATCCATATTATAGATTACACACACACACACACACACACACACACACACACACATTCTCCTCAGAGTCAATGCTGTAGTTGGTATGCCCAGGTACAGAACTTTCTGGCCTATATATGGTTTGAAACCCTAGCGTGTTTTGTTTGGATCACAGTTAATTAATGACCAAAGCTCCTTCCAGTGAACAAAACAAAAATTTTAAAACTCTTATGTTCACTGTACAGCAATAATGAATGCTAACTTCTCCCCACTCAATATTTTGTAATTGAACTTCTATTTCAAAATAAATAAGATGTAAGTCATTTTCAAATTATAGAAAATGCTATAAGCATTGCTTAATTCCCACAATTTAGCGTGAAGGTAAAATATTTTATGGCTCTCTTAAAGTATTGAGTTCCTGGACTAAAAATGGAGAGATGCAATTTATAATGATTTTGATAACAGAGATTCATTTGTGCAGCCAATTTGATCAAGGCATTTTCTGTTTTTTATATTCAAGTCAACTATGCACTTTCTCTCTTCCCTTCTAATTATACTCTATTGTTTTTCTTGGGGAATGAACTATGAAGAACACTTTTGTTTGTTGACAGAAATGGAACTGAAGAATATTTTCATGGAAGATTTATGATACATAGCCAATTACATCTGGATTGCAGATAGCAAATTAGTTTTGGATTTGTCTCATTCAAAAATCATTGACAAGTGTGATTCATCATAATAATTTTGCAAAGGAATCATAACAGATCATAGCCTGCACCACAAATGATGCTCCATCACAATCCATCAAGATTAAATTGTGGTCTAGAGTTAGATGAATGAGAACTTGGAATAATATATAAACATTGATAATTAGAGTTGATTTGAAGTAGGGAGCATGTAGATTTGTGTGGTGTGGTTTTGTTACCTTGTTTTATACTGAGCAGATTAAGAATTGTTTGTGTTTGCTGCTTTTAAATTGTATTAGAACCCTCATGAAAATTCTTCCTGAACTTACAAGCAAAACTCGGTTAACCTATTTAAATATCATTAGAGTAGTCTGCATTGAAATAATTTCATGGGAAATTATACATCTTTTATGACAATTTTAAGAAATGCTAGATGAGGTTTACAAAAGTTTCAACCTTAGGAAAAATTACCCTCAAAAGGATTGTCCTTCTCTAAGTCTGGTTTTCTTCCTGTGACTTAAAAAGCAATGCAAAATTCAGATTACTATTCTCAAATCGATTTTCACTTCCAAACTGTAGTATTCCTCCTTACTGCTTTCTTGAAACTCTCCTGATGATTCTGAAGTTACCATGAGTTTATAACCTTTATTTAATAAATATTTGTTGAATATTCTTCTACATGACACGTACTGTTCTAGACATTGGGTACATACAACATTAATAAACTTGACAAAACCGCCTTCTTTGAGCTTACACTCTTATGGAAGAAACCAGAAAATAAACAAAAATAAATATCTTGATGATACATTGTTGTTGGAGAAAAACAAATCACAATAATGTTTAGGGAATGTGAAATGGAAAGAAGATTTCATAAGTTTTCAAAAGTGCAATATCTGCAGATGTGTCTAAAAAAATCCTATCTTTTCTCTCTTGTATGTCTTAAAAGAAAGTAACTAAATCAACCACCCACAAAGCCTTGTAAGTACTATCTGCTTATTAGACCCGCTAGCTGTCCACTGGTTTTGCTCAGAAAGAGCCACATTTTATTGAATGCCTGTCTCTAATGCGAGAAGGGTTATAGTTAGGTACCTAACTTAGACCGACAGACTGTCCTCATTACTAGAAAAGAGACTCAGAAAATATTTACTCCTGTTCTCTTATTGTATTGTGGAGGAATTTTATACAAACAGAAGAAATCACTTGCTCACAATTCTATGACTAGTGAAGTCGGCACTAAGATTTAGCCTAAATTTTGTAACTCCAAATTCAATATTCCCTGCTGCCATTCTGCCCACCCTGCTGCCTTTCTTTGCCAAGCATGCTGGATGCCCCACCGTTGCCCTCCCTATCCCAGCTGCTTGGTATTCCCTCCTCACTCATGCCCAGCTCAGAAAGGTTTAAGGTAAGAGAATATTTATTCAGAGGACGCAAGCAATAAAAAGAACATTGAGAGTGCATCCCCAAGATATTAAGACTAAAACCATCCTGCTGGGCACAATGGCTGTCTCTGGTAATCCCACCACTTTGGGAGCTGAGACGGGAAGGTCACTTGAGGCCAGGAGTTTAAAACCAGACTGGACAACATAGCAAGAGCTTTTCTCTACTAAAAGTAAACATAAAAAAATTAGTCTGGCATGGTGGTGCGCACCTGTAGTCTCCGCTATTTGGGAGGCTGAGGTGGGAGGATTTCTTGAGCCCAGGAGTTCCAGGCTGTAGTGAGCCATGATCACACAACTGCACTCCAACCTGGATGACAGAGTGAGACTCTGTCTCAAAAAAAAAAAAAAAAAATCTAAACCATCCTAATACAGAAAGTATGTATAAGGGCATCTAAAAAGAGTTATTTTTCCCATGATGACTTATTTGCAACATCAAATACCCAGTTCTTGGCAAGAAAGTCTTGACTGGCTCTGCTTGACTAGGATCCTAGTGCATACCAATTCTGCTTGAGAGGGGATCCATCACTGACACTCAGAGTCCAGCCCTTGGTTTACGATCCAATTTCCAACTTCATTTATATTAAATATGATGTGGCAAAGGCTGGCTAAGCATTCATCAAACTTACTTCACTCCCCTTTAAAGTCAGGTGTGACTATATTTCTAGTATCAGGCAACTGGAATGTGGTGAAAGTGATGTATACCACTTTCAGGGCTGATCTCCAAACTGCCCATTGTGATCCTTCCTGCTTTCTTCATTCCCTGGCTAAAAGAAAAGGACTCTGGGGGGACCTAGAGGAGGCCAGAGCCACATGATGGAAGACTTTGGTCTCTAGATTATGTTATAAAAGTCTGTTTGCCATATACCACATCGAATTGCTATGTTAACAAGAAATGCATTTCTGTTGAGTTGAGCCACTGAACGTTTGGATATTATTTTTTTATCTAGTAGCCTACCCTGGTTAATACATGTGTAGTGCATCCACATATTTAAATGCATGTCGATGCTTCTTACGCTCCTAAAAGTTTCATAAACTTCATTGATTTTTTACATTAATTTCCATATACTGACAAATAACAGAATTTGGAAGTACTTTGCATATGAAATTTCCAATGTATACCTTTAAGCACACCAGAGCTTTTTTTCTTGGGAGTGCTATCATTTCCTAAAGTTTCATCCCTTTTTCAGTCAGTCCATATTACAGGACTGACTTTGCAAGATAACCCATAATTGCTTGCATATTTTATCTTTATGTAAATGGTTAGTATTTTTATTATTAAGAGTAATAAGATATGCAAAAGTTAAGAAGACTAATACAACTCCCCATGTACTCATATACCCAGCTTCAGAAATAAAATGTTCTCACTATAATTGAAACCTTTGGTGAAGTTCTCCTCAGTCACATTTCTTCTCATCCTTTCCAGATATAGCCATTGTCTTGATTTTGGTGTTCAACACCTCTAGGTATTTCCTTATCATTTTAATGCAAATATCTGTTCCTAAGTAATAGCTAGTATTATTTTGCATGCATTTACATGATCTTCATGAGTATATAAATACATACAGGATGGACACTACAATATATGTTCTTCTCAAATTTATTTTGGTTACCATGATGCTTTTAAAATTTACCCTTATTTGTATGAGTGACTCCAATTTATTCATTTTCACTGCTTCATTTCATTGTATTGTCTATACTATAATATGCCCCTCCTTTTTTGATGAGGTGGTTTCTGAATTTTTGCCTTTTAAAACACTTGCTATTTAAAACATTATAATACATGTCCTTTTATGTATATGTATGAGTTTTGTTTTCATAGGGTACATATATAGACATAAAACTTCTGGATTTTAGGGGCTATCAATCAAGATAAATTAGTTATGCTATAGCAATTAATAATTCTATAATCGCAGTAGCTTAACATAAAACAGTTGAGAACTTGTTCACACAAATTTTGCTGTCCAAGTGATGCTCTAGGGTAGCTATCGTCTAGGTATAGAATGCTCTGATTTTACCATAACTCCATACCACCATAAGCTCACATGGTCGCTGGAGCAGAGCAAGAGAGTTCATAGAGTACAGTCTAAAAGCTCTTGAGTATTTGACTTAGAAATAAAATGCATCACTTCCATTTGCATTTTCTTGGCCAATGCAAGACTCACAACTACGTCTAACATCAAGACAACAGGAAAGTTTAGATTCCCGTGGGCTAGATAGGAGAAAAAAACAGGATGTGTGTCTTTATTTGTATTCAATATTTTATTTAACATTAATATAAATTAATATTAATATAAATTCTATTAATAATTCCAAAAGTTCCTCCAAAACTCTGCTAATTTATACCAACTGTGTAGTTTGGAGAATTAGTTAGGCTCTACATCATTGCCAATACTTGATGTTGTCAGACTTTTTCATTTTTGTGAACTTGGTGGACATAAAATAGCATCTTACTATGATTTAAATTTCCCTCTCCATGGCTAATACTGAGGATGACTGCTATTTTACGTATTTTTCCTTCTAGGAAATGCTGTTGCTGTTTTATCAAGTTGTCATTTTCTCTTTGATATGTAATTTTTAAAAAACATATTCTGGATTCTAATTCTATGCCACTGTTATGTGCCGCATATTCTTTGCAGAGTTTGTTGCTTGTTTCATTTTTATTTATAAAGCATTTGGTGAATAGAGATTTTTAATTTAATGTCAAATTTATCATTTGTTTCTCCTACGATGTTTTGCTTTTTTTATCTTACATAAAAATTCTTCCCTAATCTTGGGTTATAAGCATAATTTTTGCTAAAAGTTTTAAAGTTTTCATTTTACACATAGCTGGGTAATCCACTTAGAACTCATTCTGGAAAAAATATAATGTAAAGATTTGTTTTTCACTGTGTGCAGTGGCTTATGCCTATAATCCCGACACTTTGGGAAGCCTAGGCAAGAGAATCACTTGAGCCCAGGAGTCTGAAACCAGACTGGGCAACATAGTGAAGCCCCCATCTCCAAATTTGCTGGACATGGTGGTATGTGCCTTTAGTCCCAGCTATCTGGGAGGCTGAGGCAGGAGGATCACTTGAGCCCAGGAAGTCGAGACTGCAGTGAGCCATGGTCGTGCCACTGCATTCCAACCTGGGTGACAGAGCAAGACCCTGTCTCTCTCTCTCTCTCTCTCTCTCTCTCTCTATCTCTCTCTCTCTCTCTCTATATATATATATATATTTCCATAGACACAACTAATTTTTGCAACACCATGTACCTAATAGGCTACTTTTTTTCTCCAGTGTGCAATGGCACTCTGTTTTTATATAGTTTCCATGTAAGTCTGAGTTTGTTTCTGGGCTCTCTGTCCTATTTCTTGGACCTCATGCTATTTGACCACTTTGCATTGCTTTGATTTCTGTTGCTTGATGCTATGTCCTGCTGTCTGGTCTCCCTAGTCCCTACTTTCATTCATTCATGTGATCAGAAAATATTGATTTTGAACATACTATGTGTCAGGAACTTTTCTAGGGGCTTGGAATTTATCGGAGATCAAAAGGAGCAAATCCTTCTGGCTTCATATTAAGCTTCTGTTTTAGTAGATGAAATGAACAATAACAAATTACAGACATTATTAATTCTAGAATAAGCTAGGAACTGATTCTTGCTATGAAAAAGAAAACATGGCAGGAAGTTAAGGAGTGCCGGGGGTAAGAGAGCTACCATTTTAAATAAAAGAAGCCTATTTGAGCAGACACTTAAAGAAAGCAGGGAAGTGGGTCATTCAGATATCCAGAGAAAAGGCATACCCAGGAGGAAAAGTAGTGCGAGCACACTCAATTTCACATTTATCATTCCCAAGCATTTTAAATCTACCTTACAAGTGCTTGGAGTTTTCTAGGAACACAACCTTATTCTTTAAAATTGTCTCAGCTCTTCTTTGCTGTTTGCTCTTCTATATAAACATTTATAGATAAACTTTTTAGAAAATAATCTCCTACACTGTTGCATGAGAAGAGTTTATTACAGGACTATTACCAAAGTCTGTTCAATTTCTAAAATAATACTTGTTTTCTCTATCAATACTGTATAAGGAAAAATATAAATAAAATGTTTGTACAACTCTCTTTTCCACCACTGATAATAAAGTGTAGTTTATAACGTCATAACTGAATGCTCCACACCCTGAAGTATCTATTTAGATGGCTTGGTGAACTTCTGCAGGGAATCAGGACAAAATGTTGTTAGTAAATTAAACCCACAAGCCAGCTCCATTGGATCAGAATTTCAATTTCTAGAATGTTACTTTGACTGCCTCTGTCATGTGGCACAATAAAATTAACCACTTTTTTTCCTCAATTCTCATCAATAAAAAGGGAGTCACAGTATACATATCCCCTTGGGATAACTGAGAGGAGTAAATAAGATATGTGAGTGTGTCTATCAGTAACTAACTCCGTACAAGTGATATGGTTTGGCTGTGTCCCCAACCAAGTCTCACCTTGAATTGTAGTTTCCATAATTGCCACGTGTCACGGGAGGGATCTGGTGGGAGGTAATTGAATCATGGAGGCAGTTACCTCCATGCTGTTCTCATGATAGTGAGTGAGTTCTCATGAGGTATGTTGGTTTTATAAGGGGCTTTTCCTTTTTTGATTGGCACTTCTTCATGATGCTACCATGTGAAGAAGGATGTGTTTGCTTCTCCTTCCACCATGATTGCAAGTTTCCTGAAGCCTCCTCAGCCCTGCAGAACTGTAAGTCAATTAAATCTTTTTCCTTTATAAATTACCCAGTCTCAGGACAGCATGAGAACAGATTAATACAACAAGTATGTACAATTTGAATTATGATCTTTACACAATCCCTGATGCATATGGTAAGCCATGTTTTGTGGGAGTTAATTATTTCTTTGAGATCTGATCCAGGTTCTCTTCAGAGGCAGCAAGCACTGATGAATCAAAATAATTTCCATATTCATTTTCCTGATAAAAGTCCATCAAGGGTCCATCATCTGCAAGGTGAAATCTAAACTTAAACATGGCATGCAACCAGTGCAGGATCTACCTCCTGAGCATTTTCCCTACCTGACCTCCACCTCTCTTCCATAAATATCCTATAGTTCATCCACACTCAGGGTCTTTGCACATATTTTCCTGCTTCTTAGAATACCCTGTCCTCTTTGTTCCTTAGGAATGTTGAACAGTTACCAGCTTGGTGTCATGCTCTCTGTTATTTCAAGACATAAGTAGGAGATAACCCTGTGCTATTTGATCATTATTTTTCAAGTACAAGACATTCTTTTTTATGTGTACTAAGGCTTTTATGTCAGGTCCAATTTGATTGGTCTAAAGATGATTGTAAAATACAGTTGAATTAAGGCAGAACAGAATCCTTTAAAACCTGTTACCTACAAAATTGGATGTGTCCTAATAGTCCAAGATAACCCAAGATTATATGGTTATTGCCTGAGGAATTTGGCCCAGCATCCCTTTGTGAGTCTCTGGGAATTTTACAATGGTCTTAATATAATGCTGTATGATTCCTACAATTTAGTGATAAGAAGCTCATCATTACTTGGTGTTGAGCAAAGCGTTGTGTGAATAGTATTTGAACTTATGTGCAGGTACCAGTACCTATTAGATGAAATCTGTAGCCCAAGAAATCAATTTTCATGCTTCCTCTTGCCTATAAAGATACCCTCCTGATTTGGTGAGCATATTAATCACCTTCTTTGTAGGGAGATATATGCCTGGGAAATAAACTTGGCTGACCAGCCTATGAACCCAAATCATCTGTCTTTGTATTGATTTAGCACTGACTCACTTAACCTACTAAAGCACCTAATTTTGCCAGGCTATATAGCAGAGTAAAGTTTCTCTCATATTTATTGCATCTCCCAATAGCCCTGTGAAGTAAGTGGTCATAAATGACAGTTTCAGAACTTGTGCTCTAAACTTCTCCATTGCAGTCATTAGACAATCTTCTCAGACACTGGCCAATTGAGTACTCAGATATAAATGTATACTGATAATTACATTCGTCTGAGTTCTGTTCTGTCATTTTTTTCATTTCCTTCTTTCATCTGTGTCATGTATTACAGCAAAATGTTGTTATGATCTTTCTACAATTATATTTTCTCATATTTGTACATTTCGTATGCAATGCTAAAATTATTTTTATGCATTCCAATCTCAAGTTCACAACAAAATTTGATCCTCCTCTCTCCTCTACCAAATGTATTTCCAGAAATGATGCTAAGAAAAACTTGCTGCTCCAAAAACACCATTAAGGAAATTCATTCTATTTGTTTTTCAGCCAACATTGCCCATTTAGCAGGCAATTTCATTGAGCTATGTACATTGATGTGTGCAGCTTTTTGAAGGTTCATTTTACGGCGACTCCAACATCACTGTCTGGCTATAGAACATAAGAAGAAATTGTGAGACTTATAAAGTGTATAGCTTTCAGAGCTAATTCTCATCCATACTCCCATTGCATCACATAGCAGTTTGTTTCTATGTATTACTCTATCTATCATCGACTTGTAATTATTTCTAAAGGCAGAAAATCTTATGCCTGGATTTACCAAGCCAAGCTTATGAAATTTATATAGGAAAGTGCTATAGAAATTAATTATGAAATTCCCTACTCAAAGTGTTTTCAACATGGTAATAAGTTGTCAAATTCTGTATCTTTACTTGAGTGGCTTCTATTGCTTAGATCCTATCTCCGCTCCTTCATGAGTCTAATTCAAACTCCATTCTTCTAAATTCACCTAAGTGCTACTTCCTTCAAGAAGATATCCTTGACTCACAGGGATTTGGATGCCCTTTTCTTTACTCTCATATTGCCCTATGCACAAGTCTGTGGTAAGACAGTGAACTCCACCTTCAATGTTGATTGTCTTGCTGTGTCTCCAAACAGAGAGTGCAGGTATTTCATCTTATGTGGGGTTGTAGCCTTAACACAGTGCCTAGTGTACATAAGGCACTTAATAAATATTTAATGAGTAAAGGCAAATGAATCTTGTTATTTTATTTTACTCCATGTCAGAAAAGTTCATTACTCAAGACAAGTAAATTTGTTTAAACTTGTGTTGTCCCAAATGAAATCATGTACAATACCTTGCATGTATCAGGAGTTCCATAAGTATTTGTATAAGAAATGAATGAATACATAAAATATAAACTCCCCAAGAACTATTTTTGCTCTCAAGTGCTTTACAACCTTAAGAATAGAAGTAAGGACATGATCTTATTGCAAAATAAAATTGAGGTTTTTCTGATTATCTTTTAAAGAATAGAGCACAGGTGCAAGACATGAAGAAAAAAATACAAGGAATTGACTTACTGTTCCACCTGTTCTAAAATTCCTGTTCCTTTCATCCAAATTATATTCATTGTACGCACAACCCACAAATGATTGCACAGCGTGCTTACATTTTAAAGCTCAGCTATTATGGAAAAAAAAAAAACTTCCAAAAATTAACAAAGCATCTTTAACATTAAAAAAAAAAAAAAGCCTGGGAAACTTTTGTGAGCAATTGCTTTATCAAAATGAGATATCTACAGTTGCCAATTAGTACAGTGTTGGTGAAATTCAAGCACTGAGGGGCTCATTGCTTCTTTATAGTTCCTACCCACACGTAATCTTCATTCCACCTTTCTACTTGGCTGTGGAGATTGATCTAGTAAAAACATGCTGCAGATGAATTGCTCAGAGAGTGTCAGAAGGGAATGTTACAGCGCACATCCTAACACTATTCTGCAATTGTTATTTTTCATGGGTGTCCACATCCTAGTAATATATCCCTAGATTTGACTGTAATCTTGCCACTGAGCTCGCCTGCAGGTCTCATAAACTTGTTTTAGTGTAGCCCTAAGTCACAGATTCTGTGGAACCAGACAGATAGTACTACCCTATAACACCCGTTAGAGAACACATCTGCACTTACATCTTCCACTAATAAATGTTTCCACAGGGGGACCACATTCTGTCAGATGAAAACATACAGCATTACAAAGCCACTGACTGGACACGTGCTTATTGCCTTTGTAATTGGATTAGCCTTTCCTAATACTAGGTTTTCTAGGTTGTCCTTGTATCCCTTTGATTCATAGATCAAGACATACTCAGCTGTGGAAAACAAAGTTTGATTTTACTTTGAATAACTTAGGAGAGTTTGGCATAAAAATAGTTGGTAATAGTTTTTGGAAGCCTTCCTGGCTTAAAATCTTGAATATAGTTAAATTTGAAATTGTAGGAAACTGGAAGATAATACAATGATGTATGGACAATGAAATTTCTGTCTCAAGTCAGTTAGCTAGGACCTATGTTCTGACTATTTCCAAATGATATGTGTTAATGGCTGTGAGATGGGTTGTATGGTAGCACCTTAAAAGATATATCCCTGTCTTAACCCCTAGAACCTATGAATATAAACTTATTTGGAAAAAAGAGTTTTTAGCAGACATGATTAAGTTAAGGATCTTAAGATAATATCACCCTGGATTATCTGGTAAGCCCTAAATCCAATGACAAGTGTCCATAAGAGACAGAGGAGGAGACAGAAACAGAAAGAAGGCCACTTAAGCAAAACAGGGCAGAGATTGGAGTTATGAAGCCACAAACCACAAGGTGCCTGGAGACACCAAACACTGGAAGAGACAAGGTAGGATTTTCCCTTAGATCCTTCAGAGGGAGCCAGGCCCTACCAACACCTTGATTTCAGAATTCCGGCCTCCACAACCTGAAAGAATAAGTATATATTTTTTAAGCCACTAAGTTCATAGAAATTTTTTATGGTAGCCCCAAGTAAGTGATAGAGGCAGTTTGTAATGTAGATGCAGCACCTGAAAGGTAAGGGTGTTCTCTGTAGTAAAGGAGTTTGGTCTAGGAAATGCAGAGTCATTGAGAAGCCAAGAACACTTAAGGTTCAGCATTAGTGCTTTTCAGGAAGGAGTCCCAACAGTCTGTTCATATGATCATGGATTGTTGTACAGTTTACATAAGTAAAATGTTTTTATCACAGCTGATTAAGATTGCTTTTTTCCCTCTCCAATTTTTCTTCCACGCCTGTTTTCCCTTGTTTCAATGGTATTTGAGGTGCTCAAATGATTTAGAGATTTATCTAATGAGAAGTTGAGATAAGGATACATTTTGTTTGGGTTTATTAAATTATATTTACGTGTTCTTGCTTATTTTCATGTTGAAGTTATTGTTAACTGTCCTGCTGTAGGAAGACCCCCTAGTGACCACTTTGTTAACTGGTCTGCTGAGTTAACCCAAAAATGCAGGTCCAGACATAACATCATGATAGGGCCATGTCCTGAGACTTCTGACAACAGAAGGACATTGGTAAAGGAGAAAGAACAAGGCTTAAAATGTACAAAGCTAGAAGCTACTCTGACAATAATTCTTCCAATCATCAGATGTGCAGGACTGCAATTCTTATTGATGCTTAGTATAATTACCATTGTGTAATTATCATTGATGCCTAGTCAAAATGAAATTTCTCTTCTGTCAGAAACACACACAATAACGCAGCATATATGATTACAAATACACTCTACACTATTTGGATGGAAATCATAGAGAATAGAATATATTCGGTTCTCTGTGTTTGTAAGGCACTAAACCATGACCATTCTGCAAACAGCAAGATCTGTGTATGAAGTCACAAGTCTTCTGCAACCCAACTCTCAACAATAAAAAAGAAATTGCCATTGGCCATGCTAGAGGAAAGCCTCTATCCTGAGACTGCTATCTTTATAGAAACTGATATTACAAAATTGTTGCCATATGAAGAGGTGATCAAACAGTATGCAGCCAATAATGTAGTGAAAAATATAATTACAGAGTTGGTAATGTAATAAGTTATTGAAAACAGAATGTGATTCTAAATTTTATGCTTCTAGTATTTGTTAGGTTCAAAAGAATCTTAATTTGTTGTGATTTCTTTTCTCATTCTAAAGAAATATTTACTTTTATGTCAAATTTTGTATCCTTTTCTTTAAAGAGGACTCCCTGAAATATATCTTTCAGCTCTCACAAAACCTGAACACAGCTTTACTGCCAAAATATCAGGTTAGACATTAAAATATACTGGGGGTTTGGAGGAAAAAAAAAAAGGCAGGGAAGATGGGAAATGTGCCCTTTGATATAGGGGGAAAGGAATTGTCTAATTTAGAATATTTTAATTTATTTTAGACGCATTTGAATATATTTTATTCTCTTGTACTGTGGTAGTGATGATATGTATTGTTTTCTTTCTTGAAGTTCACTGTCCTTACATGTATTATTCCAATTTGCTCACTAGATAACTGAAATATGGGTAGCACAAATATCAATGACAATTTCTAGATGAGAATATAAGCTGTGAGGGTTATCTGACCTGTGCAAGCTCATATACTTTGAAGCAGAGCCAGGATTTGAACTTAGCATTTTGACTTTTAATGTCTCAAGTCCTCCATGTGATGGCTGTCAGCTTTTTAGGAAGGAAATTCCAAAAGAAATGCTTGCACGATTACATCTCTAAATCATAAATTTATGTATAAATAACCACTGGATTAATAACCAATTCTATATCTGAACTAGCTTCTGCATTCTGCTAATTCAGAAAAGTGATCTGTACCTGATCACGCACAGGTACTTTCATGTGCTTAAAAAAAATCATTGACTCCTTTATTTACTCTGATCTGGACACACACTGTGCATTTTTCATGTTGAAAGGACTATTTAAAAGAAGAATTCTTTTGTTGTTGTTTATTGTTTCCTTTTCAAAGGTCTTTAACCAAAATCATACTTTGGCATCTCCTGGTAAGGGAGCTATGTTCTCATTCTTTAATCTAGCCTTACAGAAGTGTCTTTTAACTGCCTCCTCTGCTTCCTTCTTTCTCACACTGCAGGTCTAGCTTGGAGAGGACCTACTCACGAGCAGAACACGCTTTGGAAACTCATGGGTGAAAAGAGGCAAAATTCTGTGCATTTCACTTTTGTCAGAAAGGTGCAAGGAAGGTCAAGAAGAAAGAAAAAAAATGCTAACATCTATCTAAAGAAAAAGTTTCTCCCACGAGCATATAGCATGTAAAATTGTGTCTTTGCATAGGTGGGGTTGAATACAGAACACTGGACTGAACATGGGGAAATGTGGATTCTAGTCCAAACTCTGTAGTTAAACAAGCTGTGTGATTCAAACCACATCCCTTACTTTCTGGGCTTACACTCCTTTATCTGTAAATGAAGCATTTCAACTACACCATGCCTAACTTTCCTGCCAGCTCTAGAAGGCTGTAGTCCTATTTTACACATTGGATCCCACCCACATCCAAAAGAAAGCATGGTCTGAGAGAACACTAGAAATGATTTATAGGGACAGGGAAGGCAAGTAAGATAAAGAGTGGGAGAACAAAGAGATGAGTTCCTCACTACAGGACAGAGATATGGCTACTCGCTGCTATCCCTTAGAAAAGCCTCCTTGCATAGACTGCAGTCTCCTGGGGGACAACCCAAGGCATTCCCAGCTTGCTAGTACTCTAGCAAGAGAGTAAAGAACGGGCCGGGCGCGGTGGCTCAGGCCTGTAATCCCAGCACTTTGGGAGGCCGAGGCTGGTGGATCACGAGGTCAGGAGATCGAGACCATCCTGGCTAACACGGTGAAAACCCGTCTTTACTAAAAAAAACATAAACAAAAAATTAGCCAGGCGCGGTGGCGGGCGCCTGTAGTCCCAGCTACTCGGGAGGTGAGGCAGGAGAATGGCGTGAACCCGGGAGGCGGAGCTTGCAGTGAGACGAGATCCTGCCACTGCACTCCAGCCAGGGCAAAAGAGCAAGACTCCGTCTCAAAAAAAAACAAAAAAACAAAAAAGAGTAAAGAACCAAAAAGAGCCAACCAAGGCAGAAAATGCAAGTTCGATATTTGTTTCCTCATCACTTACAGAAATAAATACCCAAAGCTTCTATTGTGTTAGCACATATGAACCCACAATTTTCTAAGATCTGCTGATACAAGCCTAGCAAGATCTTACTTCTATAGAGTGGGCCAAGACTAGTGTCATTCCAAAAAAGGAAATTTGGGGAAACAGAGATATTGGCGCGATATTCTCATGCTGTATTTCAGGACTCGTCTTGAGGCTCCTTGCTTTTCTGCAGTGGCCCTGATCCTGACTGTTGAGAGAGTCGAAGGAGCATCTCACGACTTGGAAGTAGGCTGTAGAGAGTTTTTCCAGAACCTGTTTTCTTCTTGCCGGTGAAATATGTCATTTCTTTTATTTTAAGGAATCTAAGAAGATGGCATTCAATTGGTAAGAATTGTGATACAGTAGAAAGTTGAATGGTGCTTTGGTATCAGAATGATGCTGGCCTCATAAAATCAGTTAGGGAGGATTCCCTCTTTTTCTATTGATTGGAATACTTTCAGAAGGAATGGTACCAGTTCCTCCTTGTACCTCTGGTAGAATTCGGCTGTGAATCCATCTGGTCCTGGACTCTTCTTGGTTGGTAAGCTATTGATTATTGCCACAATTTCAGATCCTGTTATTGGTCTATTCAGAGATTCAGCTTCTTCCTGGTTTAGTCTTGGGAGAGTGTATGTGTCGAGGAATTTATCCATTTCTTCTAGATTTTCTAGTTTATTTGCATAGAGGTGTTTGTAGTATTCTCTGATGGTAGTTTGTATTACTGTGGGATCGGTGGTGATATCCCCTTTATCATTTTTTATTGCGTCTATTTGATTTTTCTCTCTTTTTTTCTTTATTAGTCTTTCTAACGGTCTATCAATTTTGTTGATCCTTTCAAAAAACCAGTTCCTGGATTCATTAATTTTTGAAGGGTTTTTGTGTCTCTATTTCCTTCAGTTCTGCTCTGATTTTAGTTATTTCTTGCCTTCTGCTAGCTTTTGAATGTGTTTGCTCTTGCTTTTCTAGTTCTTTTAATTGTGATGTTAGGGTGTCAATTTTGGATCTTTCGTGCTTTCTCTTGTGGGCATTTAGTGCTATAAATTTCCCTCTACACACTGCTTTGAATGCGTCCCAGAGATTCTGGTACGTTGTGTCTTTTACACTGTTGGTGGGACTGTAAACTAGTTCAACCATTGTGGAAGTCAGTGTGGCGATTCCTCAGGGATCTAGAACTAGAAATACCATTTGACCCAGCCATCCCATTACTGGGTATATACCCAAAGGACTATAAATCATGCTGCTATAAAGACACATGCACACGTATGTTTATTGCAGCATTATTCACAATAGCAAAGACTTGGAACCAACCCAAATGTCCAACAATGATAGACTGGATTAAGAAAATGTGGCACATATACACCATGGAATACTATGCAGCCATAAAAAATGATGAGCTCATGTCCTTTGTAGGGACATGGATGAAATTGGAAATCATCATTCTCAGTAAACTATCGCAAGAACAAAAAACCAAACACCGCATATTCTCACTCATAGGTGGGAATTGAACAATGAGATCACATGGACACAGGAAGGGGAACATCACACTCTGGGGATTGTTGTGGGGTGGGGGGAGGGGGGAGGGATAGCATTGGGAGATATACCTAATGCTAGATGACGAGTTAGTGGGTGCAGCGCACCAGCATGGCACATGTATACGTATGTAACTAACCTGCCCAATGTGCACATGTACCCTAAAACTTAAAGTATAATAATAAAAAATAAATAAATAAATAAATAAATAAATAAGATAAAATAAAAAGAAAGTAAGTTGAATGGTGCAAATGAATGCTATTTCTTAAAGTCTGTTTACTCTTCGGATTACTATTAAAGTGCTGAAAGACGCTGGCCCTGCAGTGTGACTGTCAGACAAGTAGAAAAATGGCTGTGCTCTTTGGTTGTTTTCTCAGAAAAGGAATTAAATGGTACCTTCATTAAAACAGTATTATTTAAAAATATAAATTTTCCAGTTGTGATGTGAAGGCTATTTGCAGCTTGATAAATACATACCCTACACCTGGTCTAACTCAACTCCTTAGAAATTGAGAACTGGTTGATTGATTAACTAACTGGCTTATGTTTAACTTAAAAAAAACAGTATTAACCTTAGTAATAGTCTCTCTAAAATGTTCCTCTTGGCATCCTGCTTTTTTAACTAGGACACACTAGATGCATTTCATCATTTTTATGACCAAAATCTAGAAACGCTTTAGATTCATCCGTAGAAAGATTTATTTTCAATCTACTCTCTCAAGAATGAAAAAAAAATTAGATTTGGACTAATTAAAGGACATATGATTGTTGTTGTTATTTTTAGACCACTGATAAATGCTGATTTATAGTGTTGTTCCCATTAAAATTTACGCTTTTTCTTCACATACAAGGGGATTCTTGCTAATTTCACTGCTGAATAATTGGCTTCTAGATAGTTGAATTTTATTTTTTTGGTGTATTCCTAGTAGTACCTGCAGCTTTTAGCCCTCTTCTCCTTTTCTTCTATTCCCATTGTGTAATTTCATTTATTTCCAAGTTTCAACTATCGGAAATACACCAGTCATGTCTAAGGCTGTGCCTTCATGCCAGATCTCACTCCTGAGCTCCAGATCCACATTTCTGACTGCCTGGTGACTATCCCCACCTTGATATGCCATAAGGTCCTCTTACAATATATACAAATCTAAACCATACATATTCCCCACTAAATCTCTCCTCTATCTATATTCTCTACATCTATTTGCCTCACCTCTCAGAAATCTACAAACTACCCTAGATGCTGCCTCTGTCCATCACACCTTATTTAACTAGTTGCTTAATTGGCTATTTGGTTATAATTAATCAAAGTCATTCCTCTGCAATAATGAAACCAAACCCCTCCTCTTTATCTACACTGCTATACTCCTAGTTCAGTACTCATCAGCTCCACCTGAAATTGCTTCCTTCCAACGCATCTTCCACACTATGACTGAAGTTATATTGCTAAAATCAAATAAAGGATATCATTCACCTGCTCAAGATTCTTCAGGCTGGGTGCTGTGGCTCGCACCTGTAATCCCAACACTGTGGGAGACCAAGGTGGGCAGATCGCTTGAGCTCAGGAATTCAAGACCAACTTGGGCAACTCAGTAAAACCCCATTTCTACAAAAAAATACAGAAATTAGCCAGGTGTGGTGACATGTGCCTATAGTCTCAGCTATTTGGGAGTCTGAGGCCATAGGATTGCTTGAAGCCAGGAGGTCGAGGCTGTAGAGAGCCATGTTTGTGCCACTGAACTCCAGCCTGGACAGAGCAAGACCTCGTCTCAAAAAAAAAAAAAAAATGTTTTAAAGATTCTCCATAATACATGGGGTATAATTCAAATTCCTTAACATTACATATGCACTTGCATTTCTGCATTGGTCCCAATCCTGACTATTGTAAGAGTCAAAGAAGCCCCTGTCATAGGGTTTATCATAATCTGGCTCCTGTCCACCTCTTCAGCCTCATCCCCTTCCAGTTCTCAGTGTGCTTATGCTTACTCACCTCTCCATACAATATCATGCAATAGAACTGTTTCTGTTTTCCTAGGAAATTCTTACTCATCATTCAAAGTTCAGCTCCCTCCCAAGAAGCCTTCCCTGACACTCCAACTAGATTGTCAGTCTCTCCTTGAGGCTGATTCTATATTGGGTATGTGTTGCTATTATTACACATTCTAACTGTGCCATCCCTTACTGTGTATGTGATCCAATCCCTTCCAACATACTCAAGTGCTTTGTTCAGCAATTGTTTCCCCTCTCTTTCATTATCTTGTCCTCCTTTTTTAGTGGATTTACTATAAGCATTTAAAAGTTTTGTAAAAATTTCCTACTTAAAAACATACCTCTTATAATTTCATACACCCCTCTAGCTATTGTCCTACTTTTCTACCGTCTTTTGCAGCAAAACTCCTTGAGTTCTCTATGCTGTTGTCTCCATTTCTTCTCCCATTCAATACTTCCAGCTTTACTGAAGCTGCTCTTGTCAACATCACCAGTGATCTCCACATTGTTTGTTGCTCTCCCCTCATCTCCCTGAACTCTGAATGTGAGAGTGCTCTGGAACCCAGATAGACCCCCTTTTTTTCAGTTCACACCTATTCCCTTGGCAAGCTTATCCAGCCTTTAAGAATTATCTTTGCACTGACAAATCTCACACTTATATTTCCTTAGCCAAGATGTCTTCCTTGGACTTCAAATTTATATCTACCAGGATACTTGACATGTTCACCTAAATGTTTCCTGGGAAAATTTTACATTTCCAGAACTGAACTCCTTAAATCTCTCCCATCTTTCAATCTTGCCTATCTGGAAGGTTGGCAACATCATCCTTCCCATTGCTCAAAACATAACATCTAAAGTCATCCTTGCCTCTTTTCTTTTTCTCACACTTCATAGACAATCCATCAGCAAATCCAGTAAGCTAGACTTTCAAGATATACCCCAAATCTGACCACTTCTTACCACATTCATTCCTAACACCCTCTTCCAAGGTACACTGAGATTCTTATAAACACCTCCTCACATTTCCCCCTGTTTCCACCTTTGCCTCCTGTTGTCTATTATCAAACCTTCCAAACTGGTCCCCTTAAAACTGGTCCCATTTTATTTTGAGACAGAGTCTCACCCTGTCACCTAGGCTATAATACAGAGGCACGATCATGGCTCACTGAAGCCTTCACTTCCTGGGCTCAAATGACCCTCCCACCCCAGCCTCCCAAGTAGCTGGGGCTACAAGCATGTCTCATCATGATGGGCTAGTTTTTGTATTTTTTGTAGAGACTGGGTTTCACCACATTTCCCAGATTGATCTCAAAATAGTAGGCTCAAGCAATCCACACACTTCAGCCTCCCAAAATGCTGGGACTACAGGCACGAGCCACTGAGCTACTATTGTCTCTTTCTCCACTAGAATGTAAATTCTGGGATTTACATTCTAGAACTTTGTGTTGGTTTTATTTAATTTGTAGTCTAGTGCCTAGAATGATGTGGGCACTCCCTAAGTATTTATTGAATAAACAATGAATACATTTAGCAATAGATCATGCCACCTACCTAGAGATGTGATGAAGAAAAGTTTCATAGAAGTAAAATCAGTTTAATGAAAGCTACTCGGTGAGTGTGCTCTGTAAGGAGGGAGTTGGGATTGTGAATATAAGGAATGATCCAGTATGAAACAGAAACTTTATCAAACAATAAAAAAATCACTGATTTTGTGTAAATACATAGTACATCTCCAATTAAGTGGAGATATGTGGGAGAAACTAAAAAAATGTATGTGGATGGAAGTGAAAATACATTTTTAGGGCTCTGCCAGTTGGGTGGGAAGGCCTTAGTTACATAATAATTGGAAAAACAGTGACTTAGAGGAATGCAAAATCCCCTGAAGTAACACAAAAAGCAATGAAAGAAATGGATAAAAAAGGACGTGAGGGAAAAGAAGAGGGAAAACTAAGAGGGCAAGCGATTAAAGCAGCATGACTAAGATATGAAACTAGGTAGTCTTAATTGAGTAGGGAAATATTACCAACTCCCTGTGAAAGACAGGTTGAAATTAGAATCACGCTAGTATAATATATTTCTAAACAGCAGTTACATTTATTTTAGCAGTTAAAGACTTTAAATATGAATTTGACTGTAGTGTGTATACTAATTAAGTAAGTCTCACTGCTCTAACAAACTATCCCCAAATCTGAAAAGTGTAATCTAATGAAGATTTTTTCCCCTACTTTCTCGTCCCAGTCTAATGAGGCTCACCAGAGAGCTAATTGATGCACTCATTTAGAGATCCAGGCACCTCATCCAGTGACTCTGTGATCTTTCTAACCTTGGAGTTTCCCCACTATATTCCCTACGTCTGACCAAGAGATGAAAGAAGAGTAGTAGTTTATGGGCAAGTCCTGCAGGTGAGTGCGTACATCTACAATCCACTGGCCAGAACTCAGTCACATAGCCACACAAAACTGAAAAAGAGTCTGTGAACTATAGGTTAGTTATATGCCCAAGAAGACCAACCAGCCACCTATCAAGAACTGTGAAGTCTAAGACTGAAATTTTAACCAGTTTGTAAACTAACAAGTTAACCCACCACAGTTTCACAGATGCTAATGAAAGACATGAGACTGCTGGGTCAGAGATGAAGAATAGTTTATTATACACAGCAATAACTGTAATCAGAGTACCAGTTATTTTATTTTATTATTTATTCATTGCCAGATACTGAAGCCCCAGTTCCCACCTACATGGTAATGCAAACAGGAACACATGATCTCTGTAGTATATTATGTTACAAGAGAGGAAATATGAGTTTAGGGAACCTAAACATTTTATAATTGGAAGTAAGCATGTCTGATCTTTGATATAGGGAGAAATACTCTCAATCTTTCATTTTCGATTGCTAATCAAACGTCTTTGAAAAAAAAATGGTTTGGAACAAATAGCAGCCAGTGTCTCACATGCAAAATGTGTGGAAACACAAGAAACTCATGGAGAATTTTGTCCCAGAACAATCATATGTAATTAAGCAGTTTTCAAGCAACTTACTTAAAGTAACTTGAGCAAGCCATATGTAATGAGTTAGTAACAACTTGACATATCTGGAACTATGTCCTAAAGCTTATAATACTAGAGTGTTGCCCAGATTTATTGCCTTAGAGAATCTATATTCTACCTATCTAAATGAAAGTGTGAAAAAGTAGAGGCTGTTGTAAAATTAGGATGTTCAAAAGTATATACTTAATGGTAGCCAGGTTTTCTGGAGAAAAATCAAATTATAGGTAACTAATATTATGCTTTATGTATTATTTTGTTTGTATTGTTGAACACAATTATATACAAGTTAGCTTTGTACCGAGAATTTTATATTATTTCTCCATGACTTAAAGTGATAAAATAGACTAATCCTCAGAACAAGTTTAGGCATAGGAAATAATATCTAGGAAAAATGCATTATCTCTGTGATGTGATGCTGAAGTGAGCAAAGAAAAAAAGAACATATCTGGATATGTTAATTTTTTTAAGAAACCAAAATCTCTTGAGACATCTTAATGTACCAGGGAAAATACTAATTTTAGAGTCAAAAAATTGAAAAGGGATTCCAGAATTACTTATTTGGTTGCATTCATTTTTCTTTATTCCACCATTTATTGAGCAACAAATTCATGTACATGTGAGCCTAAGCACTGGAGCTAAAACAGTAAGCCACCATTACTGACTTCAAGGGAATTCCAATCTCAGTGGAAGGACATACGTATAAATAATTACAATGCATTACAATGCACTATAATAATAATATGGATAGAGTGATACAGCAAGTGCTATGAACAGAGGACCATTGAACACAGCGAGGGAGAAAAACAACAAAATCTTTACTGGAATTGCCTCACTAACTCATGGGAGTTTTCACAGAAGTAACATTGAATCAAAGTCATGAAATATAAATTGGAGATGTCCAAAAGGTCAAAATGGGAAATAAATCATTAAACAACTGAACTATATGTACAAAGACCAGAAGATATGAAAAGGCATGCTATAAAAGGGCAGAAAGCAGTTCCTGATGACAGAAGCTTTTGAGGTAGAAAATATTCACAAACTATGCATCCGACAAAAAACTAACATCCAGAATGTACAAGGAACTCAAACAAATCAGCAAGAAAAAAACAAATAATCTCATCAAAAAGTAGGCTAAGAGCATTAATAGACAATTCTCAAAAGAAGATATACAAATGGCCAACAAACATGAAAAAATGCTCAGCATCACTAATGATCAGGGAAATGCAAATCAAAGGCACAATGTTATATCATTTTATTCCTACAAGAATGGCCATAATAAAAAGTAAAAAATAATAGATGCTGGCAGGGATGTGGTGAAAAGGGAACACTTTTACACTGCTGGTGGGGATGTAAACCAGTATAGCCACTATGAAAAACAGTATGGAGACTCCTTAAAGAACTAAAAGTAGAACTACCATTTGTTTCAGCAATCACACTACTGGGTATCTACCCAGAAGAAAATAAATTAGCATACAAAAAAGACACTTTCAAGCACAGGTTTATAGCACACAATTCGCAATTGCAAAAATGTGGAACCAGCCTAAATGCCCACCAACCAACAAGTGTATAAAGAGAATGTGACGTGTGTGTGTGCGTGTATATATATATATATATATATATATATATATATATATATATATATATATATATAAATATATATATAAATATATATAAACACACAAACACCATGGAATACTACTCAGCCATACTCAGCCATAAAAAGGAATGAAATAATAGCATTTGCAGCAACCTCGATGGAGTTGGAGGCCATTATTCTAAGTGAAGTAACTCTGGAATGGAAAACCAAACATCGTATGCTCTCACTCATAGTGAGAGTTAAGCTATGAGAATGCAAAGGCATAAGAATGATATAATGGATTATAGGGTCTTGAGGGGAAGGGTGGGAGGAGGGATGAGGGATAAAAAACTAGACCTTGGGTGCAATGTACACTGCTTGGGTGGCGGGTTAACCAAAACCTTAGAAATCATACCTAAAGAATTTATCCATGTAACCAAACACCACCTGTTCCCCAAAAACTCTTGAAATAGAAATAACGAAAAAAAAAAAAAATGGCAGAATGCATAAAAATCCACCAACCAAGTTTCTACTATCTTCAAGAGACTCACCTAACACATAAGGACTCACATAAACTTAAGCTGGAAAAAGGTATTTCATGCAAATGAAAACCAGAGCTGAGCACGAATAGAGCTATTCTTGTATTAAATGAAACAAACTTTAAAGCAACAACAGTTTTAAAAAACAAACAGCCTGTTGTCGGGTGGGAGGGGTAGGGAGAGCATTAGGAGATATACCTAATGTGAATGATGAGTTAATGGGTGCAGCACACCAACATGGCACATGTATACATATGTAACAAACCTGCACGTTGTGCACATGTACCCTAGAACTTAAAGTATGATAAAAAAAACAGGGACACTGTATAATGATAAAAAGATTAGTCCAATGGGAAAATATCACAATCCTAAATATATATGCATGCAACACTGGAGCTCTCAAATTTATAAAACAATTACTACTAGACCTAAGAAAGGAGATAGACAGCAGCACAACAAAAGTGACAAACTTCAATACTCCACTGAGAGCACTAGACAGATCATCAAGACAGAAAGTCAACAAACAAACAATGGACTTAAACTATACCTTAGAACAAATGGACTTAATAGATATTTACAGAAAATTTTATCCAGCAACTGCAGAATATATATTATTTTCATCAGCACATAGAACATTCTCCAAGATAGGCCATATGATAGGCCACAAAACAACTCTCAATAAACTTAAGAACATCAGTATTATATCAAGTACTCTTGCAGACACAATAAAATAAAGCTGGAAGTTAACTCCAAAAAGAACTCTCAAAACTATACAAACACATAGAAAATTAAATAATCTGCTCCTGAATGATCCTTGGGTCAACAATGAAATCAAGATGGAAGTAAAAAATTCTTTGAACTGAACGATAATAGTAGCACAACTGATCAAAACTTCTGGGATACAGCAAAAGCAGTGCTAAGAGAGAAGTTTATAGCATTAAAGGTCTAACTCAAAAAACCTGAAAGAGCACACATAGATAATCTAAGCTCATACCTCAAGGAACTAGAGAAACAGGAACAAACCAAACCCAAACACAGCAGAAGGAAAGAAATAACGAATATCAGAGCAGAACTAAATGAAATTGAAATAGAAAAAAAAAAACCACAAAAGATAAATAAAACAAAAGCCTGGTTCTTTGAAAAGATAAGCACAATCAAGAGACCTCTAGTGAGATTAACCAAGAAAAGAAGAAAGAAGATCCAAATTATCTCAATTAGAAAAGAAATGGGAGGTACTACAACTAATACCACAAAAATACAAAAGATCATTCAAGGGTACTATGAACATCTTCACATACACAAACCAGAAAATGTGCGGGAGATGGATAAATTCCTGAAAATATGCAACCTTCCTAGATTAAACCAGAGAGAAATAGAAATTCTGAACAGAACAATAACAGATAGTGATATTGAAACAGTAATTTTAAAAAAATGCTGACAAAATAAAGTCCAGGACTAGATGAATTCACAGTTGAATTCTATCAGACATTCAAAGAAGTGATGCCAATCCTACTGAAACTATTCCAAAAGATAGAGAAAGAGGGAATCCTTCTTAAATCATTCTATGAAGTCAATATTGCCCTAATACCAAAACCAGGAAAGGACATAACAGCAAAAAAAGAAAACTACACACCAATATCCATAATGAACCTAGATGCAAAAATCCTCAAGAAACTCTAGCTAACCTAATCCAACAGCATACCAAAAAGATAATAAACCAGATCAAGTGGGTTTCATACCAGGGATGCAGGGATGGTTTAATATACAGAAGTCAATAAATGTGATATGCCACATAAACAAAAGTAAAAACAAAAATCATATTATCATATCAGTAGACACAGAAAAAGCATTTGACAAAATCCAGCATCCCTTTATGATTAAAACCGTCAGCAAACTCAGCATAGGAGGGACATACCTTAAGGTAATAAAAGCCATCTATGACAAACCCACAGCCAACATAGTACTGAACAGGGTAAAGTTGAAAGCATTTCCGTTGAGAACTGAAAAAAGACAAGGATGCCCATTTTCGCCACTTCTATTTAACATAGTACTGGAAGACCTAGCCAGAGCAATCAGACAAGAGAAAGAAAAAAAGGGCATCGAAATCAGTAAAGAGGATGTCAAACTGTCACTGTTTGCTGATGATATGATTTTATACCTAGAAAACCCTAAAGACTCCTCCAAAAAGCTCCTAGATCTGATAAATAAATTCGGTAAAGTTTCAGGTACAAATCAATGTACACAAATAGCACTCAGCGACCAAGCTGAAAATCAAATCAAGAACTCAACTCCTTTTACTTCAGCTGCAAATAATAATAATAAAAACAAAACAGAATAAAACTTAGGAATGTACCTAACCAAAGAGGTAGAAGATCTCCACAAGGAAAACTACAAAACACTGATGAAAGAAATAATAGACGACACAAACAAATAGAAATACAACCCATGCTCACAGATGGGTTGAATCAATATTGAGAAAATGACCATACTGCCAAAGGCAGTCTATAAATTCAATGCAATTTCCATCAAAATATTATCATCATCCTTCACAGAGCTAGAAAAAAAAATCCTAAAATTAATATGGAACAAAAAAACGAGTCTGCATAGCCAAAACAAGTCTAAGCCAAAAGAACAAATCTGAAGGCATCATATTGCTCAACTTCAGACTATACGACAAGGCTCTAGCTACCAAAGCTGCACAGTACTGGTATAAAAACAGGCACAAAGCCCAATGTAACAAAATAGAGAACCCAGAGATAAAGCCAGATGCAATGGGATCTTGATGGTTGAGGCACCAAAGTACTCAAGGGGCCAACAAGGGCAGATGAATAAAATTGCAACTCTGACCTGGGCCTTTAAACCGCAATGACCTGGTCCCAGCCTTCTTCTCTGATCTTGACCTCATCTCTGTTACCCTCTCCCTTGCTCACTATGATGCATCCATCACTGTCTTCTATTTCTCAAACACATGCTCAAGCCTCCCTCAAGGCCTTTGCACTTGCTGTTTCCTTTGTCTAGAGTACACTTTCTTGATCTTCACAGGCATGGCTTGCTTACCATGTGGCAATGTCATCTCATCAGAGAGGCCTTTCCTGTTCCACCTATTTAATATGGCCTATCACCTTCACAGGTCACTTTGCTATATTATCCTATTTTATTTTCTCTATATAGCATTTATCTGTACCTTAATCTTCTCGCATTTATTTACTTTTATGTACATTTATTGTCTACATCCCCTCATAGAAAGATTCTAAGAGACTTTTGTTCACAATTCTATTCTCAGGACACAGAATAGTAAATAATAGGTGCATGAAAATTATTTATTAAATGAATGAACGAGGAAGTGAATGAAAGGATGTCATAACCATATTGTTAATTTAGAAAAGTACTCAAGTTGCAGTGAGGGAAGGTGTATGCTAAGAAAATCTGAAATAGAGGAAATTTCTTTAGGCAAGAAATGCTGAGGTTCTGAACTAAGGTATTTTTGGTAGAAAGGTAAAGGGTAGGTTAGATAAGAAAGGAGACAAGTCGACAGACAAGAGAGCCATTTGCTGAGACATGGATCCAAACAGGAAGAGAAGATGGATCTAATTTGGAATGGTGCAGAAACATAAAGAACAGGTTTATGTCAGCCCCTAAGAAAATTCCCCGGAGCTCCAACTTGTGATTAGTCCCACAGGGAATATAGCAATTTCATTAAATGCAGCTTGTACCTATAAAATGTGTTTATTAATCTCTCCTCGTCTATATATAATACTTGTGGTGGAATTCTCTTCATGGGGTTATACGAACTCCAACTCTACTTTGCAACACTGAAAGAATTATTATTATAGCTTTATCATTACTACCTGTAGCTAGTACCAGTCCCTTCTAAAATAGACAGAATTCATAAAATATAGCATAATGCAAATTTCTCCCTATTTGCTTCTTCCCCAGATAGATGTCTGAAATACAAATGTTATGGAGAAAAACTCAGAATTTTCCAACTGTAACCAGGTTTCTTATTTAATCTCTTGGCAAAAGATTCCTCTTGGTTATCATTTCTTTCAGCTCATTATTCTTGCACAGAAGATTGTGTCCATGAATTCCTGAATTCTCAAAGTTGTGTAAAGTAAAATGAACATTTGTAACTATTAGAATTAGTTTATCTGTGCACAGATAGGCAGGATCTATAGCAATTAATATTTAATAGGATCTAAGTGTTTGAAATAGGAGTTGGTGTAAGGTCTATGCATACGTTTAAGGCCTTGATTTAAATTTTGATTTTCAAGGACTTAATGTACAATAAAGTGCTTTGACATATGTAAAATGCTGTTATCTACAGGTGCAATACACTGACATAACGACCCCTCCTCCAAAATTGCTGAAGCATAGTGTAATTAGGAAATATCTCTAAGAATGAACAGAGAAATTTTTAAAAATTTTCTTCCCTTTGAGGAAAAACACTAATCTTCAAACTTAAGATATAAACAAGAATGTTTAAAATAGCTCCCATAAATAGAGTTTCTTCCATTTCTTGCCTTAAGCTTCAACGATTAATTATTTGCTATATATGTGAACAATTTCCTGGAAAAGCAAAAGTCTGGTTGCTCATCCTATGATGCTTTGATATAAATAAGGCGGGCCTAGAGTAAATTCCATAGCAAGGTTTTAAGACCCAATTTTCAAAAGAAGAGGAAAGGATAAATAACCTGTCTGAGCCCTCTAACTTGTTTACTAATCCTAATCTATACCTTCTTACAGCTTTTGTTTGCATGTTTTTTGCATTGTATATTTTCCTTTGTATTTTGTATTTTGGTTGTTATATCCAGATGGTACTATATAATTTTATAGACAATTCAAAAGTTAACAGAAAAAAAGAAAAAAGAAATGATAATGAAATAATATTACAAATAAATGAACATGCTAACATTTGGCAATTAAAAAAAAAAGCTGCTTTTATGCCAATTAATCCAGTAAAGAAACTGTAAGGACAGGCAGGCATTGATCCCTTTCCTTCCCATTATGTGAGTCATAAACTACACCCCTATAACAAACGTTAACAAAAGAAAAGCATAACAAATGTATTTAGCCATAGTTTTACATGACACAAGGGCCTTCAGAATGACATAAATATACATGGAAGACTCTCTGACTTTCATGCTTAGGTTCAATGAAGCAGAAACAGCCGTATAGGAATGTGATTGGCCAAAAAGGGTATGATGGCAGATGCTGGGTGGGGAGAACTCACAAGGCCTGTCTGTGCAGATTCTTCCTCTCTGTGCAGCATTCCTTCCTTCCAGGCATGGAACAGGATTGTCTTTGGAATGGGAGTCTTGGGACCTACAGTCAAACAAGATAGATTAGAGAATTTCTTTATGCCCAGTTCCTACACAGAAAGGTTTGGGAATGTTAGAGTAATAATTTTAGGCTTTTGACTGGCTTTGGGGAAAAGGGGTTCTGGTTCTTATGACTTGGGGAAGAGAGATTCTAGTTTCTTTTCTTTTTTTGAGACGGAGTTTCCCTCTTGTCGCCCAGATTGGAGTGCAATGGCACGATCTCAGTTCACTGCAACCTCTGCCTCCTGGGTTCAACTGATTCTCCTGCCTCAACCTCCCAAGTAACTGGGATTACAGGCGCCCACCACCACGCCCGGCTATTTTTGTATTTTTAGTAGAGCCAGGGTTTTGCCATGTTGGCCAGGCTGGTCTCAAACCCTGACCTCAGGTGATCCGCCCGCCCTGTCCTCTTGAAATGCTGGTATTACAGGTGTGAGCCACTGTGCCCGGCCGAGATTCTAGTTTCTATGGCTTGCCCTGGGAAAGAAGGAGGCTGAGGGGCAGGAGGGCAGGAGAAGTTCAGAGAGAAACCTTGCTTCTGAGGTTGCCTCTGAGGCCTTTACTTTGGGGTATCGTTTTCTGAGCCCCAGCAATAACACCTACCACTTTCTGAACAGAGGGCTCAGGTCTTTTTCTGGACTCCTCCCAAAGGCTTATTAACAACGGAGTGGCTCCTGGAGGCACAGACAAGAAATCAGGGCATGTTCTGATAACTGCTAAATGGGCTTGCAGGCTCAGAAGTAGAGCATCTAAACACCTACCCATGAGAAACCTTATTAATTTAACAAGAGATATTTATTGTTGTTTGGTCAGAGACTAACAAAGCTCTATGAAACCTTCATTTACACTCTAGTTAAACTTCCAGGCATTGCCTACTCTCTGAAGAGCAGTGACTGAGCTTTTTAAAGGTTAAATTACTCACATAACCCTGGCCAGCTTGGTTTACAAATACAAAAGAATATTGCTATTTAACCAAAAGTGTCAAAGCAAAGGAATCAGAGGTGATCAGCCAGAGGCCTATATTATTTCTCTCAACTAAGACGTTTGTATTTCAGGAAATCTGGAAACTGTTTTGTTTGTACGTCAAAAAGGAAAGAGTAGAGAATAAGTTGGCTACAAAGGGTAAACACCAAGGAAAATGGGGCTGATGGAACTGTTCTGTGTGTTGATGATCAGACTTTTATATGCATTTGTTAGCCATCATGAAACTGTATTCAAAAAGAGAAAATTTTACTGTATGTAAACTAAAAATTAAATTTATAAAGGGAAAGTGGAGTACTTAAATTTTTCTCTAAGTAAATTCTGGCTATGCACGGAGTGATAATGAGGCTTTCCTTGATTCATAGTTGACCGTTGTTGGGTCTAGGAATAGAGCAAACTATTGACAAATTCCATTCTTTTAAGTATCCAGGTTAATTAATTTTGTCAACGTAAGAGTAGTCTTGTAGAACCAAAATTACTCTGATCCTGCCCTACATCTTATTTAGTTCCAGAAATTTGGTTCCTTGCAAAGTGCTCCCCACTGCCCTCAGCCACACACACACACACACACACACACACACACACACACCCCTATCTCAAGAAGAACTCTCCTGACAAACCTCTATTTAGCATCTGCTGTGGCCAACTGATTCGCACTATCACTGGCCACAGGGCCTAGGGTCCACTGCCATTGCCCTGACCAAGCATTTTTCCCTTGGCACAATCCAAAGAAACAAATCTCTGCCAATGCCAAATTTGTACGTTACTTTCACTCATAACTAAACTGAAGACAGACTATGTTTCATGCATAAAATGAGAATAATGCCTCTCTTTCTATACCAATCAGACCTAGCCCTCAGGCCAACCTGAGGACCTGATATTGTACCATCCTGCTCTCTCATCAGATATATTGCATATACCTCCTCTCTTTGCCTTCATTTTATGCTAAGTACACAAAAGCCATAAACATATATATTCATATAACTCAATGCCTGCAGGTCATTCAGCAGCACACAAGAGAAATGGGGCTTTCCTGTAGACTCAGCCATCATTCCCTGCTACTGTTGTACTCTTATTTGGCTGGGAGTTAATCAACCCAAGTTTTTAAGGAGAAATGGATTTTATACTGAATTCCAAGACACCAGAAAATAATAAATAGGAAAAAAGAGGAGCTCAATTGCTTCTAGTCTTAGAAATATTGCCCATATAAGTCATTCTCCCCTGAAAGCTTTTGACAGGTAGAAAGTAGTACACTTGGTTCAACTGACTTACTAATATCATGAACAGATTATTATGTATTTATTTCCAGGGTACTTTATATTTTCTGCCAACCCAAAAAAAACCTTCTTAAAAGGGTTAAGGAACATGGTCACAGAAAGCAGTGGCCCATAGAAATACAGTTCATGTTTGTTCACATATATGGCCAAGGAAATGCATCACAGATCAATCGTGAATCTCATTATTAAGAAATTTTAGGCTGTCAAAATCTTAAAAGCCATATTTTCCCTATGACACACAGATGCATTTCCATTCACCTTTCTTATAAAGGTCTCCATTAGAATAGAAAAAAAAACATTGAATGACAATTGTAAAGAAAGCTAGTCAACACTTTCATTTTTCCACATGACTTATCTTAGAACTTCTACTATATATCCCATTAAAATTGTTATATAAGTTATAGTAACAGAACAAATAAACATGTAAGTTGGCTTTCCTTGAACAATAAGCACTACAAAGAGAAAAAAGTCTTCTCTGTTACTGTTTGTATTGTCAAAAGCTCCCAGGTAATCTCAAGTATCTGTGTTAGGAATATGGGTCTTCATACAAGGTAGCTGTGCTCTCCCTGGGGCAGCTGAAGTAGTTTGAGCTTATGTCATTGAAATGATTATCTTCAGTAGGGCAAAGCATCAAGGGGCTTCTTCAATTTATCTTCACTGCACCCAGATTATATAGTCAAGATTCAAAGCCTAAATAATTACAAAATCTAGAAAACACATGCAAATGGGTGAGAATGATTGAGTGTAAGAAACAAACAATATGACAAAGTAGGGACCGTGGGAAAGGAACGAAGTCATATCCCACCCTAAGGAGGTGGCTGCTACTGACTTCCATCTGTTGCTATGAGAAAATGGGGACCCAGTGGAGGAGGGTGTACAATGATTAAGAGAAGCTGGAAACTTGAATATATTTTGTCTGTGTATGGAATTTCCCAATTTAAAATATTGATTGAAAAACTTATGAAACCCTGAGCCAAACCACGTCATGCTTACAGGACAAATTCAGTCAAAGGGTTGCCAGTTGGGTGCATCTTTTCCATACTGATTGACCTTTTATCAAGGTGTGACAGTTAATTTTATGTGTCAACTTGGCTAGGCCATGTTGCCCATATATTTGGTAAAGCACATCTGAATGTTGCTGTGAAGGTATATTTCAGATGAGTTTAACAATTACATCTGTAGGCTTTGAGTAAAGCAGATTGCCATCCATAATGTGAGTGGGCCTCAGTCAATCAGTTGAAGGTCTTAAAAAAAGATAGACTGGCCTTTGCAAGAGAAATGGAATCTGTCAAAAGAATGCCTTCTGACTCAAACTGCAGCATCTGTTTTTCCTTGGCTACCCTTCAGATTTTGGACTTGCTAGCCTTCACAATCCTGTGAGCCAGTTCCTAAAAATCAATCTCTCTCTCTCTCTCACTTTCCTTCTGTCTCTCTGTCACCCTCTCTCTCTCTAAGTGGCAGATAAGGGAAGACAAGGGCTCTGAAGACTGCTGTAGATTAGATATAGGTGTGTACATCATACACACACATATGCACACGCGTGTGCGTGCACACACACACACACACTTGTATCTCCTATTGGTTCTGTTTCCCTGGAGAACCCTGAATAATACAACAGGTATGCCAGGACGGTCCCATTTTATGCCTGTTTCCCCATGATAATTAAATAGTAAGACTTTTATTTGGCCACACTGTTTAGATAGCTTTAAATCCACCACCCAAGATGACTACATGCTAAATTCTATACATCCAAACCTATTGTGAGTCACTCTGATCTCTATTCTATTCTAGCCTATTTACCCCAACTTACCTCCCTCCCTAAAAGACCATATTTGATTTTCAGCCAACATTTTGGAAATATCACCTGATTCCATCATCTCTCTCACCCCTGTCTCTCTCCTCAAAACTAACAGTTTGAATTATATCCTATTTTAACTTTTTTTTTTCATTTTCACTCCTAATTTATATGTGTTTTGAAATAATAAACAGAAGCTTCATGTCATACTTCTTGTATTCAGCTCTTGGTCTCACATTACAGGACCCTGGCTCTTATTTTGTGAGCTGCTCTGACCCAAGGCTTTCTCCAGTTTGCCCTCTTCCTATTCTGCTCACCTATTTTGATCTTAGTGTGTGGCATGCATCTCTCCTGACCAAAGCTCCTTTTGGAAAGAAATAGCACAGAAAGGAAAGTAATATCTGATAATATTTCACACACACAAAAGAAATTGTGATGGATTTCACATGACTATTTCTTTCAATGCCAATAACAATAGTTAATGTATATTCAGTATTTCCAATGTGTCAGGAATTGTCCTAAGCACTTCACACATATTAATTTTAATCTTTTATACATCCTCATTTTATTCTAATGATAATCTTATGAGATATTATTATAGTTCCAATTCTGCACATGAGGAAACTGAGATACAGAGAGAATCAAAAACTTATTCAAAGTCATGTAGTTAATAAATGGTTTCAGTTTCAGAGACACAATCCTTACCACCATGCGCCTATATTTGTCAAAGTAAACTGACTCTTACAACAAATGATCTCAAATTCTTAATAGTTTAACACAGTAACCATTTACTTCTCACCTATATCACTATCTAACAAGAGTTGTGGGGTTGTGGGGCACTTTCTTCCACGCAATCACTCAAGGCCTCAGCTACTTCTATCTGTTTGTTCCCCTAGCCCCAGGGCTCCAGGAATCCTCAGCATCTGACTGGCAGATAAGGAGACAGAAAGATTGCTATAGGCCAGATCCAGGTACACATCACTTGTGTCCAAATCCTGCTGACCAGAACCCAATCGCACACCCCATTTGACTAAAAGAAAGACAGGGAAAGATAGTCCAGCTGTGTTCCCAGGAAGAGGAAACAAAATCCAGTGAGCACACACAGTGAACCACAGCCTCCCTGCAGTGTTTCCTAAAGGCCAGGAGAAAGAAACAAAATTACAACATGGTGAATGCTATTCTATGACCATGGACAATTACACAGCACATGGATGTATCCCTGGTGGACCAGCTTGACAACAGAATTTAGAATCCCAAAAGGAGGAGACAGCATATCTTTCACTGGCTATTCTACCAATCACACAAAGCTAAAACTTCCTAAGGATAAAAGTAGGATTATGGTTGAAGAAAAAGCAGAAAATAAATAGGACTGCAATTTGAATGCAACGGAATATTGGCCTTTATGAAAATAGGATGCTTTGGAGTTTCTACGAATTCCAAAAAAAATCTGAAGAATTAAGTAAAGCAGTTTACTATAATTAGAAACCATCGTCAGAGCAGTCAGAGCAGTGGACAACAGCCTTAATTAGTTCTTGAATTCAAATTTTTTTTAGATGGATTAGAAAAAGAATATTTACTGTGTCCCAAACTAAAATAAAATAGTGTCCAAGAAGTTAGAAACTATTGCTTTGATCTAAACCTGAGAAAAAGAAGCCTTCCCAATATTAATGGGAAACCAAATTTCCATGGATTATCTTGATTAAAACATAACATTGGTAACTATATTGCAAAATCTGTCCTTCTTACTAGTTCTAAAGCTGAAACCCTGGGATTCTCTTAGACTGCTTAAATTTTGAGAGTTTTTTAAGAGTTAAATTTATTAAGTTCCACCAAAGGTAAAAGATAAAACCAATTCTATGTTTGATCATAGAATATGCTTCATTAGCTTCAACTGTATTGTTTTTGCATTTGCTTTTTCTCATTGTTTGCTTGCTGTTATATCAACTCCTTTTTGTTATTCCCGTAATCTGTGTTATTCAAAGGAGCAGACAGGAGCAGACTTCATCTCTCTGTCATTTATTGATTAAAATGCAGTAAACATTTTTGGAAAGACAGTCCAAACAGAGATTCATAGAAGTAAAGATCTCTGTCCTCCAGCTCATTGTTTACAATCTGTTTACAGGTCAAAGTGGGTAAGGAAAGCTTCAAACTCTCCTCCCCAGCTCTAACCCCCAATTTTCCCATATATAAAGAAAGAGCAAAGGATAAAAAACCAAACACCGCATGTTCTCACTCATAGGTGGGAATTGAACAAAGAGAACACATGGACACAGGAAGGGGAACATCACACACCGGGGACTGTTGTGGGGTGGGAGGAGGGGGAAGGGATAACATTAGGAGATATACCTAATGCTAAATGACGAGTTAATGGGTGCAGCAAACCAACACGGCACATGTATACATATGTAACAAACCTGCACGTTGTGCACATGTACCGTAAAACTTAAAGTATAATAATAATAAAATAAAATAAAAAGAAAGAGATCTAAGCTTTTTGATGTGCTGCTGGATTCGGTTTGCCAGTATTTTATTGAGGATTTTTGTATCGATGTTCATCAAGGATATTGGTCTAAAATTCTCTTTTTTTGGTTGTGTCTCTGCCAGGCTTTGGTATCAGGATGATGCTGGCCTCATAAAATGAGTTAGGGAGGATTCCCTCTTTTTCTATTGATTGGAATAGTTTCAGAAGGAATGGTACCAGTTCCTCCTTGTACCTCTGGCAGAATTCGGCTGTGAATCCATCTGGTCCTGGACTCTTCTTGGTTGGTAAGCTATTGATTATTGCCACAATTTCAGAGCCTGTTATTGGTCTATTCAGAGATTCAGCTTCTTCCTGTTTTAGTCTTGGGAGAGTGTATGTGTCGAGGAATTTATCCATTTCTTCTAGATTTTCTAGTTTATTTGTGTAGAGGTGTTCGTAGTATTCTCTGATGGTAGTTTGTATTTCTGTGGGATCGGTGGTGATATCCCCTTCATCATTTTTTATTGCGTCTATTTGATTTTTCTCTCTTTTTTTCTTTATTTGTCTTTCTAACGGTCTATCAATTTTGTTGATCCTTTCAAAAAACCAGCTCCTGGATTCATTAATTTTTTGAAGGGTTTTTTGTGTCTCTTTTTCCTTCAGTTCTGCTCTGATTTTAGTTATTTCTTGCCTTCTGCTAGCTTTTGAATGTGTTTGCTCTTGCTTTTCTAGTTCTTTTAATTGTGATGTTAGGGTGTCAATTTTGGACCTTTCCTGCTTTCTCTTGTGGGCATTTAGTGCTATAAATTTCCCTCTACACACTGCTTTGAACATGCCCCAGAGATTCTGGTATGTTTTGTCTTTGTTCTCATTGATTTCAAAGAACGTCTTTATTTCTGCTTTGATTTCGTTATGTACCCAGTAGTCATTCAGGAACAGGTTGTTCAGTTTCCATGTAGTGGAGCGGTTTTGAGTGAGTTTCTTAATCCTGAGTTCTAGTTTGATTGCACTGTGGTCTGAGAGATTGTTTGTTATAATTTCTGTTATTTTACATTTGCTGAGGAGAGCTTTACTTCCAACTATGTGGTCAATTTTGGAATAGGTGTGGTGTGGAGCTGAAAAAAATGTATATTCTGTTGATTTGGGGTGGAGAGTTCTGTAGATGTCTATTAGGTCTGCTTGGTGCAGAGCTGAGTTCAATTCCTGGGTATCCTTGTTGACTTTCTGTCTCGTTGATCTGTCTAATGTTGACAGTGGGGTGTTAAAGTCTCCCATTATTAATGTGTGGGAGTCTAAGTCTCTTTGTAGGTCACTCAGGACTTGCTTTATGAATCTGGGTGCTCCTCTATTGGGTGCATATATATTTAGGCTCATTAGCTCTTCTTGTTGAATTGATCCCTTTAACATTATGTAATGGCCTTCTTTGTCTCTTTTGATCTTTGTTGGTTTAAAGTCTGTTGTATCAGAGACTAGGATTGCAACCCCTGCCTTTTTTTGTTTTTCATTTGCTTGGTAGATCTTCCTCCATCCTTTTATTTTGAGCCTATGTATGTCTCTGCATGTGAGATGGGTTTCCTGAATACAACACACTGATGGATCTTGACTCTTTATCCAGTTTGCCAGTCTGTGTCTTTTAATTGGAGCATTTAGTCCATTTACATTTAAAGTTAATATTATTATGTGTGAATTTGAACCTGTCATTATGATGTTAGCTGGTTATTTTGCTCGTTAGTTGATGCAGTTTCTTCCTAGCATCGATCGTCTTTACATTTTGGCATGATCTTGCAGCGGCTGGTACCGGTTGTTCCTTTCCATGTTTAGTGCATCCTTCAGGAGCTCTTTTAGGGCAGGCCTGGTGGTGACAAAATCTCTCAGCATTTGCTTATCTGTAAAGGATTTTATTTCTCCTTCACTTATGAAGCTCAGTTTGGCTGGATATGAAATTCTGGGTTGAAAATCCTTTTCTTTAAGAATGTTGAATATTGGCCCCCAGTCTCTTCTGGCTTGTAGAGTTTCTGCTGAGAGATCCTCTGTTAGTCTGATGGGCTTCCCTTTGTGGGTAACCCAACCTTTCTCTCCGGCTGCCCTTAACATTTTTTCCTTCATTTCAACTTTGGTGAATCTGACAATTATGTGTCTTGGAGTTGCTCTTCTCGAGGAGTATCTTTGTGGTGTTCTCTGTATTTCCTGAATCTGAATGTTGGCCTGCCTTGCTAGATTGGGGAAGTTCTCCTGGATTACATCCTGTAGAGTGTTTTCCAACTTGGTTCCATTCTCCCCATCATTTTCAGGTACATCAATCAGACGTAGATTTGGTCTTTCCACATAGTCCCATATTTCTTGGAGTCTTTGTTTGTTTCTTTTTATTCTTTTTTCTCTAAACTTCCCTTCTCACTTCATTTCATTCATTTCATCTTCCATCACTGATACCCTTTCTTTCAGTTGATCGCATCGGCTCCTGAGGCTTCTGCATTCTTCACGTAGTTCTCGAGCGTTGGCTTTCAGCTCCATCAGCTCCTTTAAGCACTTCTCTGTATTGGTTAGTCTAGTTATACATTCATCTAAATTTTTTTCAAAGTTTTTAACTTCCGGCCAAGGCAATTAGGCAGGAGAAGGAAATAAAGGATATTCAATAAGGAAAAGAGGAAGTCAAATTGTCCCTGTTTGCAGACGACATGATTGTATATCTAGAAAAACCCATTGTCTCAGCTCAAAATCTCCTTAAGCTGATAAGCAACTTCAGCAAAGTCTCAGGACACAAAATCAATGTACAAAAATCACAAGCATTCTTATACACCAACAACAGACAAACAGAGAGCCAAATCATGAGTGAACTCCCATTCACAATTGCTTCAAAGAGAATAAAATACCCAGGAATCCACCTTACAAGGGACATGAAGGACCTCTTCAAGGAGAACTACAAACCACTGCTCAATGAAATAAAAGAGGATACAAACAAATGGAAAAACATTCCATGCTCATGGGTAGGAAGAATGAATATTGTGAAAATGTCCATACTGCCCAAGGTAATTTATAGATTCAATGCCATCCCCATCAAGCTACCAATGACTTTCTTCACAGAATTGGAAAAAACTACTTTAAAGTTCATATGGCACCAAAAAAGAGCCCGCATCATCAAGTCAATCTTAAGCCAAAAGAAAAAAGATGGAGGCATCACACTACCTGACTTCAAACTATACTACAAGGCTACCATAACCAAAACAGCATGGTACTGGTACCAAAACAGAGATATAGATCAATGGAACAGAACAGAGCCCTCAGAAATAATGCCGCATCTCTACAACTATCTGATCTTTGACAAACCTGACAAAAACAAGCAATGGGGAAAGGATTCCCTATTTAATAAATGGTGCTGGGAAAACTGGCTAGCCATAAGTAGAAAGCTGAAACTGGATCCCTTCCTTACACCTTATACAAAAATCAATTCAAGATGATTAAAGACTTAAATGTTAGACATAAAACCATAAAAACTCTGGAAGAAAACCTAGGCATTACCATTCAGGACATAGGCATGGGCAAGGACTTCATGTCTAAAACACCAAAAGCAATGACAACAAAAGCCAAAATTGACAAATGAGATCTAATTAAACTAAAGAGCTTCTGCACAGCAAAAGAAACTACCATCAGAGTGAACAGGCAACCCACAAAATGGGAGAAAATTTTCACAACCTACTCATCTGACAAAGGGCAGATGTACACTGAACTCAAACAAATTTACAAGAAAAAAACAAACAACCCCATCAAAAAGTGGGCGAAGGACATGAACAGACACTTCTCACAAGAAGACATTTATGCAGCCAAAAAACACATGAAAAAATGCTCACCATCACTGGCCATCAGAGAAATGCAAATCAAAACCACAATGAGATACCATCTCACACCAGTTAGAATGGCAATCATTAAAAAGTCAGGAAACAACAGGTGCTGGAGAGGATGTGGAGAAATAGGAACACTTTTACACTGTTGGTGGGACTGTAAACTAGTTCAACCATTGTGGATGTCAGTGTGGCGATTCCTCAGGGATCTAGAGCTAGAAATACCATTTGACCCAGCCATCCCATTACTGGGTATATACCCAAAGGACTATAAATCATGCTGCTATAAAGACACATGCACACGTATGTTTATTGCGGCACTATTCACAATAGCAAAGACTTGGAACCAACCCAAATGTCCAACAATGATAGACTGGATTAAGAAAATGTGGCACATATACACCATGGAATACTATGCAGCCATAAAAAATGATGAGTTCATGTCCTTTGTAGGGACATGGATGAATTTGAAATCATCATTCTCAGTAAACTATCGCAAGAACAAAAAATCAAACACCACGTATTCTCATTCATAGGCGGGAATTGAACAATGAGAACACATGGACACAGGAAGGGGAACATCACACTCTGGGGACTGTTGTGGGGTAGGGGGAGGGGGGAGGGATAGCATTGGGAGATATACCTAATGCTAGATGACCAGTTAGTGGGTGCAGCGCACCAGCATGTCACATGTATACATATGTAACTAACCTGCACATTGTGCACATGTACCCTAAACTTAAAAGTATAATAATAAAAATAAATAAATAAATAAAATAAAAAAGAAAGAAATCTAAGTAATGGGTTAGGTTGGATAATATTAGGGAAGTGGAGTGAGAAAATTTTGATCACTCTTTGTGTGACAGGCATTCTCTGGGATGCTCTTCCTTCCTCAAGGCTGGAGAGCAAAGACTGGGTTTAGGACCTGGTGCTCAGTGAAAAGAGTCTAACCATCTCTGTCTTTTTCTAGCTCCAATGCTTTGAACTCATCTTTTTGCTAGCTGTCAGAGTCTAGACATTTTTTTCATAATCCCTAGAATGTTAAATCTCAGGCTTAGACAAGTGATTAGAGTGAAAAGATGAGTTCCACATGTTAGCTAAACTTAGCCTTCCCAGTGGCCTTGACTAAGATTCAGTCTGAAGCTTATCAGAAGTAAAATGTATGGCCTGGCCTATTTTTGACTCTCAATCATCGTGAAGATGATGAGCAACAGTAACAGAATAGAATCAGTTGTTTAGAATTCCAGGTTCTTCATATTACATAATAATATATGCATACATATCACATATTTATTTTAGCTTTAACAAAACTTTCAGGGCTGGTTTTCCAAGCACGGTGATAAAAGGTAGAAAATCTGCCATAGGATCACGGTAAGGAGAAAACAAGTTTATAGTATAGCCTGTAACATTAACTTCTAGAGTATATCTACATGTAAATTTCAAAAAAAAAAACCTTCTACTTAACAAAATCACACTTACAATTTAGTTTGGCTATGATTTTTTTACTTTTAAATTTACAAAGCTTTTTCTTATACCTATCTCTTGTATATGGAAGGTGTATTCTACCCCACAAGCAGCTGAATGTCTCAGAGAAGGTAGCTGTCACGTTGTTTCAATATGAAATTGATATAGCAGAAGATTTTTTTGCTCCCCATTGCCTCAGTGTCACATCAATTCCCCAGTGATAAATGTAAACTGGTTTTAATCACTATGGTCAAATGAGCACATACTTCAAGAAACTTCAAGGAACTTATTATCTGAAACCATAAAATCAAAACGCTGGTATTTTCTTCTGATATCATTTTTCTACTTGGCTCCTCTAACGGGATATGGCATACATTTTTAACCTTCAAAATTTGAGGCTGGATATTTTTTACACTTTTGGCAGTTAGGAATACATTAAAACCCACAGTATATGAAGAATTTGGGTACTGGAAGAGGTAGAGATCAAGACTTAGAAGGTCTGAGAAATAATTGATAATAAATAATGGTAGATGATAAATATACTGTTCTTTAAAAGTTTAGATACAGAAAGAAAAGTTAGAGGTAAAGCTAAGTAGATACTGTAGGATGTCTCCAAAATGCATAGAGAAGATGATGGCAAAAAGTGATATCTAAAATAAGCAACAGATAAAGAAATGTAACTTCAGGTTTATACAAAATAATGTATTTTTTAACAAAAAGAAACAACATAAAAACTGCTCCTTTGAAATTATAATGTTACATCTGCCAAAGGGTTCTCACTGGAAAACATTTCTGATCATTGGAAACCATCAAATTTCTCTTGCTCATTCACAGCCCAGGACAAGAGACAGAATCTTAGGCCAAACCCTCCCTCTACTATTTTAGATTCTGGAAGTGAAAATTCTTCTCTGTCTTATAAGCAGAACAGAAAGCAAGCATTGCCTGAATTTAAGCAAAGAAATGAAAGTACAATAATATCCCAATCCTTTAAAAACTGAGGCTGTTACTACTTCTGTTGGCATGAGGGAACACTGGAAGAAAATGGCCTCAAGCTCTGCCTTTCCTCCTTCTTGCCATCTGTGCGGCATCGCGGTGCCTCTGCATCGACAATCACCAGCCGCCAGCAAAGGCATCTATGGTATGATATTTATGTTCATTTGAGGTGCTCTGAGTAAAAAAATGCAACAGCTCATCCCTTGAAACATAGTCATCCACCTTAACTAGCATGATCATTATCCCTGAGAGCCCAGCCACTGAATCTAGCAAATTTAAAACTGAAGACAGAAAGGGCACTGAAACACAGGCTTACCAGAATACCAATATTTTTAAATTAATGCAAATGCCTATATAATATTGTAGCACAAGCAAAAGTAAATAGATAACTGGAATGGACTTTTCAAATAGACTTGATCCTAAGCTTGCTTACATTGAGTTGATCATTTTGAATCCATTTACTAGTAGTGTTTTGTTCTCATTTCTAGCAGTCGTGAAATAGTCTTGGCAAAAAAGTACATAGATCTTGTTCTTACTAGTTTGAACACAGCTCTTGAGCTGAGTTAGTGTTTTTCACTTATATGAATGTCATCCTGGGAATGAAATGACTATGCTTTGTGAGATGCAACTTTTAATATCAAGCCTGGGAATTAGTTGAGATAAATATAGTGCTGTAATATAAATAAATGTGAATCACAAACTATAAAAGATCCACAAATAACCACAAGGAAACAAAGAGAAAGAAAACACAAACAAATTATGTGAAGCTTTGATATCAAGTTATGAGAATTTAGGTTATTGGTCAGCAATCTAAATTAATACTGACAAATCAATGCAAATAAAGATACATTAATACTCCTTATCATTGCTATATATTTGTTTATTTTCCTGGCCTTGGACTTATAATTTTAGGGAATTAAAAATTATAATTACTCAATACTTCATCTCAAAGATTTTAATTTTAAGAGATGTGGAAGCATTTATTTAGAAATATGTGGTCATAGTTCTATTAACTGTAAAAAAAATTGTATAAATGTAATTTAGAGTTATTTTAAATGGTTTTTATTCTAGAAAGTTTAAATGAAATGAAAAATAAAAAGTGAATTCAGGACATCATTTTCCAAGGTGAATTATACTGTTTATTAATAATTTGTTGGAGACACATTGGGCAATCTGACAGTCAAAAGATGTAAAATTGAATCTCTGCTCTACCACATCCCATCAATGACTCTGGACAAGTCTCTCGATCTTACTGAGCAGCAATTACTTTATTCCTGGAATTAGCGGTCCATTAATTTTCATGCTTCTACCTTCCTGTATAGTAAGAATTCAATAATAAATATACATTAAATTTATTGAGTGCATGCTATGTGACAGACACTCTTCTAGGCATTTTTCACATATTAATTTACAGATCTTAACAACCCTATGAGGTATATGTTATACATGTTGTACAAAATATTTTATATTATATGTGACATATTGAATAATGTATACTAATATTATCATCTTCATTGGTAAGGTCAGGGAGATTGTGGAGGGAAGACAGACCATATTTAAAGTCTTATAACATATTGGGAGGACTTTAACTTTTACTGTGGGTGAGATCAGGATGCATTTTGTTTTAAAAGGCTTATTATGACTGCCATGTTGAGAATACAGAATGATGGGCAAGTGTAGAGAAAGGGAGATCAGAGAAGAGGCTTCTGCAGTAACCAGGTGAGAGATGATGGGTGCCAGCACCAGCATGGTAGTAGCAGAGGGACTGAGAATGTTTGGATTCTGGATATATTTGAAGGCTGAGTCAATGGAATTTTCTAATAGTTTGGATGAGAAAAAAGGAGGAAGTCAAGGATGACTCAGCAGTTTTGAACTTAGATAACTGTGAGGGTGAAAATGCGATCTTACTGAGGTGTAGGGTATTGGGATTAGAGCATATTTAAGGGCAGAAACCAAGAGTGCATGTCCATAAACTTATGTTCTGCTGCTTTACCTTCACTGCACAACACCATCACTCTACATGCATGGCTTTGGAACATGTACGTATTACTATTACTTCACCTGGCAAAATGGCACCTGAAAGCCTCTGCTTGTATCTGTTCTCCATCCCACTGCTCTTTTTGGCTCCCCTGTCCTTTTCTCCCTTCTCACTGTGGCACTGGTTGGTGCACCAGCACCAGACATGCAGTGGTCCTAACTACGTACCTAGGAAAAGCACTTCCAGACTGCCAAAGCTGTTATTTAGGGGTGGCACCAGATACTGGTAGCTGTAGCAAAATGGAGAAGAGAAAAAAGGGGAAAAGCAATTCACTTCCTGTTTCATAGTCTTAAATATATTCTCAGAGACCTCACAAGTGGTGACATTTGTGCTCGCAAATTCAGTTTCAAGAAAGAAGCTCCTCAGAATTTATTTACTTTCACCCCTTTCTCTAATCAAAAAGTATTTTTGGAGACTAGGGTAAAAAGAGATTTGAGTAAAAGCCCCCAGACTGCACTCAAAATTATGATCATTAGTCTTTATTTTTGGGTCAAGTTCATTTGTTCCCAAAACAAGTTAACATATCCCACCCTTGAAAAAAAATATTTGCTAGGCTAAATCAGTAATTCTCATTCAGTGCCCAAGTAAGACTGAACTCCAGCTGCACAGGAGGTTAAGTTTTTGTTTTTTGTTTTTGTTTTTGTTTTTTTGAGACGGTGTTTCTATCACCCAAGCTAGAGTGCAGTGGCGTCATCTCGGCTCACTGCAACCTCCACCTTCTGGGTTCAAGTGATTCTCCTGCCTCTGCCTCTCAAGTAGCTAGGACTACAGGGGTATGCAACTAGAGACAAGGTTTCACCATGTTGGCCAGGCAGGTCTTGAATTCCTAACCTCAAGTGATCTGACTGCCTTGGCCTCCCAAAGTGCTGGGATTACAGATGTGAGCCCCTGCACCGGGCTGTAAGAAGCATCCTCACCCAACATGAAATTGACTTTCATTAAGTTTATGTCTCCAGTTGCCACTCATGACCCAATATGTTTACATTTCACCAACAGACAAATATAAGACTTGCATTATAATTTCCTTTTTGTTGTCTTAGCTCTTTAATCCTCATAAATGATACTGTGTCAAAACTGAGCTTTAAAACCAAATTTCTTTAATTCTAAAACTCATGAGCTTAAATCACTAAACTAATTAGAATAACAAAGATTATGAAAGATTGGAAATGCATAGACAGAAGTGTCAGGAAATAAAGTATATTACTGTCCTTACCTAGTCAAAACTTACATTATCCCTGAATTGGACAATTAGAGCTTCAGGTGAGTTTTGAAAAAAAAATTACAATAATCCATAACATTGAGATCAAGATAATATTTTCCACATTACTGGAGAAAAATGAGAAAGGTAGTGATTAGGGGCATGGTCTTTGTAGGCAGACACACCTGAGATAGAATGTTGATGCTCCATTTAGCTAATGGTGTCACCTTGGGCACATCATTTACTTTGCTGAACCATAAAAAGACAAACTGTTACATCCGACTTGAAAAATGTAACTATGTTGCTTACAAGGAACATAGCTTTAAAGGGTGAAATAAAATCTAGGCATATACCAATAAAGCAAACTAACTGAAAATCATCAGGGCTAGCAAAAGTGAAATAAACAGAGTAAATATGTAACTGAATTTTTCTGGTTAACCCACATTGGAAATTAGGATCCAATGCTGGTATGGTTTGGTTCTGTGTCCCCATCCAAATCTCATGTCAAATTTAATTCCCAGTGTTGAAGGAGGGATATGGTGGGAGGTGATTGGATCATGGAAACAGATTTCCTTTTTGCTGGTCTTATGATAGTGAGTGAGTTTTCATAAGATCTGATTGTTTAAAAGTGTGTAGCACTTCCTCCTTCACTCTCTGTCTCCCATCACCATGTAAAGATGTGCTTGCTTCCCCTTTGCCTTCCACCATGATTGTAAGTTTCCTGAGGCCTTCTCAACCATGCCACCTGTACACCTGAGGAACTGTGAGTCAATTAAACTTCTTTTCTTGTAAACTACCCAGTCTCAGGTACTTCTTTATAGCAATGTCAGAATGGACAAATACAAATGCTAAAGCAAAAAGACAATACATACACTGCAGTTCAAAAAAAAGAAAAGTAAAGTAAATAGCAGAAGCCAGACATTGTTTCCAGGGCTTATTATGAAGGAGTAAAACTGACTTTCTGTCCTCAACTATCATCCCAACTAACCCACTTCCCATCCCTTTTGGTCTGTATAAAGATACATCACATAGGATGTGAGGGAGGGAAAAAGAGATGTAGAGAAAGACAGGGAAACAGAAAGACAAAGAGAGAGAAAATGATTGAAAGAAAAAGAAAAATAACCCTCATTTCCTGAGATCAACGATCCTAAGAGAATTACTCATAGGAACCAGGAATGTGTGGTGGAAACAGGCCTCTCATTTTTCAGTTGGATATCTGCTTGTGCCGTGGATTGGCTGAACCACCAGTGCCCCACCTGCAAAGCCTTATGGTTGAAAGAAAATTAGAAAGATTAGAGAGAAATAATAGAGCAGCCTGCACTTCTACCTCATATCAGATGAGAGAATGTGTGAGCTCCCAGAAGATCCACAGGATTCTGCAGAAGTAACACACACTGAGCTGTCTTAAGACAGTTGCCCCAAAGAGCTGCCCACTGGGCTAGGGTAGCTCAGCAGCAAGAGACAATGGGCTGTACTGACAGAGGACAGAGGAGGGGCATTTGAAACACTTCGAGCTACCACTTCCCTCCCATATAAGTTACCTGTACAGCAGGTGATCTTCTTAATACCACAATGACCAGAAAAGGTCTTTCTAGAACTGCTATGAAATCTACTTGAGACAAAAATATCATTGTCATCAAGAAAAGGAACACAAAGAAAATGGCTGAAGTCAGTGACTGAAGAACAATGAAACCATTTCTTATTTTTATGTCTCAGAGTTTAGCCTGGCACAATCATCCCAAATTTCTTACACAGGTAATATAGAGAGAACATTTAAACTGATTAAAAATCCAACACACAATGAAGATAGGCTAACCTAGGCCAACCTCTAAGTACTATTATACCAAAATGCCATAAGCAAAACATGTACCCTGGAGCCAAATAGCCTGGGTTTTAATTCTTATGGGTAACACTGAGCAAGTTTTTTTTTTTTTTAACTTTTCTGTGCTTCCATTTCCTCCTCTAAAAAATTGAATTCATAATAGGACCTTTCTCATTGGCTCTTGTGAGGATCAAATTATGTAGGATGGCAGGCATTTTGAATAGAGCCAGATACACAAAGAGCACTCCATAAATGCCAGTCATCAGCTGCAGCATTGTTAATGCATTGTTTTTTTGTGTGTGTGGTTGTTTTTTTTTTTTTTCTTTTTTTGAGACAGAGTCTCTCCATGTCACCCAGGCTGAAGTGCAGTGGCACAATCTCGGCCCACAGCAAACTCCACCTCCTGAGTTCAAGTGGTTCTCCTGCCTCAGCCTCCCAAGTAGCTGGGACTATAGGCATGTGTTGCTACACCTGGCTAATTTTTGTATTTTTAGTAGAGATGGGGTCACGCTATGTTGGTCAGGCTGATCTCAAACTCCTGACCTCAAGTGACCTGACTGCCTTGGCCTCCCAAAATGCTGGGATTACAGGCGTGAGCCACAGTGCCCAGCCTGTTAATGCTGGGGGGAATAGAAACACATCTGTGGTTGAAAATTTTAATAGCGCACTCTCAAATTTTAGTGGCTGAAAAATAATCTAGACAAAAAATAAGTAATAAATATTTGGATGATTAGGATAATATAATTGCTATCAGAGAAAGAAATAGTAATAAATGGGAAAGTAAAAAATGTAAGAGACAAAAGTGTGAACATTAGTATATGAAAAGCCCAAAGGTTGCCAACAGAGTAAAAGATCAAAAATAAGAAAGAAAATAAACAGTTGACAATATGAAAAAATATATTTTTTTATAAAATTGTAATATCAGTACACTTAAGAATAAAGTAAAATTAGATTAGGGACTTCTAAAATCTAACAACTTATTAAAACAATGAAAATTGTAATCAATATTTTCTCAATCCCAGGGTGAGTAGCAACCATATATAGTGCTATGTAAATTGATATGAACATTGATAAATTGATATGAGAGCAATTGGTGATATAAACCAAAGAGACTTCAAACTATTCTTGCCCTTGGTTTCAAAAATAACATTCATAGAAAGTAAACTAAGAAAATATGAAGTTAAGTGAAAAGAATACAAAATTACATAAAAATATTATCTCAATTATGCTGAAAGTTTCTAACAAAAAATATAAAAATGAATGCACAAAAATGTTAATAATTGTCTCAAGAATATGAATATTTTTCTTAATTCTACTTTCTGGCATTTTACTTTTCTTTAATTTTTTTATTTTTCTGTAAATGTGCATGTTACTTACAATCAGAATATTTACTTTGTAATTTAAGTTTCAAGTAGCATCCAATTGGAAGACAGAAGCAGCCCACAACCAGTCCTCTCCACACTATGTATATGTGGCTAGGTATGCACAGAAGTGGCTTACAGTTCAACAAGTATTATATTTCACACTGTGTAAAGTAGATTCCTTTAGCTAGGTTGCTTTCATTTTGTTGCTGCATTGAAAGTGTATTCTTTCAACCAATTTATTGCATTTCTTTGTAAGATAAATGTTTGCCAGGGATTCATTGTTCTTCTAGGTGAGTTTGCTATGGTGTACAGAAGATGTATTCTTGAGAGGTCAGTGTCCACTCACCATATTCTGCTGTTTTATTTGGTTGTGACATGTGAATTGAATGTTTTCATTAGTCTAAGACCCAGATTTTTATCTCCTAAACCTTTTTATATTTCTTGCCTTTCTTGTCACAGTTTATTAAAAGCACATTTTGTTCTGTGGAATTAGATTCCCGTCTCCTCAGCTTGATGGGATTTTTGTCTCTTCACCTGAGAATTGTAGATCACAAAATAATTCAGTAACACTTTAAGTCAAGGAATTTAATAAAACTGTTATGTTGAATACAATTTACAGGTGCTCTAAAATAGATTACTCTAAAATATATGGCCTGCCTTCTAGTTTCTATAACCTTGTATAGATAAAGACTGGGAACACTTATGTGAGATAAATACAGATTTAAAGTGTAATTATATGCATATATATGCATACACACACACATATCTATAGAGAGAATTCAAATAGAATATCATGGAGTCAAAAGGAACTGATGGTACAGGTAAGAAACAAAAACCCATAATTTATTTCTCCTTTCTCTCCCCTCCCTCTCTATTTGCTCTCTCTCTGTCTCTCTGTCTGTCTGTCTCTCTCTCTCTCCTCTCTCTCTCACTATGTGTAGGCCCACTCACATTAAAGAAAGAAAGCAAGTGAAAAAAAGTGTTTAAGATTTTTTTATTATTATTATACTTAAACTTCTGGGATACATGTCCAGAACATGCAGGTTTGTTACATAGGTATACACGTGCCATGGTGGTTTGTTGCAACCATCAACCCATCATCTAATTAGGTATTTCTCCTAATGCTATCCCTCCCCTAGCTCCTACCCCCAACAGGCCCTGGTATGTGATGTTCCCTTCCCTGTGTCCATGTGTTCTCATTGTTCAGCTCCCACTTATGAGTGAGAACATGTGGTGTTTTGTTCAAGTTTTCTGTTCTTGTGTTAGTTTGCTGAGAATGATGGTTTCCAGCTTCATCCCTGTCCCTCCAAAGGACATGAAATCATCCTTTTTTATGGCTGCATAGTATTTTATGGTATATATGTGCCACATTTTCTTTATCCAGCCTATCATTGATGGGCACTTGGGTTGGTTCCAAGTCTTTGCTATTGTGAATAGTGCTGCAATAAACATACATGTGCATGTGTTTTTATAGTAGAATGATTTATAATCTTTTGGGTATATACCCAGTAATGGCATTGCTGGGTCAAATGGTATTTCTGGTTCTAGATCCTTGAGGAATCACCATACTGTCTTCCACAATGGTTGAACTAATTTATGCTCCCAATAAGAGTGTAAAACTGTTCCTATTTATCCACATCTTCTCCAGCATCTGTTGTTCCCTAACTTTTTAATGATCGCCATTCTAACTGGAGTGAGATGGTATCTCATTGCAGTTTTGATTTGCATTTCTCTAACGACCAGTGATCATGAGCATTTTTTTCATGTGTCTGTTGTCTGCATAAATGTCTTCTTTCGAGAAGTGTCTGTTCAAATACTTTGCTCACTTTTTGATGGGGTTGTTTTTTTCTTGTAAATTTGTTTAAGTTCCTTGTAGATTCTGGATAGTAGCCCTTTGTCAGATGGATAGATTGCAAAATTTATCTCCCATTCTGTAGGTTGCCTGTTCACTCTGATGATAGTTTCTTTTGCTGTGCAGAAGCTCTTTAGTTTAATTAGATCCCATTTGTCTATTTTGGCTTTTGTTGCCATTCCTTTTGGTCATGCAGTCTTTGCCCATGCCAATGTCCTGAATGGTATTGCCTAGGTTTTCTTCTAGGGTTTTTATGGTTTTAGGTCTTACGTTTAAGTCTTTAATCTATCTTGAGTTAATTTTTGTATAAGGTGTAAGTAAGGGGTCCAGTTTCAGTTTTCTGCATAAGGCTAGCCAGTTTTCCCAACACCATTTATTAAACAGGGAATCCTTTCCCCTCACTTGTTTTTATCATGTTTGTCAAGATCAGATGGTTATAGATGTGTGGCATTATTTCTGAGGCCTCTGTTCTGTTCCATTGGTCTATATGTCTGTTTTTGTCCAGTACCATGCTGTTTTGGTTACTGTAGCCTTGTAGTATAGTTTGAAGTCAGGTAGCATGATGCCTGCAGCTTTGTTCTTTTTGCTTAGCATTGTCTTGGCTATACGGGATCTTTTTTGGTTCCATATGAAATTTAAAGTAGTTTTTTCTAATTCTGTGAAGAAAGTCAGTGGTACCTTGATGGGAATAGCATTGAATCTATAAATTACTTTGGGCAGTATGTCCATTTTCACAATATTGATTCTTTCTATCCTTGAGCATGGAATGTTCTTCCATTTGTTTGAAATTGAGCAGTGGTTTGTGGTTCTCAGAATATTTAGGCTATAATTTTCTATCATTGTATTAGACCTGAAACTAAGTGACCTATAAATTATCAATTACTCTTACTAGGTCCTTTCAAAAATACTAAAAAAGTAATCTGTTCATATTTTATCTAATTTTTAAAATAATAAAAAATAGAAAAAATGTGAACTATTTGAGCCAATATTTTAAAACTGCCCTAGAAAAGTATTTAGAGTAATTTTTTTATTTTTATTTTTTATTATACTTTAAGTTTTAGGGTACATGTGCACAACGTGCAGGTTAGTTACATATGTATACATGTGCCATGTTGGTGTGCTGCACCCATTAACTCGTCATTTAACATTAGGTGTACCTCCTAATGCTATCCCTCCCCCCTCCCCCCACCCCACAACAGGCCCCAGTGTGTGATGTTCCTGTGCCCATGTGTTCTCATTGTTCAATTCCCACCTATGAGTGAGAATATGCGGTGTATGGTTTTTTGTCCTTGCAATAGTTTGCTGAGAATGATGGTTTCCAGCTTCATCCATGTCCCTGCAAAGGACATGAACTCATCATTTTTTATGGCTACATAGTATTCCATGGTGTATATGTGCCACATTTTCTTAATCCAGTCTATCATTGTTGGACATTTGGGTTGCTTCCAAGTCTTTGCTATTGTGAATAGTGCCACAATAAACATACGTGTGCATGTGTCTTTATAGCAGCATGATTTATAGTCCTTTGGGTATATACCCAGTAATGGGATGGCTGGATCAAATGGTATTTCTAGTTCTAGATCCCTGAGGAATCACCACACTGACATCCACAATGGTTGAACTAGTTTACAGTCCCACCAACAGTGTAAAAGTGTTCCTATTTCTCCACATCCTCTCCAGCACCTGTTGTTTCCTGTTGTTTCCTGACTTTTTAATGGTCGCCAGTTAGAAAACAGGTGTGAGATGATATCTCATTGTGGTTCTGATTTGCATTCCTTTGATGGCCAGTGATGATGAGCATTTTTTCATTTGTCTTTTGGCTGCATAAATGTCTTCTTTTGAGAAGTGTCTGTTCATATCCTTCGCCCACTTTTTGATGGGGTTGTTTGTTTTTTTCTTGTAAATTTGTTTGAGTTCATTGTAGATTCTGGATATTAGCCCTTTGTCAGATGGGTAGACTGCAAAAATTTTCTCCCATTCTGTAGGTTGCTTGTTCACTCTGATGGTAGTTTCTTTTGCTGTGCAGAAGCTCTTTAGTTTAATGAGATCCCATTTGTCAATTTTGGCTTTTGTTGCCATTGCTTTTGGTGTTTTAGACATGAAGTCCCTGCCCATGCCTATGTCCTGAATGGTATTGCCTAGGTTTTCTTCTAGGGTTTTTATGGTTTTAGATTTAACATTTAAGTCTTTAATCCATCTTGAATTAATTTTTTTGTAAGTTGTAAGGAAGGGATCCAGTTTCAGCTTTCTACATATGGCTAGCCAGTTTTCCCAGCACCATTTATTAAATAGGGAATCCTTTCCCCATTGCTTGTTTTTGTCAGGTTTGTCAAAGATCAGATGGTTGTAGATATGCGGCATTATTTCTGAGGGATCTGTTCTGTTCCATTGGTCTGTATTTCTGTTTTGGTACCAGTACCATGCTGTTTTGGTTACTTTAACTTTGTAGTATAGTTTGAAGTCAGGTAGCGTTTTATGTCAACTTCTCAAGTTATTTCACTTCTCTGAGTCTCAATTTCTTTCTTTTTAGAATAATAAATATTTTTTCTTAAAAATATAATGTTCTTTATAAAAATTTCAGAAGAAAACACAAAAAGAAAAGAATAATCATGACTAAAATTAGGGAACATCACTCTATACATCTGTTTATGCATATACACAGAAGGGACACAGATTATTTCATTAAAATGAAAATGCATTATTCATCCTGTTATTAACAAAGTATTAAATATAATTTTTATGGATAAAAAAGAAATGAAAATGAAATTGCAAGATCTAAGATAAAATGTTTTTTCTTTAAACCTAAGTTGTAAGAAAAAAATACCTTTTAATATTAATAAAAGACATTATGAAAAGAATATTTAAAACTTCATGTTTTTTCTTTGTCCTGAATATTTCAATATTAGAGAACTTAGATTATTCTGCATTATGAAAGGTGAGAAAGTAGCATTCTCTCTCCTTCTCTTATTTTTGTGAATTGTATTATTATTTTTCTTTTGACAAAGCTTGAATTTTTTAATTCTAGTCTAATGTTATAATACCTCCTGTTGTTTAATCTTAGAGTACTACATTTTCATCTTCACCACCAACTTTTTCCATAGCTTCTCCATCCCCCATTCATTTGTTCTTAATTGTCAGGCAATATGGAGGGGGATGTTTGTTGTTTATAAAGGACTTATATTTGCTGTCAACACAAAGAACTGTGTTGTGCTTTAGGTTCAGAAACTGTTGGGAATCATTTTCTGTAATTTAACTTTGCCATAAGCAGCTCCATCAGGGAGATAACACTTAAAAGTCATCTCCAACACTAGAAATTACCACGAGTTGTTTTCTTTTGTTTTGGGTTTTGTTTTGTTTTGTTTTTGTTTGTTTTTCTTGAGATGAGACAGATTCTCGCTCTATAGTGCAGTGGCGTGATCTTGGCTCACTGCCAGCTCCACCTCCCGGGTTCCCACCATTCTCCTGCCTCAGCCTCCCGAGTAGCTGGGACTACAGGCGCCCGCCACCACGCCCAGCTAATTTTTTGTATTTTTAGTAGAGACGGGGTTTCACTGTGTTAGCCAGGATGGTCTTGATCTCCTGATCTTGTGATCCGCCCGCCTTGGCCTCCCAAAGTGCTGGGATTACACCTGTAAGCCACCACGCCCAGCCTGAGTTTTTACATATTTTTCAAAATGAATAATTCAGTGTGAGGCAAGACAGGAAGAAAAACACAAGCTCAGAGAGTTGGCTGAGTTTAATTACATCTGAAGTGATTAACAACAGGTACGATTTATGAATTATCTCTTTCCTACCCTAGCCTTCTTTTATGACTTCATGCAATTATCTCAAACTTATTTCACAAACTTTGACATTTATTCCAATATAGTTTACATTTCAGATGGACAAAGAAGCTTCTCTTATAAAACAATTTAACTACAAGGAAGTAGTCATTTATTTAAGAAATAATTTTGAAAACTCATGAGGTAAAATGATCACATATGGTAGAGAACTGAACAGTCAAAAATAGGCATGGAACTTTTGCCTTAATATGATTAGTCAGGACATAGGCTATTATTTACTTTCTGTTTCTCAAAATATGTAATTCCATCTAGTGTTCTCTTCAACACAAAGATAATTTATAATGCAGCCCATGAATAAAGTGTTTTCAGGAACAAATGATTTGCTTCATAATTTATCTTTAATGATAAATAGCTCCCTTTTAATTTTTAATTTTTTTATTTCAACTTTTATTTTAGATTTATATATCTTTTCCTTTTTAAGAGTAAACCTGGCTGGGTGTGGTGGCTCATGCCTGTAATCCCAGCACTTTGGGAGGCCGAGGCGGGCGGATCACCTGAGGTTGGGCGTTCAAGATCAGCCTGACCAACATGGAGAAGCCCTGTATCTACCAAAAATACAAAATTAGCTGGGTGTGGGGTGGGTGCCTGTAATCCCAGCTACTCAGGAGGCTGAGGCAGGAGAATTGCTTGAACCCATGAGGCAGAGGTTGCAGTGAGCCAAGATTGCACCATTGCACTCCAGACTGAGCAACAAGAGCAAAACTCCATCGCAACAACAACAAAAAAAGAGTAAACCTATATTGCATCCGCAGTACCGTAGTTCCTGTCTTTACATACTTGAGAATAAATGTCTGTTGAACACATCCATCTTAGCAGGGTATAAAACTCTTCATGTTGTCTGAAATAGGTGCCTAGCGAAACTATATCGAAATCATATTTTAAAAGACACAGTGTGCTTAAGTACTTAAAATCATAATTTTTTTCTCCTTCATTTTAGTTTTGAAATGTTTTTAAAATATGATGTCTACATAGTTTTCACTAGTATACCCACTTCAGCCTATATGATTTTATAACCTTACAAATCTGCACCTATTAAATTTTAAACTTCAGAAAATTACTGGAAATACAATAAATGAAAAAGAAGTTATACTTAATCCCTGAATAAAATTTTCCTAACATAAAAAATCATGAGGTTAATTTTATATGTCAACTTGGCTAGGCCACGGTACCCAGATATTTGGTCAAACACCAGTATAGATGTCACAGTGAAAATATTTTTTGGATTAGCTTAACATTTTAAATCATTAAAAGTAAACTCTGAGTAAAGCACATTACCCTCTATAATGTGGGTGGGCCTCATCCAGTCAATTGAAAGCTTTGAGAAAAACAGACTAAGGTTTCTGAGGAAGAGAGAATTCTGTTTCCCAACTGCCTTTGGATTCAAGATGCAACAACATCAACTCTTCTGTGCGTGTGTGTGTGTGTGTGTGTGAGAGAGAGAAAGAGAGAGAGAGAGAGAGAGATCTCCTGTTGTTTCTGTTTCTCTGGAGATCCCTGACTAATACAAGGGTAAAATAAATCTGTGGATCCAAAAAGAATTTCTTGTTTTAAAATAAAGCAAAACCAACCAATCTAAATTAAAGCATATGCTGGGTGAGTTATTGAAACTCAAGGAAAAAGATACCATGCATTTTTTTTCTTTTTCCATTTACTAATTTTCTCCCAGAGCTTTGTTATTAAAATCTTAATAAATGTGGCATTTTTGTATGTTTTGTTGTTTGATGTTCCCCTTCTAGACCAATGCAGGGTCAATGTGAGTAAGAGCTCATAAAATATATGGTGGATGAATAGATAATAACCACTTACACAAGGTTGTTATGATAATGTGTATGAGAAATAGATGAGGAAGATTAACAATTGTTTTGCCTCTACCATGAACTCAATATTTTATTTTTATGTTACCATATTCAATCCACACAATAATCATGGAAAGTAAGCAGTTAATTGTTCTGTTTTACAACCAAGTCAACTAAAACTCAGATAATTTAAGTTGCACGATGTGCAAAATTGCTGGAAAACGATGGTCTGACTTCAAAGCCATGCTGTTTCAACTATACAAATCTCTCTGAAACTGTAAAACGTATGCTTTATATTATTATCATTGTTTTTGTTATTGTTATTTCTCTTCCATGTTTGGTAAAATTTTATATTTTCAAAGTCTACCCTTTCTCCTGACTGCTGTGATTCAGACTCAAGCTTTTGCTAAAGATAAAACCAGATGATGCTAATCAGTGAAGGGCTTTGAAATGAAGTTTATAATTTCCTGAACCCAAATTTGGTGAAAGAACTGACTGGTAGAGCTCCTTTAATGTTAATTGTATTTGTATAGATGATCTAATTTTCCAAAATAGATATACTGTCTTGAGTACTTTATATAAATGTCTGCTTTATAAGTGAATAAAAATTATGAGTGAAACTGGATGCTTTTTAAAGAGATCTATTTTACATCTTCCGTGAAGGGTAACATTACTTTTTAAAATTAGCTAGTCATCCATTAATTAGCTTCATAAATTCATATTTATATAATTAGATTGAAATCATAAATATACTTTATAAAAGTTATTTCCCTTTACCAGGTCTCTTTCCCTTTACCAGGACCTTTTGTCAACAATCAAGCAAACACTCTCCACCGATTCCCAAACTTGCCTCCATGGTTTCTCTTCTATAGTTTTGTTCAAACTGCTCTGCATATAGTTTGTTTTTCCTGCTCAGTGTTCATATACTCTTGTTTTTCACCCTTCAAAGGCTACTTAGGATATTCTTTCATGGAATCTCTCGCAGTCACTCCAGTCAAATGTAATTTTGGATTTTTCCTAAACAACCTTATTATTTTTTCTGGCCCATTTTGCATCTTATTACATCCTACTGTGCATTCCTCTTATTTTAATGCAGGCATTTTTTGAAAGCAAATAAAATATATTTTACCTTCCTGAGTCCCCCATGGTATTCTCATTATGCTTTTAACATAGTAGTATTCAATAAATGTCCAATAAATGCTGATTGAATTCTCAAATTGGCATTAATAGAGTTGTGATATATACCTTAAAACAAATTTAAACATTGTTGAAAATTTAAGTTCTAACTTAAATGCTGTTTTCAAAAGCGTACTTCACTATTTCTATTCTAATATTCTATCAACAAGTTAATCTGAACACAGCAGTATAAAATGAGACCCTTTTAGGTGAGGCCTTAAGTAACAAAATGGAAGCCTTTACCAAATATGTATTTAAACATATTTGGTGAAAAGTGTTCTACTTCAATACAGAGTATATTTCATCAAAATTGCTAAATGTTAACCTTCAAATGTTATTTTTAATAATTAATGGATACTCATTTAACAGCCAATCAAGAGTAGTTGTGTTAAATTCTAACCTAAATTAAATAACTTTTTCAGACACTTGATTTTAAAAGGTTGCTGATAAGTTTTTAATTACTCTTGCTCTTATGCCTGGCCTTTCTATTCTAAGAAAAGAAAGTCTCCAAGGGAGACTTATACTTAGATATTGCTTCAAATTTTGCATAAATTTTATTTAAAAATTTAATTAAATTTTAATATTAGAATAATTGGTGAACTCAATTTACTTATTTCTATTGAGAGTTACTTTAGTGACTTGAAGACAAATTTGAAAATGCACCTTCAAAATATCTATAAAGGATAAAAATTTTCAAGGAAACTGGGAAATTCTGATATAGCCAAGTGCTGGAACTGGAATTTTGGATTTCTGTTTGGCTAAAAACTAAATTAGCCCCAACATCAACTATTAGTCTGGAATTCAGAAATGTGACTTTCTCCCAGTGAAATGTAAAGTAAAATATGTAAGGACCTGATCATCACTTCTGGCTCAAAAATAAACACTTAGACATATCTAATTTTTAAAACACTTTCCCAGAATACATACTTTAGCATAAATTAGAATTTGAATATTTTAGCACTTCAAAATTTATTTTTAAATGTATCAAACTATTTTTGTGTATTCATAAACATTTATTTTTAGAAATGAGCTAAAGACCTTCTATACACTCCTAATTGGTTTGACCACCACAATAAAAGAGCCTTCAAGTCATTATTTCCATTTGAATGTAATAAAATTGATATTCCATAATATACTTCAAAGCATTATATTAGACATCATATAGTACATAATAAAAACATGCAATGTTATCTTTTAATTTCAAAACTTGTATCAAAAATTGTAGACAATATATTTATTTCAATATGTTTCTACCAGGCTCTTTTATTTACAAAATCCTTTTAATTACAGCATCTCATCCCATCCTCAGAACAATCTGGGAACTGTGTAGGCTGGGTCTTATCTTCATTTTACAGATGAATATACTGAGGGTTGTAAAGGTAAAAGTGAATTGTCCAAAATCATACCACAAAAACAAAAATTGAGTACCAGAGCTAAAATTGATTCTTAGGTTAGTGTTTTTTATATTGCCTCCCTCTGCCTAAAAATAGAAGGCTCAGGGAATAGTCATTGCAGATAGAATTTCAATTAGTGAAATTAAAAGGATTTCCATGAAATATTTCAATTATCTTTTTATATACTTCATAAGTGCTTATAATGTTCAAGATACTGTTTAGGATAACTAGGGAATACAGACAAATCTCATTTTCATACACTTATTCTTTAATTTGATTATCTATTTATTCAATAAGTATTTTGTAAACATGTGCTATGTAACAAGTGCTATGAAAAATACAGAAATGGCTGCTGGCTCTGAGGAATCTAGGCAGTTTGGACAAGTGGGATTCCTCCCAGTGCAGTGCACCCACTCTTCTAAGGGGCAGCCAGAGTGCCTCATTAAGTGGGTCCCAGATCCCATGCCTCCTGACTGGAGGAGACCCCCACCACAGGGGTCGCAAGCCACCTTATAAAGGAGTGTTCCCACTGGCATCAGGTCAGTGTCCCCCTAGGACAGAGATCCCAAAGGAAGAATCAGGCAGCCATCTTTGCTGTTCTGCAGCCTGCAGACACCTCCAGGTGCAGGAGAAACCCAGGTAAATAGGGTCTGGAGTAGACCCTTAGCAAACTGCAGCAGCTCTATGGAGGAGGAGCCTGACTGTTAAAAGAAAAACAAACAGAAAGCAAAAACAAAACCATCAACAAGAAAGTCCTAACCAAAACCCCATCCAAAGGACAGCAGCCTCAAAGATTGAAGCTGGATAAACTCAGAAAGATGAGAAAGAATCAATGAAAAAAAATGCTGGAAACTCAAAAAGTCAAAGCTCATTTTCTCCTCCAAATGACTGCAACACCTCTCCAGCAAGGGCACAAAACTGGGCAGAGGCTGAGATAGATGAATTGACAGAAGTAGGCTTCAGAAGGTGTGTAATAACAAACTTCACTGAACTAAAGGAGCATGTTCTAGCCCAATGCAAAGAAGCTAAGAATCATGACAAAACATTACAGGAGCTGTTAACCAGAACAACCAGTTTAGAGAGGAGCATAACTGACCTGATGGAGCTGAAAAACAACACAAGAACTTCACAATGCAACCACAAGTATCAATAGCTGAATAGACCAAGAGGAGGAAAGAATTTCAGAGCTCTAAGACTATCTTGCTGAAATAAGAAAGGTAGTCAACATTAGAGAAAAAGAATGAAAAGGAATGAACAAAACCACTGAGAAGTACAGGATTATGCAAAAAGATCAAACCTATGACTGATTGGGGTACCTGAAAGAGATGAGGAGAACAGAACCAAGTTGGAAAACATACTTCAGGATATCATCCAGAACAACTTCCCCAACCTAGCAAGACAGGCCAACATTCAAATTCAGGAAATCCAGAGAACCCCAGTAAGATACTCCATGAGAAGATCAACCCCAAGACACATAATCATCAGGTTCTCCAAGGTCAAAATGAAGGAAAAATATTAACAGCAGCCAGAGAGAAAGGCCAGATCACCTACCAAGGGAAGCCCATCAGACTAACAGCATATCTCTCAGCAGAACCTCTACGAGCCAGAAGAGACTGGAGGCCAACATTCAACATTCTTAAGGAAAAGAATTTCCAACCCAGAATTTAATATCTGGCCAAACTAAGCTTCATAAATAAAGAGAAATAAAACCCTTTTCAGAAAAGCAAATGCTGAGGTAATCTGTCACCACCAGGCCTGCCTTTCAAGAACTCCTGAGAAAAGCACTAAATATGACAAGGAAAAACTGTTACCAGCCTCTACAAAAACACACTGAAGTGCAAAGGCCAACACTATGAAGCAACTACATCAACAAATCTGCAAAAGAACCACCTAGCATCATGATGACAGGATCATATTCACACATAACAATATTAACCTTAAATGCAAATGAGCTAAATGCTCCAATTAAGAGACACGGAATGGCAAACTTGATAAAGAGTCAAGATCCAATAGTGTGCTGTATTCAAGAGACCCATCTCATGTGCAAAGACACACATTGACTCAAAATAAAGAGATGGAAAAAAATTTACCAAGCAAATGGAAAGCAGAAAAAACCAGGGGTCACAATCCTAGTTTCTGACAAAATAGACACTAAATCAACAAAGATCAAAAAAGACAAAGAAGGACATTACATAATGGTAAAGGGTTTAATTCAACAAGAAGAGCTAATTATCTTAAATATCTATGCACCTAATACAAGAGCACCCAGATTTGTAAAACACGTACTTAGAGATCTACAAAGGGACTTAGACTCCCCCACAATAAAAGTGGGAGATTTTAACACCCCACTGTCAATATTGGACATATCATTGAGACAGAAAGTTAACAAAGATATTCAGGACTTGAACTCAGCTCTGGATCAAGTGGACCTGATAGATATCTACAGAATTCTCCACCCAAAAACAACAGAATATACATTCTTCTCAGCACAAGGCACTTAACTCTAAAATCAATCCCATAATTGGAAGTAAAACACTCCCCAGCAAATGCAAAAGAACTGAAATCATAATAAATAGTCACTCAGACCACAGCACAATCAAAATAGAACTCAATATTAGGAAACTCACTAAAGACCATACAACTACATGGAAATTGAACAACCTGCTTCTGAATGACTCCTGGGTAAATAATGAAATCAAGGCAAAAGTCAAGAAGTTCTTTGAAATCAATGAAAACAAAGAGACAACATATCAGAATCTCTGGGATGCAGCTAAAGCAGTGTTAAGAGGAAAATTTACAGCACTAACGCCCACATCAAAAAGCTAGAAAGATTTCAGATCAACATCCTAACATCTGACTAAAAGAACTAGAGAACCAAGAGCAAACAAACCCCAAAGCTAGCAGAAGAGAAGAAATATCCAGCATCAGAGCAGAATTGAAGAAAATAGAGACACAAAAAAACCCTTCAAAAATAATCCAGGAGCTGGTTTTTTGAAAAAAAATTAATAAAATAGCTATACTAATAAGGAAGAAAGGAGAGAAGAATCAAGGAGACACAATGAAAAATGATAAAGGGGATATCACTGCTGACCCCACAGAAATACAAAAAAAACAGCAGAGAATACTATAAACACCTCTAAAAAAATAAACTAGAAAATCTGGAGGAAGTGGCTAAATTCCTGGACACATACACCCTCCAAAGACTAAACCAGAAAGAAGTTAAATCCCTGAATAGCCCAATAACAAGTTCTGAAATTGAGATAGTAATAAATAGCCCACCAACCAAACAAAAAGCCCGAGACCAGATGGATTAACAGCTGAATTCTACCAGATGTACAAAGAGGAGCTGGTACCGTTCCTTCTGAAACTACTCCAAACAAGTGTAAAGGAGGGTCTCCTCCCTAACTTATTTTATGAGACCAGCATCATCCTGATACCAAAATCTGGCAGAAATACAACAAAAAAAGAAAACTTCAGGCCAATATCCCTAATGAACCTCGATGCAAAAATCCTCAATAAAATACTGGCAAACTAAATCCAACAGCACATCAAAAAGCTTATCCACCATGATCAAGTCAGCTTCATTCCTGGGATGCAAGGCTAGTTCAAAATACACAAATCAATAAACATAATTAATCACATAAACAGAACTAAAGACAAAAACCACACGATTATTTCAATAGATGCAGAAAAAGCCTTTGATAAAAATCCAACATCCCTTCATGTTAAAAACTCTCAATAAACTAGGTATTGAAGGAACAGACTTCAAAATAATAACAGCCATCTATGACAAACCCACAGCCAATATCATACTGAATGAGCAAAAGCTAGAAGCATTTTCCTTGATAATTGGCACAAGACAAGGATGCCCTCTCTCACCACTTTTATTCAACATCATATTGGAAGTTCTGGCTGGAGCAATCAGGCAGGAGAAAGCAATAAAGCATATTAAAATAGGAAGAGAGGTAGTTAAACTGTCTTTGTTTGCAGATGACATGATCCTGTGTCTTGAAAACCCTATCATCTCAGCCCAAAAGCTTCTGAAGCTGATAAGCAACTTCAGCAAAGTCTCAGGATACAAAATCGATGTGCAAAAATTGCTAGCATTCCTATACACCAACAACAGACAAGCAGAGAGCCAAATCATGAATGAACTACAGTTCACAATTGCTACAAAGAGAAGAAAATACCTAGGAATACAGCTAACAAGGGAAGTGAAGAACCACTTAAAGAACTGCAAACCACTGCTCAAGGAAAGCAGAAAGGACACAAACAAATAGAAAAACATTCCATGCTCATGGATAGGAAGAATCAATATCGTGAAAATGGCTATACTGCCCAAAGTAATTTACAGATTCAATGCTATTCCCATCGAACTACCACTGACATTCTTCACAGAATTAGAAAAAAACTATTTTAATGCATATGGAAGCAAAAAAGAGCCCATATAGCCAAGGCATTCCTAAGCAAAAAGAACAAAGATGGAGGCATCGTGCTATCCAACTTCAAACTATATTACAAGACTACAGTAACCAAAACAGCATGGTACTGACACAAAAACAGACACATAGACCAATAAAATGGAATAAAGAACTCAGCCTACAACCATCTTATCTTCAACAAACCTAGCAAAAGCAAGCAGTGGGAAAAGGATTCCCTATGTAATAAATCATGCTTGGAGAACTGGCTGGCCACATGCAGAAAATTGAAACTGGACCCCTTCCTTACACCTTATACAAAAATTAACTCAAGATGGATTAAAGACTTAAATATAAAACCCAAAACTATAAAACCCCTAGAAGAAAATCTAGGCAATACAATTCAGGACATAAGCATGGGCAAAGGTTTTTTGTTTTTGTTTTGAGATGGAGTCTTGCTCTGTTGCCCAGGCTGGAGTGCAGTGGCATGATCTTGGCTCACTGCAACCTCTGCCTCCCGGGTTCAAGCAATTATCCTGCCTCAGCCTCCCGAGTAGCTGAGACTACAGGTGCATGCCACCACGCCTGGCTAATTTTTTGTATTTTTAGTAGAGACAAGGTTTCACTGTATTAGCCACGATGGTCTCAATCTCCTGACCTCGTGATCTGCCATCCTTGGCCTCCCAAAGTTCTGGGATTACAGGCGTGAGCCACCAGACCTGGCTGGCAAAGATTTTATAATAAAAACTTCAAAAGCAGTTGCAACAAAAGCAAAAATTGACAAATGAGATCTAATTAAACTAAAGTGCTTCAGCACAGCAAAAGAAACTATCATCAGAGTGAACAGACAACCCACAGAGCAGGAGAAAAAATTTGCAGTCTATCCATATGACAAAGAGCTAATATCCAAAATCTACGAGGAACATAAACAAATTTACAAGAAAATTACAAACCACCCCATTAAAAAGTAGGCAAAGAACATAAACAGGCACTTCTCAAAAGAAGACATTTATGTGACCAACAAACATATGAAAAAAAACCCCACATCACTGATCATTAGAGAAAAGCAAATCAAAACCACAATGAGATATCATCTCATACCAGTAAGAATGGCAATTATTAAAAAGTCAAGAAACAACATATGCTGGTGAGGTTGCAGAGAAATAGGAAGACTTTTACACTGTTGGTAGGAATGTAAATTAGTTCAATCATTTTGGAAGATAGTGTGGTGCTTCCTCAAAGGTTGAGATCCACAAATACCATTTGACCCAGCAATCCCATTACTGGACGTATACCCAAAGGAATATACATAATTCTATCACAAAGATACATGTGCATGTATGTTCACTGCAGCACTATTCACAATAGCAAGGAAATGGAATCAACCCAAATGCCCATCAATGATAGACTGAATAAAGAAAATGTGGTACATATAACATCGTGGAAAATTATGCAGCCATAAAAAGGAATGAGATTATGTTCTTTGCAGGGACATGGATGGAGCTGGAAGCTGTTATCCCCAGCAAACTAACACAGGAACAGAAAACAAAACATCGCATGGTCTCACTTATAGGCGGGAGCTGAACAATGAAAACACATGGACACAGGGAGGGTAAAAACACACACTGGGGCCTGTCGGAGTTAGGGGGTGCGGAGCAGGGGGAGGCAAAGCATCAGGAAGAATGGCTAACGGATGCTGGGCTTAATACTTAGGTGATGAGTTGATCTGTATAGCAAACCACTATGGCACATGTTTACCTATGTAACAAACCTGCACATCCTGCACATGTATCCCAGAACTCAAACTTAAATTAAATTAAGCAATAAATAAATAAATAAATAAAATATATAGAAATGATTAAAATACATTTCCTACCTTCATGTGCATTACCTTAGGGTTGTAATATCAAACAGGAAAAAGCCTATGCTCAAAATGACTATAATCAATCAACATAATAAATATAATCAGTATAGTAATAGACATATTTGTATAATTTGGGGAATATCATAGTTGGAATATTTGCCTCTGCCTTGAAGTTCAGGAAATGCTTCAAAGTAAAACCAACTTTGAGCTGCAACTATAATAAAAACACATTTAAATCTCTTAGTATAAAAATTAAAATATAGCTAAAAATAAAAACTCTTACTTAACCCTAAGAATGTATGACTTGAAATACAGTGTTATCTTTATTGCCAAGAATAATACTTTCCCATAAAAATTTATTGTCTGATTCCTTTGCCAAATGTAAAGGAAATGTGAGGAATTGTGATACACATAGAATGAAAATAAAAGTATAACTAGGGAAAGAAGACATTATAAAACACCATGAAAATATCTAGAAGACCACACCAGAAGCTAATATGGAAGCCTGTTTCATTAATTAAACAAAGCCATTTTGCCAAAAAGAAAAGAAAAATAAGAAAGAACAAGGAAAAAAAAGAGGAGGGTGAAACAGTTAGGCCATGAAAATATGACACAGCCCATAATTAAGATTTTAAAGAATCTAGTCAATAGAAATAACTTACAAAATCTTACAAAGTCTCAGATGTTGGCTTAAAAGATAAAGATTATAAAAGAGCTGTTAATATATTTTAAAGTCCATAGGAAATAGCCCCAAACAAGAAACAACCAAAATATACTAAAATAGGTGAATGATTAAACAAACTATTGTACATTTATATCACGAAATACTATTCCAATAACAAGGAATGAACTATCAATACAAGGGCATTATGGTGTGTGAAAGACTCAATCTTAAAAGATTACATACTAATTATTTCATTTACATAACACTCCTAAAATAAAAAAAATTATAGAGGTGGAAAACAGATTAGAGGTTAGTGATAGTGGTGAGGCAGGTAGGATGAATGTGATTAATTATAAAGTAGTGTGAGGGAGATCTTCAGAGTAGTGGAATAGTGAAATAGTTCCATATCTTGATTGTGGTAGTGGTTACAGGGACCTACATGTGCAATCTACACATGTAATAAAATTACACAGAACTATTATATACAATAGATATTAATTATATACAGATATAATAGAGATTGAGACATTTAAAGTATAAACTAATACCTTCCTCCCTCACTTTTCAACAAAAATGTATCTGTAGGAGGCCAACCAAGATGACTGAGTTTCTTAGTTAAGTTACTTAATTATTTTTCAGACATTCCCCACTTAGGACTTAGTGTATTCCAAGGAAATAATACTCTGTGGTCAGACTTTCTCTGGTCTTCAGACCATCCTCCACAGTATTTGAGTCTGTAAACTGTGAATGCAAATCTTGCTGATGCAACTTGTTGAAAGTAGTTGAAAAATTGCTGCTAACATTGAAATGTTAAATGAATGAATAACGCTTAACCCAATGTTTTAAAATAGATGAGTTTTATGCACACTTGACCATGCTTGATGTGCTTGGATATGCTGGTGACTCTTGTCTACATTGAACTGACCTTATAAGACTGAGTGCCTGGGACTTCCTAAGGGAACACATATCTGTCCAGTGATACTTGTTTGAATCCACTGAAGAGCAGAACCTCCTTTGGCTGGATAGAAAAGACCAAGTAGTCTAAGAACTCATGGATATTTGGGAAATGTGCTATAGTGACAGGAACTCCTTTACTGTCAGTTTAGTGTACCTGTAAAAGTGATCCACCCATTTCTTCTCACTGAGTCTTGGTGCAATAGGAAATAGTATTAAAGTTTGCTCAAATATTACACATATTTTATCCTGTATAGGTAGATGTCTCTGATGAAATATTCCACTCATCAAGAACTAAAAAAAATGCCCTAAACACTGATTAAATTGAAAAATTAGGTTTTCCCAGACAAATATACTAAGAAAGTGTTTTTGTTTTAATACAGCACAACTGAATTACTGATCTTGATGTCAGTCTGGTTTTTTAACTCTTAACTAATTTATCAAAATAATGTGAAATTTCTAATAATACCCTGATACTGTAGCTTTTGGTATTTTTTCACTAAATTAACATATTTTCTGCAAGATAATTCATTAGTTGTCTTGCATGGCAACCAATGAACTAGGAGTGGTGGATGGTATTAGGCTGAATAACATGCAATCTAAAGACAGTCTACAGGAAGAGAGAAAATCTTGAAGAGACACCTAAAATAGAACCCACTTCATGCTAATCATAGCACTGTCCATAAATTTATTTCTTTTACACAAGAATGTGACTAATTCTGTTTCCAGAGTCAGAGAAGTCTTCAGGAGGAAGTGATTTTGACCAGGGTTCTAAAGAGCAGGAGTTTGCTGGGCAAAGAAGAAAAGGCTCAGCCCACGCAAAAAGACAGCAGATCGTGAACGGGAGAGTATCTGGCAGAATGGTAATGTTCACCTGGCACAATACAAAGGATATATGATACGGAAAATGGTGAGAGAGGAAATGGGAAAAGTAGATTTAGAGTTGATAATGAAGCACACAGTTTACTTTGGCAAGAATAAGGTTCTATTCAATATTCACACCAGCAATATTTTTAATAATTGTGCAAAATATATTGGAGAATATAAATACCGAGACAAATCACCTGATAGAAGACTCCAACAATGCTCAGTTGTCTCCAAGCATTTTTGATGATGAACTTTTATCACTAAAAATCGAGCATGCATCCTCTCTTACATGCATATTTTGTAATATGTTTTGACATACTCATAAAGTATATGTCATAAAAGTCACATAGAAATTTAAAAAACAGGAAGTAAAATGTAAAAGAATTACTTATTTCTATGTAATAAGTAAACAAAAATTCTAAAATGTTTTTCCTTGGCTTCCATGGACCACCCTCAAGTGTGTGTATGTGGCCCTTCTTGGAAATCACTGCACTAGGTGATGGTTTAAGAGAACAAGGGCAGCAGGAAAGGAGAAAAGAGAAAAGTGATGAAAATGACTTGAAAAGTAGACTTCAGGAAAGGTGGTAACTGGACATAGGGATAAAAGAACAAGGAAAAGCCTATATGTTTGTTTGGATTGCAAGTCTGATAATGTTCTAGTCAACTAATCTGGGCCAACAGACTAAAGAGCAAGTGTATGGGGATTGGGAAAGGATAGATAGCGAAATTAGATAAATTCATTTAGTTCTGAACTTTCCATTATAAATGTCTTAAAGATCTAGAGCTCAGAAGAATGAACTTGAAAGATAAATTTGAGAATCACAGGAATTTGTTGGTAATTGAGACTCTGGACAGGATGAGATTGTCCATGGAGGGAGTATAGAGAAAGTAATGAGTAGTCATAAGATGGTGGGGGGTGTTGCTATGGTTTAAATGTTTGTGCCCCTTCAAAAATCATGTTGAAGCTTAATCCCCAGTGCCATAGTATTTAAAGGTAGGGCTTTTAGGAGATGATGAGGTCATGAGAACTCCACCCTCATGAATGAAATTAGAGCCCTTATAAGAGGGCTTGAGAAAAATCTATACCTTTTATGCCATTCTGCCAAGTAAGGACACTGCAAGTAGGTGCAATCTTTGGAGCAGGAAAACAAGCCTTCAAGAAACACTGAATCTGCTGGCACCTTGATCTTGGACTTATAAGCCTCTAGAACTGTAAGCAATAAAATTCTGTTGTTGATAAATTATCTAGTCAACAACAGATAATTGTTATCTGTTGTTATAGCAGCCAGAACAAACTAAGACAGAGGTGTTCTTGGCTTTCAGAAGCCAAAGAAAGTTTGGATACTCTCTCCATAAAAATGTTCAACAAATATTTTGTAATTAATTGTTGGGTATTCCAAATCATGCAAAGAATAGAAAAGAAGATGCTGTTTAGGATAAGGAATAATGGATCCCATCATTATGCATTATAAAACATGTTATATGATGGAATATATTTTAAGAAATTAATTTTATCTATAAATATATGGGCTTAAAATTATAATTGCATAAATGTAGGCCTTCCAATATTAAGCAAAATTAAAGTGAGCATAGCAAATAGATCCTTTCACACTGTGGTTCCAAGAAAAACATAAATTGTACAGAAGCACAGAGCTTGAATTATTTCTTAGTGAGTAGAGTAACTCAAGCAGTGAAATGTGCCCTTGGCCAACTTAGGAAAGGAAGGACACACATATTTTCTTATTATTAAATCCCTTCTCCCAGACGACTTGCCTAAGGTAACAAACAATTAATAGTGAAAATCAGAAGTAAGTATAATGTGCTATCTTTCTTATGAAGATAATGTTCCTGACCCACTATTGGTCTAGCATACACTCTTGAATTATTTCCCATGGGTGGTGAGAGATTTGTGTTGATCTAGATACAGTTTCTGTATTTAGGTGCACTCTGTCTATAAAAACTACCAATACACATCTCTTCTTTTCAATTTGGAAATTCTCTGAGGCAACTTTGCAAAACTCATCCAATGAAAAAAACATAGACATATGTTACCAGAATCCACTCTATACTTACAGTAACTTAACCTGCAGAAGAAATAAAATGAATTGAATTCTCACTGAAACCTCAGTCCCTTGTGAAATTGAATCAACACAATGGTTAGCCCTTTGGTTTCATCTAACTTCACTGTAATTAGTAGTCTGAAGTTGTATTTCAAAATCTCACAGGAAACATGTAGGAGCTAAAAACTTTCCCCTTTTGTTTGCTTGGGGCATTGGCTGTGATATGTTGTGAATTTTTGCATTACACAGAATCTTCACATCTTTTAAAAAATAACTACAGTATAAATACCTGCAGTACAGAAAGGAAAGGAAGAAGTTACTATGCTTCTCAGAAGAAGAGTTCTGTTTGCTTTTTGTTTGTTTGTTTCTAAAAGCTCCACCATGGATGAACAAAATCACTTAGCATGATTTTCTTAATTTCTCTGACTTTATCAGCTTTCCATCTCTTGCCTCCAAAACCAAACAATCCCTATTAATGGGCTTTGTCATTAGGAGGTGAGTCCTCATCAGGTTCACCCATGCAAATAATCAAAGTAAGTTCAGGACTTCAACTTTACTCAGCATCTTACACCTAATTTTATTTAACCAATGATTCCTTGGCCTTGGTGCCACAGGAAAGAACATTCTTGTCCTTCATTTGAGTGGGCCAAATGGTTTAGACGTCTTCTCCATGACACTCCGAGTCCTGAGCTAATGGCATTTGATAGAAGATTCCATTGTTTTCATTCTACTAAGTGACTTATTTGGCCTAACATTTTTTGTTCCTACTGACTCCTCCCACTTGGGGAATAAATGTTAGTACTCCCTCTTGCTCTCCACTTTGTGGAGCACATAAATAATAAGCATGGCACACATAAATAATTCAACTGCATTTCACAGAGGAGATCAGGAGGGGAAATAGCGCATGCAAAGAGAACTTTTGTGGAAATGCCAGCTGGGCTTTCCAGAAAGAGCTCAAATGTAATAACAATGTCTAGGTATCAGGATAAATGAGCTGTGAAAAGAGGGAAAAAGAGAAATATAGTCCTTTGGGAGAAAAGCATTTGGTTTGTTTGAGAAAATATTTATTGACTTTCAGAATGCTTTAGCTATTAGAATTTAGCATTTAGCAAAATGATAAAATTTATTTCAATAATTAGATAATATTCAAACTATTTAGGTACCTGTTCAGCATAGGCACTGACCAATCAAAATAGATAAATAATGACATATATAATAATGTAATTTTTAAAGACTCAATATTTATTAGACACCAAATAATTACCGGGACTGTTCTAGATGATTTCCTGTGCCTAAATGCAGTTAACTTTCACTGTAATTATCTTGAAAAGTACTATTTTAATCTTTATTTCAATAATAATAATAGTGAAAGAGGTAAAATACTATTCCCAAGATTACACAGCTAGTAAGTGGGGAAGAGATTTTTAAGCCAAGTTTCTTAATGTGAAATTCAATGTCTCTAACACACGGCTATCTCTCTCTCTCTCTCTCTCTCTCTCTATCTCTCTATCTCTCTCTCACATACACACACGTGCATACATACCCATGAAAGTTTCCAAGTCCTTCTCATCTTAGCACCTGCTGCCTTTTGTGAAATTATTAAATGGTGCTATTTTCTAAAGTGGCTGGTGAGCTTCTCTGTTGATCACATTTCTCAGTTGAGGACTAAGACCCTGTATATGCCAGGTCAGTGTCACATAAAAATCCAACAGAAGTTCCATTGGCCTGACTACTTGATTTTTGATAATGACTCAGTAGTTATGATCATTAGACTGTTTCGATCTGACCATTTCTGCCCCATGGTTACCTGCCTCAGTCCAGCTTATTCAATGTGTGTGTGTGTGTGTATGTGTGTTAGTTTTATTTCTTGATGGTAACTCTGATGTGTACATGCTGGTATCTTATAGAAAATGCCCAAGTTATCCTTGTAGGTTCCAGAATGTGGAGACTCCAAGCAATGCTTCTCCATTTCTTTTAGAAAGCAGAGACTCTATGCAATAAGTATCTTAAAGGTAGTTTCCTTTACTTCTTGCCTCTTGTTTACATTAAAGTACCCTAATCTAAAAATGAAAATAACCACCACCATTATTGAGACCACAAAATGCCCATGGCTATGCAATGTGCTTTTGCATTTTCTCAGGTAATTCCTACCACAGTCCTTCATGAAAGATATTATCACCCTCATTTTTACAGACAAGGATATAAACTCAGAGAGTTAAATAAATTAAGTAAGAAAGTTGTTAAATAGCAGATCCAGAGCTGGTAAACATGTTTATCTGGTTTCAAACTGTATATTCTTTCCCCATCTTCATTTACATACGTGAATGTTCTTTAAAAATTGAAAGCGTGCAGAGTGTATTACAGAAGCATTAATGGTGCTAATCCAACTACCATTTTGGACAAATTTTGTTGAATGGGCATTTCCCTATATTAATGTTATGAAAATATATATCACTTAAGAAAATAATTATTGCTTGCAGCTGGAAAACAAATTTTGAGACTGTGTTTGTATTATCTCACACATTATATCTGATTAAAAATTGAATTTCATGACCTAAAAATTTTCTGCCCAATCAGGTGTGCTCCATATATACAGAAATTTCAAAGTACTGTTCAATATAATATTTTCTCTGATTCTTATTGCTTCTAGAACATTTTAGAAATACAAGCTTCAAAGGAAGCTTGACAGTTCAGGACTGTAGGTAAAATATACTAAGAGGCCAGGCGTGGTGGTTCACACCTGTAATCCCAGCACTTTGGGAGGCTGAGGCGGATGGATCATGAGGTCAGGAGTTCAAGACCAGCCTGGCCAACATAGTGAAACCTCGTCTCTACTAAAAATACAAAAATTAGCCGAACATGGTGGCACACACCTGTAGTCCCAGCTACTCAGGAGGCTGAGGCAGGAGAATCACTTGAACCTGGGAGGTGGGGTTGCAGTGAGCCGAGATCATCCCATGGCACTCTAGCCTGGGTGACAGAGCAAGACTCTGTCTTGGAAAAAAAAATACTAAGGAAAAAATGTCATCTAATTTCTTTACAAAAACTGATAGTTACTGATATCTACTTAGATATGAAAGAGTTTAGGAATTTTAATTCAAGATCATGTCAATATCTCTGAGAGATCTATTATTTGAGCAACAGAGTTTAGTAAGAATCCTTGGAGCATTTTCAGAGACTACTTAACTTGATTTTTCTGTCAAGACCAGAAGCCAGAGGCTCTTCAGAACAGTTTTACATAAAAATGTCATGGACTAGACAATCTTTCTTTTTGGCAACTTAGATCTCGGCATCCTTCCCATATGGGGCAGTTCCACAATTCATGAGTCTTCATAGCAGCAGAAATGGATTCCCATCCCAGAAGTGAGAAAAGATAAGATGTTCACTTCCCAGGGTCCCTTGAAGCTAGTGTATAAACAATGGACCTAGGCTCTGCCAATTACATGTACCGAAGTCAGACTTTAATTCAGAAGCTAACGGTGCAAGAGGCATGGTATCTTTCTTGGCAGCATTAGCAGTTGTGATAAGGTTGAAATGTTGGCAGAGTACAAAATATGGCACCTCGTACAAATGAAGGCAGCAACAGTTTTATCATCAGAGCAGTACTGAAGTGTGCCTTGGGTGTAAATCCTGCTTTTAAGCACTTAATCTGATTCTCCATTCCTGCCAACTATACTGAGAGCTCCCTAATAGCCCTTTAATACATTTCTATCCTGCTAAAATTAGCTGGAGTTTATATCTATTGCTTGCTACTAAGAAACTGTTGGTGCAAAACTCTGTCTCTGTTTTACAAAGGAATCAATAAGAGGCTTTTTGCTTATAGGCAGAAATGGTGAACAATTATTATTAATAGGAAGAGGAATGTCAAACTGATCGTTTATTGTATGTCTATGCCTATTAAGTAATGTTAACTCTAGTAATTAGTGCTAGTAGTCAGAAGTCAGAATTTCCATGATCTTTTTCTAGATCTATCCCTGCTGAGTTTCTCTTTTACCGTGAGTTGGATTCAGCCCACATGCTTCTCCCTTCTAACATTAGTCTATTTTTATGATAAATTAAGTGATACTAAAATAGTTGGTTCAATATGTCCCAACTCATCTGTATGTGCTTACTGGGGAATATGGCTCCAAAGGATCATAGGTGGTAAAGTAGATCCAAGAAAATTGGTTAAGCTAATGTTCAGCCCTAAATCTTACACACTGGCACTGAGGGGCTCAGCTACAATCTCCTTTCTACATTCTCAAGGAGAATGTTTTTTAGTTAATCATGTTATCGAGTTCAGGCAAACTGATGTCTTCTAATTAACTTTTTCTCTTTGTTATCTATATATTATCATCATTTAATAACTGTAGCTTCCCTTCCTCCTCCCATCCCACCCACATTGAATAACAATCATCATCTGATTTTGATGTTATTGCCATTTATGTGTAGAAATCTACTCTTATATTCAGGGGTCTACCTATTTAAATTAGCAAAGCTCTAAATAATCCTAATTGGAGCAAAGCCAGACAACAATTTGGTTTTAACTAATATTTTTAAATCATTGATTTTAACTAACAATTTTATAATTAACATCTTTGAACCCTAACAGATATTAAGAATGGATTATTTTTTAAGCACTGAGTTAATAGCAATGTGAGAAAAAATAAACATGTTTTTGATTTTAGAAACAGTTGTGTTTTATTAATTTCTTTTTTGATCTCAAGAGAAATGGTGCATCTTAACATTGGTTTTCATTGTTTTTAACATCACTTTGTTTTTTCAGCATTGTCATATACTACTATTTGAGGTCAATTCTCAAATAAGATTCCTGCATGCAGACATTAACATTATAAGTAAAGCTGTTTTAAATAATCTTGTCTTTTAAATTTTACATGTGGATTTAAAATTTAAAGCATTTGGACAGGCACCCTAGGGAAAGAATTTGTACAATTATCAAATTTAGTTTTTGAACTGTACTTTTAATAACATCATGTGAAAGGATCTGGTGAAATATAAGAGTAGTGTTTAAAATCAAATGCTCCATTGAACTGCATGAATTTAAATAGTGCCTTTATCATGTATTAGATCTTTGACTTTGGGAAGGTAACTTAGCCTCACTATGCCCAAGTTTCCTAAAATAAAAAATGGGGATAGAAATAGGATCTATGTCATAAGTTGGTATGATAATTAAAAGAGTTAATATACACAAAACACTTGGAATTGTGTCTAGCACAAAGCAAATGTGCAATAAAAATTAGCTATTATTACTGTTATTATTGTTCCAGGTATTAATAGGTATTAGAAAAAAGTATAGTAAAATGCAAAGAGTAGAGTCCCTGAAGTCAGAACTAGGTAGGTTCAAATACTGAGACCCTTGGGAGATGTGAAATCTGTATGCTTAAATTTGAATCTGAATAACAATATTTATGTGCAAGAGCCCCAACTGCCCAAACCACCTGTGCACAGCAGGTATTGACAATGCTAGAAAAAAAAATATATCTTCTGCCTAGAAAGGGATCTGTTCATGTCATAGATTTTCAAGCGCCCTACTCCATCTTTGCGTGCACAATCTTTTCATAAATGTTTATACCATAAATGTCTACACTTATACCTGCACACATCTGCTTCATTTTTTCTTAAAGTAATACCACCTTCCTGAATCATTCATATTTAAACCCTGATATCAAAATTTTTCATTCAAAAGTCATTTTCTTCTTTACAAAAAGAGATTCTGTCTTTCACAAAACAAATATATTATGGAATAGATTTGTTGTTGTTTTTCCTTTTCAAAACACATGCACACTCTGTAGCTGAAATCAAGGCAAATCTTGCAAATTCTGTGCCTAGGCTCAGAACTGCAACATAACAAAATCATTCTAACAGTTCCACGAAGTCAGCTTTCTTTTCTCTGATTTGTTTGTTTGTTTCTTTGTTTTGTTTTGTTTTGAGACAGAGTCTTTGTCACCCAGGCTGGAGTGCAGTGGTGCGATCTTGGCTCACTGCAACCTCCGCTTCCAGGGTTCAAGCAATTCTGCCACCTCAGTCTCCTGAGTAGCTGAGACTACAGGTGTGTGCCATCACACCAAGCTAATTCTTGTATTTTTAGTAGAGGTGGGGTTTCACTATATTGGCTAGGCTGGTCTCGAACTCCTGACCTCAAGTGATCCACCCGCCTCGGCTTCCCAAAGTGCTGAGATTACAGGTGTGAGCCACCATGTCCAGCCAAGCTTTCTTAGATATAATTGTAGATGTAATGTCTTGGTTGGGTCCCCTGCACTGCCTAAAAGCAGTCCTTGAGACAAAGACTGTGTGCAAAGAGGTTGTTTGGGAGGTGCAGAAATACCAGAAGAGGGAGGAGGAGGTGTTATGGGGGAGTAGGGATATTGATAAATTGCTGGGGAATGTGGTAATCTGGTGCTGTGGTGGTCTTGTGTGTATCACGGTCTAAAAAAAAGGAAGGCTCCATCACTATCCAACTCTGTAACACTCTCAAGAACATGAGGAGATAAGCAGCTTGTGCAAATCCATCACATGACCACTTTTCACCTGTGTCCCTAACTTACAGGAGAAACCTACCTTGTAGAAGGCTGCTATGAAGCTTGTCTGTTTCTGGTGATGTATGGGACTTTCTACCCTGTCTTCCTTTTGGGTACAGCTACAAACCGCAAAACTGTCTGGTGTGAATTTACGGTTGGTTCCTCAATGGTAAGTGACTCTCTGCTCATGTGATCTGCACTGGTTCTCAATTGTACTGTGATGCCACCAGGACATTGGGAGCGGACACCAGTTTGATCTTGCTTTTGCTATCTGCCTAAGTAATAAGCTTTCTAAAGTCATTTGAGTTTATTTTCTCCTTACCATCCAAATCTATGGAAGCAAACCAACCTAGCAGTTACCATAATACTGCTGCTTAGGGTCTGCTTGGTTGCTTAATTCAAGTATGAAGTATGTTGTGAAAGAAGCTGCCACAGTGGGCAACTAAAGCTTTACACCTGGGAAATAGTGTAAAATGCATGCTTCAGAATTATTCTGAATAACATATAATTACCCCAAGGGATGGGGTAATTATACCACCACACCCATATTATCAATTAAAGTCTACCTGGAGTGGGCATTAACGACCAGCTGTTGCTCAGCCATAGCATGAGCTGGCAAAGTGTGTTCCAACAGCCCAAAGACACAGATCTTGCCCATTTCAAATCAAGCTGGCATGCATAAAGTGATAAAGGGAACCAAGGGGATATTGGCTGACCACTGACAGTCTCCACTACATCTTGTTAGATCAATAGTCATGCCAAAGGGATATTGGATTATCAAGTCTAGTGATGTTTACCCAAAAATCTTAATATTAATCATCTCCTCAAAGAAAAGACAAACTAAGTAAAATAGTTGCATGTATCCTATTGAGAGGTCACAGCATGCTGGCAGCCCTCGCAGCCCTCGCTCACTCTTGGTGCCTCCTCTGCCTGGGCTCCCACTTTGGCTGCACTTAAGTAAATAGTTGCATGTACCCTATTGAGAGGTGACAGCATGCTGGCAGCCCTTGCAGCCCTCGCTCACTCTCGGCGCCTCATCTGCCTGGGTTCCCACTTTGGCTGCACTTGAGGAGCCCTTCAGCCCACCGCTGCACTGTGGGAGCCCCTTTCTGGGCTGTCCAAGGCCAGAGCCGGCTCCCTCAGATTGCAGGGAGGTGTGGAGGGAGAGGCGCAAGCGGGAACCGGGGCTGCACACGGGGCTTGCGGGCCAGCTGGAGTTCCAGGTGGGAGTGGGCTTGGCGGGCCTGCACTCGGAGCGGCTAGCCAGCCCTGCCAGCCCCACCAGCCCCGGGCAATGAGGGGCTTAGCACCCGGGCCAGCAGCTGCGGAGGGTGTGCTGGGTCCCCCAGCAGTGCTGGACCACCGGTGCTGCACTCAATTTCTCGCCGGGCCTTAGCTGCGTCCCCATGGGGCAGGGCTCGGGACCTGCAGCCCACCGTGCCTGAGCCTCCCCCTCCTCCATGGGCTCCTGTGCCACACGAGCGTCCCTGACGAGCGCCGCCCCTGCTTCGCGGCGCCCAGTCCCATCGATCACCCAAGAGCTGAGGAGTGCCTGCAGATGTCGCAGGACTGGCAGGCAGCTCCACCTGCGGCCCAGGTGTGGGATCCACTGGGTGAAGCCAACTGGGTTCCTGACTGTGGTGGGGACTTGGAAAGCCTTTATGTCTAGCTAAAGGATTGTAAATACACTAATCAGCACTCTGTATCTAGCTCAAGGTTTGTAAACACACCAATCAGCACCCTGTGTCTAGCTCAGGGTTTGTGAATGCACCAATCGACACTCTGGATCTAGCTACTCTGGTGGGGACTTGGAGAACCTTTGTGTCAACACTCTGTATCTAGTTAATCTAGTGGGGATGTGGAGAACTTTTGTGTCTAGCTCAGGGATTGTAAATGCACCAATCAGCACCCTGTATCTAGCTCAGGGTTTGTGAATGCACCAGTCGACATTCTGTATCTAGCTAATCTAGTGGGGACGTGGAGAACCTTTGTGTCTAGTTCTGGGATTGTAAACACACCAATCAGCGCCCTGTCAAAACAGACCACTGGGGGCTCTCTGTAAAATGGACCAATCAGCAAGATGTGGGTGGGGCCAGATAAGAATAAAAGCAGGCTGCCTGAGCCGGCAGTGGCAATCCGGGTTCCCTTCCACACTGTGGAAGCTTTGTTCTTTCACTCTTTGCAATAAATCTTGCTGCTGCTCACTCTTTGGGTCCACACTGCCTTTATGAGCTGTAACACTCACTGCGAAGGTCTGCAGCTTCACTCCTGAAGCCAGTGAGACCACGAACCCACTGGGAGGAAGGAACAACTCGAGACCCGCCACCTTAAGAGCTGTAACACTCACCACAAAGGTCCGCAGCTTCACTCCTGAGCCAGCGAGACCATGAACCCCACCAGAAGGAAGAAACTCCGAACACATCCGAACATCAGAAGGAACAAACTCCGGACACGCCACCTTTAAGAACTGTAACACTCATCGCAAGGGTCCGCGGCTTCATTCTTGAAGTCAGTGAGACCAAGAACCCACCAATTCCGGACACACTATCACTCTCTGTCTTTTTAATTTCTTTTTTTCTATAGTCTGAGTTTACATATGCTTTACCTTTCATCTTCACATAGCAGGGGCTTTGTCTAACTTCCTCACCACTGTATCTCCAGGGCCTAGCAGTGTGATGATCACATTGTGGGCAGCATTAACATTCATTGAAAGAATGAAAGCATAAATGAATGAAAGCATAAAGTAATGAATGAATCAAATTATTTTTCTGTATGTCTTTGGCTAAGGTGATTTGCAATCTCTATTAAGACTGTGTACTTAGAAAGAAAAAATCATTTATAATTACTAAGTGATGATATCTGATTCTAAATACTTGAAGGGTAAGAATTATATTCGTTTTATATTTCCAAGATCACCAATAATAGTCTTGTACATAGTAGACCTTTACATGTTGTTCAATTTATTGGATTGTTACTCATAAAAATATGTCCTTTCCATTCATTTGTGTAACTCTTCATGTTTTCAAACACTTTTACCTTATCATCTTATTTATTTTTCCCATGAGCACTCTGAAATATTGGTAGGCATTATAACTCCAATTTTGCATATAAGGAAGAACTTTATTTTCTAAAAGGTTGAATGAGTTTTTCAAATGATTCAAAAGGTAGAAGGTGAACCCATGATTAATTCCTAGTCATTTATTCCGCACATATGTACTGAATGTCTATTCTACGTTCAGTTCCATTTTATGCTTAGGGAATAAAAACATAGAGAATAGTCCCTGAATATAACAAGTTCACATTCCAGGAGAGGACGTATGCATCTATATAAATCATTTCCAATGGAGTGAACACATAATGCAAGGTTAGGACCCCAGGGTCTGATGCAGAACCACTTGATTCAAATCCTAATCTCACTGCTTCCAGTTTGTCCCTCATCACGAGCAAGACTACGAACTTTATAAGTTAGCTACAAGAATTACATGAGGCATGTAGAACCATACCAGCCACATAACAAGCACTTCATAAATATCAATTGCTACCGTAAATGCTGATAGATGTTTAAGGCATATTGGAAAGATAGTGGATAAGGAAACTAAATATAATACAGATATATCGAGTATTATGGATTTCCAAGGAATCCACAGTTTAACAGTCATATAAGGAGAAGAGAGGAAACAAGCTATGTCATAAAATGCAATGACTGGCTCAAGGAATCATATATGGGTGAATATTTTCATAATATAGGGACAAGTAAAGGTACTGGGGAAATAAGACAATGCAATGAAGGACTGGACTCGATCAATAACAAGAACCTATGAGGTATTATAAGTCAACAAATTTGGATTTGACCTTGTAGTTAATAGGAATCCACTCGCAGATATAAGCAAAGAGTAAGATCAGATTTATAATTCAGAAACAAATGTTGGTGTTTTAACAGTGTAACCTAAAAGTGCTGTGGGCCTTTCTTAGGTGTTGCAACATGGAGCAACATGGATACTGAGCTGGAGGTGAAGTTTGAAGGTCAATAAACCAATCTAGAGAAGAAGAAATAATGACAGGACCTGAACTGAAAATGGTAATGAATATAGAGGAGTGTCAGATGCACATAGGAGAATGGAAAAGATTTGGTGATGAGTTGCACATATGAAATAAGAGAAAGGAGTAAAAGATGATGGTAAGATTTGAAACCTGAGCCAATAATCTAAATATGTAATATTTACAAATAACATAAATATTTAAGAAAAGTAATAGATTTGGAGGGAATGGATAAGACAGGGTGGGGGAGATAATGAGTTCAGCTTTAGACACTTATCTACTGTTTTTACTAGTATATTCTGCTACCTGAAAAATGTGTAAATTCTTCAGAATTTGATTTTAAATGAAAGCAGATAATGTAAACATAGATACAAAGTGGTTAAAAAAATTTGCATATGGCAAAAGCTGAATTTAAAATGAAGAGCAGGATAACTCCATTGGCAGGGCCTAAGGAAACCTTCAGTGTCATGAACCCAGTGCCGATGTCCCAGTAAACACTCACCAAATCTGAGCATACACACACACCCATGAATACATTCATAAGTTACATGCAAATAAGTACAATGTGTTTGTTTGAGTTTAACATCCAATATTTAAAGTGTTCTTCACTTCTCAATTATTCAAAAATATTTCATTTGATGATATTTGATGGTCGTCTGCTCACATGATGTTTCATTTCTTTATTAGAAGTCTTCATATAGAATTTTATTGCACCTTTACTGCAGGTGAATTTAAAACTAGAATTTTTATATTGTGCTTGTCACATTTAATGGTAATAATCACCTTCGATCCATCAAAGTAATTTCATATCCAAGTGAGAGACAGTTCTTCTCTTAAAATCCTGATAAATTTGTTGTGATACAATTGCATTGACTAAGCAATTAACAAGTAACGGGACAGAGATTGCAACCCTGGCATAAACAACAAAGCAATCTAAAGTGACAGAACTGTCAGGTGAGTGAATCTCATTTGACAGTCTTATCCAGTTTTAATATCTTACTATTTGTATTCTGGGAATAATGTAAATGAAGCATGAGAATAGGTTTGTTGAAGGGCTTTTTTGGCACACTTATTCATGTCACAGCTAGTCATTATGCTGAAAAATTTTTAAAGGTTACAATGAAATTATGTTTAACTTGGCTTGTACTTAGGAAAGTCTGTGTGTATAACATGTAAGCTAAGGCTTAGGTATAAAACACAAGCTCACCTCTTTCTAAATAAGCTCTTAGGTTGTGGAATGAATGTCATAATCTATGCAAGGTTTATTTAAAGCCAAGGAGGCCACTTTTGCAATTAAAAAGGCTACAGGTGTGACATTCATATACTGAAAATATGGAAAACAATCTTACCCATTGTATAGGCTTCACATTGACATGTGTCACAAAACTCAGAAAAAATAAATAAATATTTCCTCTTGTTTGCACTTAATGTATTCATTGGAGTGTTTATTCAAACTGCATTGTAGATGTAAATTTTTTTAATCACTAAGCACACACTCCCAGTTGCATACACACTTTGTCCTCAAGCAACAGTGTTTGCAAAGACAATTATGGCCAAATGGAAAACAGCTTTAAATATTCTTCCACACTCTTAAAAGAGATTAGGATTTATAGGTAAGGTATATTGGTATATCCCACTAATATAAAAGTTTCTGCAGACAAGAAAATTCAAGTGTGCTGGTTTCCACTTCTGCTTCTAAAATATAAATGGATGTTCCCACTGAGTAATTTCCAAAGGGGCTAGAGTATACCTAATGCAAACATTAATCTCATTACTATAACTCACCTCCAGTTAACAGAACTCAGTGATTGGCGTGTGCCTCAGCCACAATTTTTTGCAACCAATATCTTCTCCTAAATTCTTGATTTTAAGAAGTAGTCAAAAATTATTATAAAGTTCTTGAGCAGAAACTGGAAGAAAACATTAAAAGAGAGGAATACGGTGAAATATGGGAGCCATATTTTTCCTCTTCCTTTGGATGTGAAAGGAAACTTCATAGAATTTACAAGTAACACAATTGGTAGCTTGTCCTTTGGGAACAATGGGCTGTACTCTGGCTGATGAAGCATGTGAGCCACTTCTATGTTTTATTGTGAAGGGTGCTTTGTTCTGTGAGTTTCTACCTACTACCTGACAAATATCTACATTTCTCGAGTAAACATAGTAAAAAGACAACAGCCCTTACCGTGAAGAAATTTAAGGACTCCTCCAGGCAGAGTTAGTTTCTATACTTTCCAATACATACAGCACTTAAAACGTTTTTGAAATATTTTTCCCTTTTCTTCAATGAAAGACTACTGCCCAACAAAAATAAAACAGGACTGTAGGATTTGCTGTCTGTTTTTATTGTCAAAGTCTATTTCATCTGAAATAGCAAGACTACAGGATGATGGAACTCCAGATGAGTGAATAAAGGTGTACATCTCAAACAACAGCATGATACTCAAAATTTTGGCCATTAAAATATTTTAACCCCTCCTCAGAAAGCTGTAGAATATGTCCTTTTTGCCAAAGTGGATCCTGAACTCCCAAGACAAACATGACCACCATCCAGCAAACAGATTCCTATGGGCAATCCATTGCATTGCTTTGAGATATAAATCATGAACAAAAGCCTAGAGACAATCATGCAAGCCAGAAATTTAATAAGAAATTATAAATTGCCCTTTCTTTTCATGAGACAAAGAGATTATAAAAGAAACCAGCTACAGGAGGTAAGGATATTTACCAATGCTATGGACATTTTGCATACTAGATCATTCATCAGAAAGTTTTCTCACATAGATCAATGAATAAGTCTAGAAAGACTTCCAAAAACATTAAAGACTAATGTGGTGCCTGTCCCAGAGAAGCCATAGAGATATTGATATCTCTGATTGTGAAATCTTCTTAATTTTGCCATAATTAGCTTTTATTTTGTCAAGGGCTAGGTAAGTGAACACATAAAAAATGGCCCATAACATTTAACTGTTCAGAAAGGAAATCTACTCCTCTGCCCAGCAAGTAGCTTTATTTAATTGAATCTTCTCCCCTCAGTATCAATAGGTATATGATAAATGGACATTGAATTGAACTGAATGCACTATCCTATGGATAGCTTGAAGGGTAGCTCTCTACCACTATGAATAGCTCAATTTGCTCCATGTCAAATTTTTCTCTGTGAAGAACATCCCTGCTGCCTTTTGTAGTGATGGTAATGACTATCTTGGTAATTACGTACTGACCAAAGGAAATGCCCTCATTCTCTAGTAGGTATGATTACTGCAACCCTGCTGGAAAGATGAGAGAAACAACATCTAAGTGAGAGGCTCAGATCAGGGCATGCTTATTTTAACACATATATTTTAATGAATAATAAGCAGAAATCAACTCAAGCAAGGGTTTGAATAACAGATGCCAGTGCCTGTACTGAAGAAAGCACCTTAGCAGCTTATGCTTAAAGACTGTGACTTCGCTAAGACTTCTTGTTAGAATCAAATCTGAGAGGCTCTAGCACTCATTCTTCACAGATATCAACAATTTTGGAAATACAAAATTGGAAAGTATAGTCTTCAAATTTACTACTGTTTAAGAATGACGACCATGAAATTAGCAATTAAAGTAGCAAACAAGTTTCTGGGTATCATGATTTTGAATATTTGGGTATTTAACATTTTCTACATGTCCTCGAAGAAGGAACATGCAAAGAAAGTATCCTAGAGACTGTGTGTTTATTTAATAAACAAATAACACTGGTGAGAACCACTTGATAAAATTCAGTTGTTGGTGAAGTTTGCCTTTACCATCTCCTTTTTGCAATGTGACCTCTAAAATCTCCAAAATCCCAAGGACTCCCTCGGTGCTCATAGTAATGTAGAAGAAAATCAAATGCATGATCCCTTTCTTGTTAACAATAAGGATTAAGCAATTAATTCTACCTGGTGTATTTATTTTTTAAAAGAGCTCTTCAGGAAAATGGAACTTCAAAGTAAAAAGCATCTACTTTGGTGGAATTTTAGTCACCAACAGGGAGAAGTTCCGGTAGGTAGGTAATTCAAGGGCTCACAAGATAGAATGATCTCTGTTGGTTTGCGTAGGATTAGACTTCAAATGCATGTTCCTGTTGGCCAGGTATAGTGTCTAACAAAAATGCTCTCTTTTAAAATCTAATTTCTAACTCCCTTCCCCTCTCCTGCATTATTGCTATATTAGACAATGAAAAATTCATATGAATATGGACAGCAGGAAAAATTTCATTCATCCAATTTTTTATTCATTAACAAACACTTGAGTGTCTGTTATATTTGATGTTGTAACTCCGTGTTTCTCAACAGTGGGGAATTTTTCTGTCTAGAGGATATCTGACAGTGGCTGGAGACATTTTTGATTATCACAACTGAGAAAACACTACTGGCATCTAGTGAGTCAAGATCAGGCTAACATTCTCTAAGCATCCACTATGCATTGAACAGTTTCCCACAACAAAGAATTATCCAATGCAAATGTCAATAGTGCCTCTATTGAGAAACACTGCTCTAGGGATAAGGTAGTAAGCAAAACAAATATTTTGTTCTATATTTGTTGTCTCCAAATATCACTATACTAGGATAGCTTAAAAGGCTGTCTAGCTGCTGTCTTGTACCCTGTGGGAATCCAAAATTGGTAGGTATATTAACACTTGACTTAGTAGAAAGCTAAAGAAACTAACAGTTAGTGACCACTTGTTTTGGCTAAATGTTATGTAATGTTATATATTATGGGGTACATTCATACCTCTTTCAGTGCAAAACACGCATTCATTTCTAACTGGAAAAGCACCTTTACGGATCATTATAACAGAGTTCTTACAAAGTCGCAGTCCCAGCATCCTACAATGCCAATAGCTTTCACATTTTCTTCCAGTCTCCTGGAGTTGTATCATATCTATAGCTATCATTTGTTCCAGATACAGAATTGTTAGTCAAATCCCTCCAAACTGAAAATATGTTTATGATGTCCTGCTTAATGTCAAAGGACTTCAGTGGCACTTAATTGTCTGCCAACCTTTACCCTCTGTTTTCATGATCATTACCTGGAAGGAAACATGAAGGTCATACAATTTCTGTTTAACATCCAGTTTGATACTTGTTCTTTGTTTCTGTATAGCAGATCCAGGGCATCTTCTACCAGTCATTATGGAGCTTCATTAGCACATGAAAAATTAAAAAATATATATTGGAAGGGAAGCTACAGACAACAAGCATTTAACTTGCACTTTAGTGAAATTCTCATCTCTGATGGCTCTCGGGACATGTGAATAGATGACTGATAATATTTGGCACTTATAAATGGATTGATGAAGATACATGAAAGATGATAGATAGATAGATAGATAGATAGATAGATAGATAGATAGATTGTAGAGTGTAACTTAATAGATTGTTTTTATATTTATGGAAGGCATGAACTTTTTTGAGATATTGAATACATTGGACGATACTGCCAGGAACACAAAAGAATTCTGACAGATATGAGAGGTTGAAGTAAATCTAAAGACATAAAATTTTACAAGGATGATAAAAGGTTCTGCATTTGATGGCAGTGGGATTGAGAGCATTATAGAATAATGGTTCAGAGCCCAAACTCTGGAGTCAGGTTGTCAGAGTTCAAATCCTACCATGGCCACAATCAAAGAGCCATGTGACTTTCAGCAAGTGATTTAACCTCACTGTGACTTGCTTTCCTTTTCTATAAAGTGGGGTTAATTATAATGCCATCCTGAGATAGTTGTTTAAGAATTAAATGTATTTTAAGCCTGAGAAAAGTGCCTGATATACAGTTAATGCAAAGTAAGTGTAGCAATAGAGGGGGCATTTTTCACTGCAACAAATGTGAAGAGAAAATAGTTGGAGAAGAGGTCAGGAATTGGTTTAACTCAATTTAAATTTTTAAGGTGACTTTAGTATTCGAAAATAAGGAAATAAGGCCAGGGGTGGTGGTTCATGCCTGTAATCCCAGTACTTCGGGAGGCCGAGGCAGGCAGATCACCTGAGGTTGGGAGTTCGAGACCACCGTGGCCAACATGGTGAAGCCCTTTTTCTACAAAAAATACAAAATTAGCCAGGCATGGTGGCCTGTGCCTGTAATCTCAGCTACTCGGGAGGCTGAGGCAGGAGAATCACTTGAACCGGGGAGGTGGAGGTTGCAGTAAGCCAAGATCGCACCATTGCACTCCAGCCTGGGTAGCAAGAGTGAAACTCCGCCTCAAAAATAAATAAATAAATAACCCCTGTGCATGTAGGCTGTGTCATCGATATGAATAGTAAGTAGAGTGAAGAGACACAGAAGTTCTTCTTTGTTTCCTGTATTCAAACCACATCTGAGGAACTAGTAATAGACAAAGTAAAGGGATATGGAGGAGATAAAGCAAGAGAGAGAGATTCAATGCCATATTCAGGCAGACTGATTGATTCAAAGTTAATAAGGAAGTTTGGCTTAAGAAAGAAGGATCTTGCAGATGTGGAGGACACCTTGGCTGTTGCCATATATCTGAAGAGTCATCACATGCAAAGGAATTAGATTAGGTCTGCATTACACCAATGGGTACAATTAGGGGAAGAAATTACAAGAGAACTAAATGCAGCTCATATATGTGTGTATACATATATAATTTTTTTTTTTAGGAGGAGTCTCACTCTGTCGCCCAGGCTGGAGTGCAGTGGCACGATCTCAGCTCACTGCAAGCTCTGCCTCCCAGGTTCATGCCGTTTTCCTGCCTCAGCCTCCGGGGTAGCTGGGACTACAGGAGCCCGCTACCATACCCGGCTAATTTTTTTGTATATTTAGTAGAGACAGAGTTTCACCGTGTTAGCCAGGGTGATCTCAATCTCCTGACCTTGTGATCTGCCCACCTCGGCCCCCCAAAGTGCTGGGATTACAGGTGTGAGCCACCGCGCCCGGCTGCTCATTATATTTTAAAAAGTTTTCTTAAAGAATATTTCAGAAATGGAAAGACCAGCCTCAAAAAGTGGAGCATTCCTTTTCTTACAAACTATTCAAGAATGGAGTTGGTGAAGGGATAGTAAGCAGGGATCTTACTTAGTCTTGCTGGTAGGGTCAAACAGGTGGAGGGAGAGTTGGGGATTAGTACCAGAAAGAGTGTCTGGGGAGTGACAGAGGTTATGGGGTGGAGGTCCTCCCAGGTAGAAGCACCTCTGATGCACAGCCTTCAGCAAAGCAGCAAAGCTGAAAGAAGGCAATCCAAAGCGGAGTCCAAGTCCGAAGAATAATCTACGAAGAAAAGACAAGTCATTGAGGATTCCCTCAAATGCAACCTCCCCAAAGAGACCATTTCCTAAGCACAATATCTGTTAGTCCCTCATAGACATTCTCTCAACATCCTCTGTTTCGTTTTTGTTTTTCATTTATCATGTCTGAAATGATCCATTTATTTACTTGTTTACTGGTTTATTTTCTGTTTTCTCTCCTAAAATGTAAGCTCCATAAGAGCGGGGACCTTTGTCTGTTTTGTTTTCCACTGCATGCCCAGCACTTGAAAGAGTCCCTGATGTATGGTATGCATCCAATAAAAATTCATTCAACAAGTAAATTAATGAATGTCCAGACTAATAAATAATTAAAGAACAAAGTCAGCCAAAGGCAGTGGAGGTCATTGAGAGAGCAAGCTGTTATTCTTTCCCAAAATAACTCTAAGGCTAATGAGTGACCACCTGGTTTATACATTCCAACCTAGTAGTTTGGGAATAAGTGACATATCCTAGGCAATTAAGGATACTTGAGAAAAATTTAGGGCAAAAAATGTCTAAGGAAGTTTAAAACACTGGAATACGGGTGGATATAATGGATGACCTCAATGGTTTTCAAAGGATCACCCCAGAACAGCAGCACCAAAATCACTTAAGGACTTGTTAGAATGCAAATTCTTAGCCTCCTGATAAAGAGCTACTGAACCATGTCGTCTGCAAACAGGGACAATTTGACTTCCTCTTTTCCTAATTGAATACTCTTTATTTCTTTCTCCTGCCTGATTGCCCTGGCCAGAACTTCCAACACTATGTTGAATAGGAGAGGCAAGAGAGGGCATCCCTGTCTTGTGCCAGTTTTTAAAGGGAATGCTTCCAGTTTTTGCCCATTCAGTATGATATTAGCTGTGGGTTGGTCATAAATAGCTCCCATTATTTTGAGATACTTCCCATCAATACCTAGTTTATTGAGAGTTTTTAGCATGAAGGCTGCTGAATTTTGTTGAAGGCCTTTTCTGCATCTATTGAGATAAACATGTGGTTTGTGTCTTTGGTTCTGCTTATGTGATGGATTACGTTTATCAATTTGCATATGTTGAACCAGCCTTGCATCCCAGGGATGACACCAACTTGATCGTGGTCGATAAGTTTTTGATGTGCTGCTGGATTCAGTTTGGCAGTATTTTATTGAGGATTTTCACATCCATGTTCACTAGGGATATTGGTCTAAAATTCTTTTTTTGTTGTGTCTCTGCCAGGCTTTGGTATCAGGATGATGCTGGCCTCATAAAATGAACTAGGGAGGTTTCCCTCTTTTTCTATTGATTTGAATAGTTTCAGAAGCAATGGTAACAGCTCCTCTTTGTACCTCTTGTAGAATTCAGCTGTGAATCTGTCTGGTCCTGGACTTTTTTTGGTTAGTAGGCTATTATTGCCTCAATTTCAGAGCCTGTTATTCGTCTATTCAGGGATTCAACTTCTTCATGGTTTAGTCTTGGGAGGGTGTATCTGTCCAGCAATTTATCCATTTATTCTAGATTTTCTACTTTATTTGCATAGAGGTGTTTATAGTATTCTCTGATGGTAATTTCTATTTCTGTGGGATCAGTGGTGATATCCCTTTATCATTTTTTATTGCATGTATTTGATTCTTCTCTCTTTCCTTCTTTATTAGTTTTACTAGCCATGAGAGGTGAAGCCAGCTGGACTTCCTGGGTAGAGTGGGGACTTGGAGAACTTTTTTGTCTAGCTAGAGGATTGTAAACACACCAATCAGTGCTCTGTATCTAGCTAAAGGATTTTAAATGCACCAATCAGCAGGATGTGGGTGGCGACAAATAAGGGAATAAAAGCTGGCCACCCAAGCCAGCAGCAGCAATCCGCTTGGGTCCCCGTCCACGCTGTGGAAGCTTTGATCTTTTGCTCTTCACGATAAATCTTGCTGCTGCTCACTCTGTGTCCGCACTACCTTTAAGAGCTGTAACACTCACTGCGAAGGTCTGCGACTTCACTCTTGAAGTCAGCAAGACCATGAACCCACCAGAAGGAACAAACAACTCTGGACGCGCCACCTTTAAGAGCTATAACACTCACTGCAAAGGTCTGTGGCTTCACTCCTGATTTCAGCGAGACCACGAACCCACCAGGAGGAACAACCAACTCTGGACGTACCACCTTTAAGAGCTGTAACACTCACTGTGAAGGTCTGCAGCTTCACTCCTGAAGTCAGCAAGACCACGAACCCACCAGGAGGAACAAACAACTCCAGACACACCATCTTTGAGAGCTGTAACACTCACCGCGAGGGTCCGCGGCTTCATTCTTGAAGTCAGCGACACCAAGAACCCACTGGAAGGAAGTAGTTCCGGGCATAGTGGTCTATCTATTTTGTTAATCTCTTTAAAAAATCAGCTCCTGGATTCATTAATTTTTTGAAGGGTTTTTTGTGTCTCTATTTCCTTCAGTTCTACTCTGATTTTAGTTATTTCTTGCCTTCTGCTAGCTTTTGAATGTGTTTGCTCTTGCTACTGAAAGGCTACACTTTACCTCTGACATAATTTTCTTTTCTTTTTTTTTTATTTTTGAGATGGAGTCTCGCTCTGTCACCCAGGCTGGAGTGCAGTGGCGCGATCTCGGCTCACTGCAAGCTCCGCCTCCCGGGTTCACGCCATTCTCCTGCCTCAGCCTCCTGAGTAGCTGGGACTACAGGTGCCCGCTACCACGCCTGGCTAATTTTTTGTATTTTTAGTAGAGACGGGGTTTCACCGTGTTAGCCAGGATGGTCTCGATCTCCTGACCTCGTGATCCGCCCGCCTCGGCCTCCCAAAGTGCTGGGATTACAGGTGTGAGCCACCGCGCCCGGCCTTCTCTAGTTCTTTTAATTATGATGTTACGGTGTCGATTTTAGATCTTTCCTGCTTTCTCTTCTGTGCATTTAGTGCTATAAATTTCCCTCTACACACTGCTTTCAATGTGTCCCAGAGATTCTGATATGTTGTGCTTTTGTTCTCATTGGTATTTTTATTTCTGCCTTCAATTCCTTATTTACCCAGTAGTCATTCAGGAGCAGGTTGTTCAGTTTCCACGTAGTTGTGCAGTTTTGAGTGAGTTTCTTAGTCCTGAGTTCTAATTTGATTGCACTGTGGTCTAAGAGACAGTTTGTTATGATTTTTGTTCTTTTACATTTGCTGAGGAGTGCTTTACCTCCAACTGTGTGGTCAGTTTTGGAATAAGTGTGATGTGGTGCTGAGAAGAATGTATATTCTGTTGATTTGGGGTGGAGAGTTCTGTAGATGTCTATTAGGTCCACTTGATGCAGAGCTGAGTTCAAGTCCTGGATATCCTTGTTAACTTCTGTCTTGTGGATCTGTCTAATATTGACAGTGGGGTGTTAAAGTCTCCCATTATTATTGTGTGGGAGTCTAAGTCTATTTGTAGGTCTCTAAGGACTTGCTTTATGAATCTGGGTGCTCCTGTATTGGGTGCATATATATTTAGGATAGTTAGCTCTTCTTGTTGAATTGATCCCTTTACCATTATGTAATGGCCTTCTTTGTCTCTTTTGATCTTTGTTGGTTTAAAGTCTGTTTTATCAGAGACTAGGATTGCAACCCCTGCTTTTTTGTTTTGTTTGTTTGTTTGTTTTCCATTTGCTTGGTAGATCTTCCTCCATCCCTTTATTTTGAGCCTGTGTGTGTCTCTTCACGTGAGATGGGTCTCCTGCATACAGGACTCTGATGGCTCTTGACTCTTTATCCAATTTGCCAGTCTGTGTCTTTTAATTGGGGCATTTAGCCCATTTACATTTAAGGTTAATATTGTTATGTGTGAATTTGACCCTGTCATTATGATGTTAGCTGATTATTTTGCTCATTAGTTGATGCAGTTTCTTCCTAGCATCGATCGTCTTTACAATTTGACATTTTTGCAGTGGCTGGTACTGGTTGTTCCTTTCCATGTTTAGTGCTTCCTTCAGGTGTTCTTGTAAGGCAGGCCTGGAGGTGACAAAATCTCTCAGCATTTGCTTGTCTGTAAAGGATTTTATTTCTCCTTCACTTACGAAGCTTAGTTTGGCTGGATATGAAATTCTGCGTTGAAAATTCTTTTCTTTAAGAATGTTGAATATTGGCCCCGACTCTTTTCTGGCTTGTAGAGTTTCTGCCAAGAGATCTGCTGTTAGTCTGATGGGCTTCCCTTTGTTGGTAACCCAGCATTTCTCTCTGGCTGCCCTTATCATTTTTTCCTTCATTTCAACCTTGGTGAATCTGACAATTATGTGTCTTGGAGTTGCTCTTCTCGAGGAATATCTTTGTGGTGTTCTCTGTATTTCCTGAATTTGAATGTTGGCTTGCCTTTTTAGGTTGGGGAAGTTCTCCTGGATATCCTGAAGAGTGTTTTCCAACTTGGTACCATTCTCTCCATCACTTTCAGGTACACCAATCAAATGCAGATTTGGTCTTTTCACATAGTTCCATATTTCTTGGAGGCTTTGTTTATTTCTTTTTACTCTCTTTTCTCTAAACTTCTCTTCTTGTTTCATTTCATTAATTTGATCTTCAATCACTGATACCCTTTCTTCCTCTTGATCGAATTGGCTACTGAAGCTTGTGCATGCATCATGTAGTTCTCGTGCCATGGTTTTCAGCTCCATCAGGTGATTTAAGGTCTTCTCTATGCTGTTTATTCTAGTTAACCATTCGTCTAATTTTTTTCAAGGATTTTAGCTTCCTTGCAATGGGTTCGGACATCCTCCTTTAGCTCAGAGAAGTTTGTTATTACTTACCTTCTGAAGCTGACTTCTGTCAATGTGTCAAAGTCATTCTCCATCCAGCTTTGTTCCATTGCTGGCAAGGAGCTGCGATCCTCTGGAGGAGAAGAAGCTGTTGGGTTTTTAGAATTTTCAGCTTTTCTGCTCTGGTTTCTTCCCATCTTTGTGGTTTTATCTACCTTTGGTCTTTGATAATGGTGACCTACAGATGGGGTGTTGTTGTGGATGTCCTTTTGTTGATGTTGATGCTATTCCTTTCTGTTTGTTAGTTTTCCTTTTAACAGTCAGGTCCCTCAGCTGCAGGTCTGTTGGAGTTTGCTGGAGGTCCACTCCAGACCCTGTTTGCCTGGGTGTCACCAGTGGAGGCTGCAGAACAGCAAATATTGCTGCCTGATCCTTCCCCTGGAAGCTTCATCTCAGAGGGGCACCCAGCTGTATGAGGTGTCAGTCGGCCCCTACTGGGAGGTGTCTCCAAGTCAGGCTACATGGTGGTCAGGGACCCACTTAAGGAGGCAGTCTGTCTGTTCTCAGAGTTCAAACGCTGTGCTGGGAGAAGCACTGCTCTCTTCAGAACTGTAAGACAGGGACGTTTAAGTCTGCAGAAGTTGTCTGCTGCCTTCTGTTCAGCTATGCCCTGCCCGCAGAGGTGGAGTCTACAGAGACAGACAGGCCTCCTTGAGCTGAGGTGGGCTCCACCCAGTTCGAGCTTCCCAGCCACTTTGTTTACCCACTCAAGCCTTAGCAATGGCAGATGCCCCTCCCCCAGCCCAGGATGCAGCCTCGCAGTTTTATCTCAGACTGCTGCACTAGCAGTGAGCAAGGCTCCGTGGCCATGGGACCCGCCAAGCCAGGCACAGGATAGAATCTCCTGGTGTGCCGTTTGCTAAGACCATTGGAAAAGTGCAGTATTAGGGTGGGAGTGTCCCGATTTTCCAGTTACCGTCTGTCACGGCTTCCCTTGGCTAGGAAAGGGAAAACCCCTGACCCCTTGCACTTCCTGGGTGAGGCAACACCCTGCCCTGCTTCAGCTTACCCTCTGTGGGCTGCACCCACTCTCCAACCAGTCCCAGTGAGATGAACCAGGTACCTCAATTGGAAATGCAGAAATCACCAATCTTCTTCAACAATCCCACTGGGAGCTGCAGATCAGAGCTGTTCCTATTCGGCCACCTAGCTATATTCTTAAGAATTCTATTTTTTTGTTTCTAAAAGGGGTTGAGTTCTTGATTTGATTCTTCACTTGGTTGCTGTTGGTGTATAGTAGAGCTACTGATTTGTGTACATTAATTTTGTGTCCCAAAACGTTGCTGAATTCATTTATCAGTTCAAGGAGCTTTTTGAATGAGGGTTTTCTAGGTATACAATCATATTATCAGCAAACAGTCAGAGTTTGACTTCCTCTTTACTGATCTGGATGCCCTTTATTTCTTTCTCTTGTCTGACTGCTCTGGCTAGGACTTCCAGTGCTATGTTGAATAGAAGTGGTGAAAGTGGGCATCCCTGTCTTGTTCCAGTTCTCAGGGGGAATGCTTTCCACTTTTACCCGTTTATTATTATGTTGGCTATGGGTTTGTCATAGACGGCTTTTATTACATTAAGACATGTCCCTTCTATGCCAATTTTGCTGAGGGTTTTAATCATAAAGGAATGATGGATTGTGTCAAATGCTTTTTCTGCATCTATTGAGATTATTATGTGATTTTTGTTTTTAATTCTGTTTATGTGGTGTATCACATTTATTGACTTGCATATGTTAAATCATCTCTGCATCCCTGGTATTAAATCCACTTGATTATGGTATATTGTCTTTTTAATATATTGTTGGATTTAGTTAGCTAGAATTTTGTTAATGATTTCTGCATCTATAATCATCAGGGATATTGGTCTGTAGTTTTCTTTTTTGTTATGTCCTTCCCTGGTTTTGGTATTCGTGTGATACTGGCTTCATAGAATGATTTAGGGAGGACTCCTTCTTTATGTTTTGGAATAGTGTCCATAGGATTTGTAGCAATTGTTCCTTGAGTGTCTGATAGAATTCAGCTGTGAATCCATCTGGTTCTGGCCATTTTTTTAATCAACATTTCAATCTTGTTTCTTGTTATTGGGCTGTTCAGAGTTTCTATTTCTTCCTGGTTTAATATAGGAGGGTTGTATATTTCCAAGAATCTATCCATCTCCTAGATTTTCTAATTTATGCGTGTAAAAGTGTTCATAGTAGCCTTGAATAATCTTTTGTATGTCTGTGGTATCAGTTGTAATATCTCCCATTTCACTTCTAACTGAGATTATTTGGATCTTCTCTTTTCTTTTCTTGATTAATCTTGCTAATGATCTGTCAATTTTATTTATCTTTTTGAAGAACCAGCTTTTTGTTTCATTTATCTTTTGTATTTCTTTTGTTTCATTTAGTTCTGCTCTGATCTTTGTTATTTCTTTTCTTCTACTGAGTTTGGGTTTGGTTTGTACTTGTTTCTTTAGTTTCTGGAGGTGTGACCTTAGATTGTCTATTTTTGATCTTTCAGACTTTCTGATGTAGGCATTTAAGGCTATGAACTTTTAGTGCTGTCTTTGCTGTATCCCAGGTGTTTTGATAAGTTGTGTCACTGTTATTGCTCAGTTCAAAGACTTTTAAAATTTCCATCTTGATTTCATTATTGATCCAATGATTGTTCAGGGGCAGGTTATTTAATTTCCAAGTATTTGCATGGTTTTGAGGTTTCCTTTTGATTTCCAATTGTATTCCACTGTGGTCTGTGAGAGTACTTGATATAATTTCAGTTTTTCAAAATTTATTGATACTTGCTTTGTGGCCTATCATATGGTCTATCTTGGAGAATGTTCCATGTGCTAATGAATAGAATGTATATTCTGAAGCTGTTTGGGTAGAATGTTCTGTAAATATCTACTAAGTCCATTTTTTCTAGAATAAAGTTTAAACCCATCATTTCTTCACTGACTTTCTGTTTTGATGACCTGTCTGGTGCTGTCAGTGGAGTATTGAAGCCCACTACTAATATTTTGTTGCTGTCTATCTCATTTCTTAGGTAGAATAGTAATTGCTTTATAAATTTAGGAGCTCCAGTGTTCGGTGCATACGTATCTATGGCTGTGATAATTTTTTGTTAGACAAGTCCTTTTTTCATTATATAGTGTTTCTCTTTGTCTTTTTTAACTGCTGTTGCTTTAAAGTTTGTTTTGTTATATAAGAATAGCTATAGCTACTCCTGCTCTCTCTTGGTGTCCAATTACATGGAATATATTTTTCCACCCCTTTATGTTATATGTCACATGAGTCTCTTGAAGACAACAGATACTTGATTGGTGAATTCTTACCCATTCTGCCATTCTGTATCTTTTAAGTGGAGCATTCAGGACATTTACATTTAACATGAGTATTGAGATGCGAGGTACTATTCTATTCATTGTGCTATTTGTTGCCTAAACACCTTAGGTATTCATTTATTGTGTTTTTGTTTTATAGGTCCTGTGAGACTTGTGCTTTAAGCAGATTCTATTTTGGTGTAGTTCAAGCATTTGTTTCAACATTTAGAACTCCTTGTAGCAGTTCTTGTAGTGCTGGCTTGGTGGTGGCAAATTCTCTCAGCATTTGTTTTTCTGAAAAAGCAGTATCTTTCCTTCATTTATGAAGCTTAATTTCACTGGATACAAAATTTTTGGCTGATAATTGTTTTGTTTAAGGAGACTGAAGATAGGGCCCCAATCTCTTCTAGATTGTAAGGTTTCTGCTGAGAAATCTGCTGTTAATCTGATAGGTTTTCCTTTTAGGTTAACTGGTGCTTTTGCCTTACAGCTGTTAAGATTGTTTCCTTTGTCTTGACTTTAGATAACCTGATGACTACGTGCCTAGGTGATGATCTTTTTGTAATAAATTTCCCAAGTGTTCTTTGAGCTTCTGGTATTTGGATGTCTAGATCTCTAGCAAGGCCAGGGAAGTTTTCCTTGATTATTCCCTCAAATATGTTTTTCAAACTTTTAAGAGTTCTCTTCTTCCTCAGGAACACCAATTATTCTTAGGTTTGGTCATTTAACATAATCCCAAACTTTTTCAAGGCTTTGTTCATTTTTTTATTTCTGTTTTCTTTGTATTTGTTGGATTGGGTTAATTCAAAACCCTTGTCTTTGAGCCCTGAACTTTTTTTTTCTATTTGCTCAATTCTATAGCTGAGACTGTCTGGTGCATTTTGAATTTCTCTAAATGTGTCCTTTATTTCCAGAAGTTGTGTTTTTTTAAATTTATGCTATCTATTTCACTGAAGATTTTTCCCTTCATATCTTGTATCATTTTTTTGATTTCATTAAGTTGGATTTCACCTTTCTCTGGTGCCTCCTTGATTAGCTTAAGAATTGACTTTCTGAATTCTTTTTCTGGCATTTCAGGTATTTCTTCTTAGTTTGGATCCATTGCTGGTGAGCTAGTATGATGTTTTGGGGGTCTTAAAGAACCCTGTCTTGTCATATTACCAGAATTATTTTTCTGGTCCCTTCTCATTTGGGTAGACTATGTCAGAGGGAAGATCTGGGGCTCAAGGCTGCTCTTCAGATTCTTTTGTCCTATAGGTGCTCCCTTGATGTACTGCTCTCCCCCTTTTCCTAGGGATGTGGCTTCCTAAGAGCCAAACTATAGTGATTGTTGTTTATCTTCTGGATCTAGCTACCCAGCAGAGCTACTGGGCTCCAGGCTGGTACTGGAGGTTGTCTCCACAGAGTCCTGTGATGTGAACTGTCTTCAGGTCTCTCAGTCATAAGTAGCAGCACCTGCTCTGCTGGAGGTGGCAAGGTAGTGAAATGGACTCTGTGAGGGTACTGAGTTGTAGTTTTGTTTATTGCACTAGTTTTTTGCTGGTTGGTATTCTGCCAGGAGGTGGCACTTTCAAGAGAGCATAAGCTGTGGTAGTACAGGAAAGATCAGGCAGTGGATGGGACCCTAGGTCTCCCAAGAGAATATGTCCTTTGTCTTCAGCTACCAAGGCGGGTAGAGAAAGGTTATCTGGTGAGGGCAGGGTTAGGCATGACTGAGCTCAGATTCTCCTTGAAAGGGCTTGAGGCAGCTGCTGTGGGGTATGAGAGGTGTGGTTCTCAGGCCATTGTAGTTATGTTCCCAGGGTGATTATGGCTGCCTCTGCTGTGGCATGAAAGTCGCAAGGGAAGTGGGGCAAAGCTGGCAGTTACAGGCCTCATTCAGCTCCCATGCAACCCAAAAGGCTGGTCTCACTCCCACTGTGCCCTACTCAACAGCACCAAGTTTGTTTCCAGGAGCAGGTGAGCAGGGCTGAGACCTGCCCCAGGCTACCAGCCTCATGGCTGCAAAAGAAAGCAGAGCTTTCAGGTTTTACTCTTCCCTGCCTGCACTGGCTTCTGTGCTGTGTCTGCACTCCAGATTCACCCCATCACCCGAGTCCTGTCCAGGAAACTTTACGTTCAGTCAACATTGTTAAAAAGCTCAGCTGGAACTTTTCTTCTCACTGTGGTTTTTTTCCCAGTTCCTCTGGCAGCCCTCCCCATGGACCTCTGCAACACAAAATCAGAAATGGCTTTCCTGAGGACTGAGAGAGCCCACAGGGCTCTTCCCACTCTTCTTCTACCCCTGTATTTCACTGGGTTCTCTAAAATAGTCTCAGCTCCAGGTAAGGTCAAACCCTTCTCCCATGATCTGGATCTTTAGGTTATCCAGGGAGGGTGTGTGTTCAGGGGCAGATAATCTCCCTTTCCCACTTTCACACTTTGGGCACTCACAGTTTTTGGGCTGTCTCCTGGGGCCTGCAGGAGCAATCCACTTCCTTCAAAGTGTCTGTGCATTCTCTTGGCTTCACTTGTATGTTCCTGTAGTGGTTCTTGGAGCAAAATTTCACAATGTGAATCTCTACGTGTTGTTCTGTCCATCCAGGTAGGAGCTGCAATTTAGTCCTGCCTCCTATCCACCATTTTCCTAATCTCTCCTAGTTGCAAATCTTTCATTAACTACTGAAAGAAAGCATATCAGTGGACAAAGTTTATCTTAATCTGAAATACAGGAAAAAATATATAGGTGCTCATATTAAAATATTGAATAAATTTACACATAATATCTTTAACTACTGGGTTTTTTTTAATAATGGGATCTTCTACATAGAACCATTTCTCATATGACTCCAATAAAAGCCAAGCATAGAGCTTTATAATATGTTCTATAGTTCATGGCTCAATCTATACTGATCTAACCTAACACAGGTTTCAAGTTCGTGTCAGGAGGAATATATACATGATGTGCCTCTTAGAGTAACCCAGTTGAATACTAAATGTCCCATCTCAACTTTTGACAGGACTATGACAGACCATTTAAACATGAAATCCTTTACAATATTGAAGATATACATTCTGTATTGTCAACTGAGTCCTACACTGTAGATGCATGTCCACTGACATTATTCATGTGAGGCAAAATCTACTACACAGAAGAAATAGTTCCAGATATCTGAAAAATTAGGCATAAATTAAAGGTGTCAAATAACCCTTCCTTGTAAGGCTGGCCATGTTGGTTTTGCCAGGAATGTAAGTCAGCCTTAGTTAGTGAGATTTTGTGATTCCTTTATGGACCAGGTATGGCAGGGATTGATCTGCTGTCAACTAAAACCAGACAAATTGGCTCATCTTATTTTGTCAATTGATTGAATTGAATGAAACTTTCACTCATGAGTATGCAGGAAGTCACTTTCAATTTTGCTTGTTTCCCCAGCCCTAGCATGTGCTCAATATAGTAAGTGTCCAATATATATCTTTGAACACATAGCTATTGTTTCAGGTGTTTGGGAAATAGGTTATGCTAGAAAACTTACTAACTTATTCAGTTAATATTTGCTGCATGACATCCACATTCCAAGTACTGTCCTTGTTCTGAGCATACAATGAGGAGTTAAGCAGACTTAATATCTGTCCTTACAAAGACCAACAATAAAGAAATAATTATGAAAATTAACACCTTAATTACAATTGTGATGAATTTTCAAAAGAAAAATAGAAGGCACTAGAAGTACAAACAGTGCAGAAGAAACATTATAACCGCTTGCCTTTGGGGATTTAGGATTTTGTGGATAAGGCTCTCTAGAATGGTGGTAACTATCTCATTTTGAATGCAACTTATATTTTTGGAGTATTTACTACGTATGGCCCTGGGCTAGTCACTGTGGGGTGCAGAAATGACTAAGATGCAGCCCCTGAATTTAATAACTTCAAAATCCCATATAAATATGTGTTTTAACTATAATCCAAAGACAAAATTATAGCTATATAGAAGAGATATCGTAAGTCCACTCATAGAGTTCAGAGGATGAAAAGTCTCTTATAGTTGAACTGATCCAAGAGCTTTATTGAAGACAGAGGGATTTGTAATGGGCATAAAAGAATGCATACATAGAATGCTGATGGAAGAAATAGAAGAGGAGTATATGTTTATTTCATTGGACAGAAAAGCAAAAGAAAAGGAAATGGCATAAGGAAAACTAAGCCACTAGCAGCTATCAGCAGGCATGGATAAAGGATTCATGTGAGTTATCAAAGAGCATAAGGCAGGACAGATGGGTTATTGCCAGTTCAGGAGACTGTTAGATGCCAGGCTACAAAGTCTGTTCTTCATTCAGTAGGTGATGGGGACCTGCTGGAGACTTTTTATCAGGAAAGTGATATGATAAAAAGGAAACTTTGAGAGCCTTAAGTTCTGTACGTGATTTTGAGATATGTGACACCACAGTCAATCAGACCAGCTGGTAGTCCAGACAGGAGGTAATAAGGGCCTGAACTATGACAGTGGGAATGAAAATGAGAAATTAGTAAAGAACACTGAGCTTTGAACCCATTAGAAAGAACCCATGGCAACTGATCTGTTCACAGCAGTAGTGACACCTCCATTAACTGTACTGTATCACCTCTCCAGGAGCATAAGAATTGATTGGTCCTAGAAGACACCTCCTAAAATAAGTGTAGGCTTGTTCTCCCACCATCTGCATGGATAGATGCACCTACACAAAACAAGTCTTTGACTTAATTTAAAAATCATATACTACATGAACAAGTCCCCTCCCCACCCAACCAAGATGGTGGATGCGAAGTTTTTGGCACGTAGCATACCTTGGGCACTTGACAAGAGCAAAATGCTTCGTGCATTTTCCCAGATCCAGAATTGGGAGCAAGATGCCATTTTTAACCTAAGCACATACAAAGTCAGCCATTCTTTGGTCACCCAGCAGTGTGACCACACATGCTGCTGGGTGCAAAGTATCTCAGCAGTAGGTGCTAGAATTGTGATCTCTCCTGTCACAGGCTTGGGGCAGAAGGAGAGCTGCTACAATGGCAGTTTCTCCTGGGTGACAAGACTTGCAGCCTGAGTGACCTCACCCTTCCTTTGCAGAGACTACAGTGAAGCAGGGCCCTCTCCACCCCATGCCTAGGCACATCTCCAGGTATTCAGAACCCCCTCTCACCTGAATTTGCAGCCTGACTGAGCAAGCTCACCCTTTATGTGCAGAGATCCTGTTGCAGGAGGCCCTCTACAGTTTGCTCTGGCAGCTCTCCAGGCTTCTAGAGCACCTACTCTCCTGGATTGGAAGTTCCAGCTGCCCCCTTCCTTCCATTTGAGAACTTGGGACTGAAAAGGTTTCCCAGCTCCATGCCTAGTCACACCTCTAAGTATTTAGTGGCTGCCCACTGGATTCTTTCTCAGCACTGGTGCTTGTGCCCACCATCAGGGGACCAGTAGGCAGACTTCACAGTCTGGGCCTGCCATTCTTTCCCTGTGCCCCACTCCCAGGGCTGAGTGGATTGAGCAGATCTCTGTGCACTCCACAAATTAGGCCACTGCCTGAGGCAACAGAGAGCTTCTTCCAGTAAACAAGGATCAAATATATCTCCTGCCATGCTGGCCACACCGAGGTCTAACCCATAAGCACCACCTACTAGCTTATAGGTCAAACTGCACAGGTCAGTATAAAACTCAATGTAGTATAGGTTTATGGAAGCAAAGCCAAAAGATCCTACCCAACATTTGCTATAGTCACATCCCCTAGGGAGATGGGGTAAGGGGAAAGGAAAAGAAAAAAAAAAACTTTTTTGGGAAAGAAAGAAAAACATTCCTTCCCATATGAAAATAATTACAAAAAATTAGAAGTGCTGGTGTCTCCAGATGAGAAGTCAGTGCAAGAATTCTGGCACCATGAAAAATCTGAATGTAGCGATACCACCAAAGGATAACACTAGCTGTCCAGCAATGATCCCTAACCAAAATGAAAATTCTGAAATGACACATAAAGAATTCAGAGCATGGATTGCAAAGATACTTAAAGAGATCCAAGACAAGATAGAAAATCAACACAAAGAAACTTCTTACGCAACTGAGGAAATGAAGGAAGGGACAAACATCTAAAAAGAAATCAATCGGGCTTCTGGAATTAAAGACTCACTTAACAATTTTCAAAACACATTGGAAAACTTTATCAATAGACTGGACAGCAAAGCAGAAGTAAAAATTTCAGAGCTTGAGGATCAGTTTTTTGAACCAACACAGTCAGAGAGAAATAAAGAAAAATAATTTTTTAAAATGAACAATGTATTTGAGAAATACGGGTTTATGTAAAGCAATCACACCTAAGATTTACTGTCATTCCTGAGAGAGAAGGGCAAAAAGTAAACAACCTGGAAAGCATCTTTGAGAAAATACTCCAGGAAAATGTTCCCATCTTGCAAGAGAGGTAGACATCCAGGTACAAGAAATCCAGAGAACACCTGCACAATATTATACAAAATGAGAATCACAAAGGCATATAGTTTCCAGGCTATTCACAGTCCACACTAAAGAAAAACATCTTAAAGGCAGCTACTGGAAATGGTCAGATCATGTACAAACAATTCCTTCAGGCTAACAGTGGACTTTGCACCAGAAACCTTATAAATCAGATAAGATTGGGGGCCTATTTTCAGCATTCTTAAAGATAAGCAATTCCAATCAGGAATTTCATATTCTATGCAATGAAGATTCATAAGCAACAGGAAATAAAATCTTTCCCAGATAAGCAATCACTAGACCAGTCTGACAAGAGATCTTTAAGGGAGCTCTAGACCTAGAAACAAAACAATGATAACTACTACCAAAGACACACACACACACACACACACACACACACACACACATTTATATTACATAGCTACAGACATATAAAGCAACAATACAATAGAAAATACAAAGCAACCAGCTAATAACTTCACTATAGAATCAAAACCTCACATATTAATAGTAACTTTGAATGTAAGTGATCGAAACACTCCACTTAAAAGCCACAGAGTTGCAAATTGGATTAAAAAAAAAAAGAAATCCATCTGCTGTCTTCAAGAGACCCTTATTGCACATAATGACACCCATAGGCTCAAACTAAAGAGTTAGAGAAAGATATGTGATGCAAGCAAAATAATAATAATAATAATAAAAGCAGTATTCACTGCTCTTATATCAGATAAAGCAGACTTTAACAACAGTAAAATCAGACAAAGAAGGGCATTACATAATGGGTTCAATTCAACAAGATGACTTGACTATCTTAAATACACATGCACCCAACATTGGAGCACCCAGATTCATAAAACAGCTATTTTTAGAACTGTGAAAAGACTTTGACAGCCACACAATAATAGTGGAGAATTTAATACCCACTGACAGTGTTAGACAAATCATTAGAGCAGAAAACTGACAAACAAATTTCAGACCTAATTTCAACACTTGATCAACTGGACCTAATAGACATTTACAGAATACTCCATCCATCGACCACAGAATACAGTGTTCTCATCTGCACACAGTACATGCTCCAAGATCATACACATGCCTGGCCATAAAACAAGTCCCAATAAATACAGAAAAGGCAATATCATACCAACCATATTTTTGGATCACAGTAGAATAAAAACAGAAATCAACGCCAAGAAGATCTTCCAAAACCATACAATTACATGAAAATTAAACAACTTGCTACTGAGTGACTTTTGGGAAAACAAAGAAATTAAGGCAGAAATCAAAAAATTCTTTGAAATAAATGAAAACAAAGACGAAATAATCAAAAATCTCTAGGAGGCACCAAAAGCAGTGTTAAGAGGAAAGTTTATAGCACTACATGTCTACATTAAAAAGTCACAAAGATCTCAAATGAATGATCTAACATCACACCTTGAGAAAATAGAAAAACAAAAACAAACTAACCACAAAGCTAGCAGAAGAAAAAAAGATAACTTAAATCAGAGCAGAACTGGAAATTGATGCCCCAAAATCTATATGAAGAATCAAGTAAACCAAAAGCTGGTTCTTTGAAAGGACGAACAAGCTCAATAGACCACTGGCTAGAATTAACAAGGAAAAGGAGAGAAAAGATCCAAACAAGCACAATCGGAAATAATAAAGGTGGCATTACAACCAATCCCACAGAAATACAAAAGATCTCAGAGACTATTATGAACACCTCTATGCACAACACTAGAAAATCCAGAGAGAATGGATACATTCCTAGAAATACACAATCTCTCAAAATTGAATCAGGAAGAAATTGAAACCCTAAACACAATATCAAGTTGTTAGTGGAATGAACAATTTAAAAAAACCTACCAACCAAAGCAAGCCCCAGTCCAGATGGATTCATGGCCAAATTCTACCAAAAGTACAAAGATGAGCTGCTACTAATTCTACTGAACCTATTCAAAAAAACCAAGGAGTATAAATTCTGGCTCACTCTATGAAGCCAGAATCACTCTGATACCAAAAGCTGGCAAAGACACAAAAACAACAGAACAAAAACACTACAGGCCAATATCTCTCATAAACATAAATGTAAAAATTCTCAAAATATTAGCAAACCAAATCCAGCAGCACATAGAAAAGTTAATTCCACATGATTAAGTAGGCTTCATTCCTGGGATGCAAGGTTGGTTCAACATGCACAAATTAATAAATGTGATTTACCACATAAACAGAATTAAAAACAAAAGCTATATGGTCACCTCAATAGACATGAAAAAGTCTTCAATAAAATCCAACATCCGTTCACAACTTAAAACCCTCAACAAACTAGGCACCAGGGGAACACACCTCAGAATAACAGCCATTTCTGGCAAACGCACAGCCAATATCACACTGAGTAGGCAAAAGCTGGAAGCATTCCCCTTGAGAAATGGAACAAAAAAAAGGATGCCCACTCTCAGCACTCCCATTCAACATAGTACTGAAAGTCCTAGCCAGAGCAATCAGGCAAGAGAAAGAAATAAATGGCAACCAAACAGAAAAAGAAAAAGTTAAATTATCCCTCTTTGCTGATCATATGATTCTACACCTAGAAAACCCTAAAGACTCTGCCAAAAGGCTCCTGGAACTGTTAAACAATTTAGGTAAAGTTTCAGAATACAAAATAAATGTAAAAAAATCAGTAGCATTTCTATACGCCAATAACTTTCAAGCCTAGAGCCAAATCAAAAGGTCAATTCCATTTACAATAGCCACAAAAAGAATAAAATACCTAGGAATACAGCTAATCCAAGAGGTAAAAGACCTCTACAATGAGAATTACAAAACACTTCTGCTGAAAGAAATAACAGATGACACACACAAATGGAAAAACATTCCATGCTCATGGATTGGAAGAATTAATATCATTAAAATGCCTAAACTGCCCAAAGCAATGGACACTGAATGCTATTCCTATCAAAACACCAAAGTCATTTTTCACAAAATTAGAAAAAAAAATTCTAAAATGCATATGGAACCAAACAAGAGCCCAAATAAGCAAAGCAATTCTAAGCAAAAAGAACAAAGCCAAAGCATTGCAATACCTCATTTCAAACTATACTGTAAGACTACAGTAATTAAAACAGCATAGTACCACTATAAAAACAGACACATAGACTAATGGAACAGAAAAGATAATTGAGAAATAAAGCCACACACCGACAGCCATCTGCTCTTCAACAAAGTTGATTTAAAAAAGCAATAAGGAAAGGACTGCCTATTCAATAAATGGTGTTGGGACAGCTGGCTACCTGTATGCAGAAGATTAAAACTGGACCTCTACTTTTCACCATATACAAAAAAAAAAAAAAAAGATAGATTAAAGTTTTAAATGTAAGGCCTCAAACTATGAAAATCTAGAAGAACATTTAGGAAATACAATTCTGGACATAGGCCTTGAGAAAAAATTTATGACTAAGTCCTCAAAAGCATTTGTAACAAAAACAAAAATTGACAAGTAGGATTGAATAAAACTAAAGAGCTTTTGCACAACAAAAGAATCTATCAACAGAGTAAATAGTCAACCTACAGCACGGGAGAAAATATTCACAAACTATGCATCTGACAAAGGTCTAACCTCCAGAATCTATAAGGAACTGAAGCAAATCATCAAGCCAAAAACAAACAACCCCATTAAAAAGTGGACAAAGGACATGAACAGACACTTCTCAAAGGAAGACATACAGGCAGCCAAAAAGTATGAAAAACTGCTCAACATCACTAATCACTGGAGAACTGCCAATCAAAATCACAATGAGATACCCTCTCACACCAGTCAGAATGGCTATGGTTAAAAAGTCAAAAACAACAGATTCTGGCAACGCTGTGGAGAAAAGGGAATGTCTATGCGCTGCTGATGGGAATGGAAATTCGTTTAGCCACTGTGGAAAGCAGTTTGGAGATTCTCAAAGAACTTAGAACAGAACTACCATTTGACCCAGCAACCCCATTACTGTGCATACATCCAAAAGAAAATAAATCCTTCTACCCAAAAGACATATGTACTCATATGTTCATCACAGCACTACTCACAATACCAAAGACATGGAATCAACCAAGATGCCAATCAACAGTGGATTGGATAAAGAAAATGTGGTACAAATGCACCATGGAAGACTATACACCCATAAAAAAGAATAAAATCATGTTCTTTTCAGCACCAGCAATGCAGCTGGAGGTCATTATCCTTAGCAAATTCATTCAGGAATAGAAAACCAAATACTGCATGTCCTCACTTATAAGTGGGAGCTGAACATGGGGTGAGCATGGAAATAAAAATGGCAACAATAGACACTGGGGACTACTAGATGAGGGAGGGGAATATGGAGGGCAAGGATTGAAAAGCTACCTATCGGGTACTATGCTCACTCCCCAGGTGACAGGATCGTCTGTAGCCCAGACCTCAACATCATGCAATATGCCCAAGTAAAAAAAAAAAAAAATCCTCAACACGAGTTGGGGAAAATAATACGTGAATACTATTTCAACATTTACCCCATGGAGCTCTTATACATGTCCCTTGAGTTAATAAAATACTTATTAATTTTTTTCACTCATCTTCCTGCTGTTTTCTAAAGAAGATTCACTTTCTTCTTAACAAGCACAATTTTTTTTCAATCTTCTTGGCTAAGACCATCTTTTACCTCCCCAAACCTCAGATACAAACACAAGTTACAGTGTCAAATCTTGGCAACGAATGGAATGAAATTTCATGTTGAAATACTAATTAATAAATAAATATTCAAGAAATTTGGACATCTGTAGCCACAGAGGTGCCTCCATTTAATAAAGAGAGACCTGCCAATGACAAACTTTGTTGCTGGAAACTTTATTATTGATGGTAAGACAACATAAAAGGCAAACCCCTAGCAGTTAAGAATAATGAGCTTTAAAGTCAGACTTCCTGTATTCTTGTCCAGGCTCTCACTTCTTAGTGAGATCTAGAAGTGTGAGATCTAGAAAAGACATGCAACTTTTCCAGCCCTCAGTTATCTTATCTAAAAATGAGAATAGAAATTTAACCGACCTAAGGTGCTGTTTGAGCATGGTATGAAACAAGCCACAGAAAGCACTTTAGCACAGTGTCAAGCACATAGCACTCAAGACATAGAATTATTAGTAGAAATAGTACATTTTATCATGTTACCACCCAACATCATATTGGAGGTCTTCTGTCTTCTAGTCCTTCTATGGAAAAATCATTTTGGTAAACTCTCAGCCTAGCTTGGGATACATCAAGATGATTCATAACCCCAAGATTCAGAGATGATAGGCCTCAACATGTAGAATCCAAGGTACAGATCTTCCTTTGGCTCCCAACACACCTCTCCTCCCAGGTCAATCATCTTCCTGTATCACTGATGATTTTCTCAGAGCTAAGATGACCAGAATTTCTGCTTTCATCTGCCGCGCTAAGTCAAGTACATACAAAGGAACTGTGTTCAAGGATAATCTGTTAAGCCATCACCTCACAATCAGAAAACTTAGGGCTTAGGTTCTAGTTTTGGTTTAAATATGAAAATATCTCACATTTTCCATCTACTTCACATGAGATTCCTTCACCCTAAGATAACACATTTTTATAACCTAACAAAATTTTGACACTTCTATATTCTATGACTATGTCCTTAAATGTGTAAACAGAAACTCAAACATCTTCTGTATCAGCTTTTCCCAAAACATGTTCTTTCTACAGAACAGTCCCTTGAGGTCTCTTTTCTCAAAAGTGTCAAACAAATGTGGAAAATGCTGTATTCCCCATCCCCCCCTTCCTTAGAGATTCATGATGAATATTAGCATTTTAAAGGCTGTCAGAAACTCCATCAAAGAAAAGCATATTAAACTATGTTTCACCCAGATTTTTTTCATAACATAACTTTTTAGTATAACAAAAAATAACACAATGGAAAAATTATCTTCTAGTTTTTTTTAACTCCTCTAAAGTTTAATTAAGGCAATGAGAACCATTGAATTATTTTTTAAATTAAGTAAATTACTGAGAAATAGTTCAGGAGATAGAAGGCTGTCACTTAAATGTTAAATGCTGTTCACAATTGATCATTTTAAGGGATTGCTATTCCTAAAATTATTAAAACAAATTATCATAGGTGACCAAAATTTAATCAAAAAGTTAATATAGTGAATATTTCATGGTATTAATATGTAAATTATTGGGGAAACTAATTTTAATAGCTGTCCTGAAGTCTCAGTAGGACCCTCAGTAGCAAATGTTCAATTTATTATCTTTACATTTTACTGTGATCTTTGGAGAAGACATTTTATGCATACTCTGTGCCTGGGCATTTGACATTTGAAAGCCTCCCTAAAGAGATGCTAAGAGTCTTTAATTATCATTCAGCTGCATGTCACTAAAAGTTGATCATGAAAATGGACATCAAAATGAATCAAAGGGCTTCCTAAGACATGTTAACTTTTGATCTTCTCTTGATCTTGGGGAAGAAATAAGCATAGAACAGTTTCTCTTTCAGGCTGAGCTACGTACACGTTTCAAGATGTACATGTTGTACACTCACAATTAGATGTTTCTACTAAAGGATTCACAAATTTGCTAATGCTAACAAATTCAAATAAAAAATAAATTGTACCAAACATGTTGATTTCAATACTGTCTGTTACCGAAATCCCACAGCACCAAGTGGGGTGGAAGAACTTTTTAAAATTTTCATCAGTTTCTATGTTAGATCTTGCCTGAAGTTGAGACACAGCACTTAAAGAGAGAGAAAAGGAGTGAGAGAACTAAGCCTGAAGTGAGAGGAAGAAACTTAAGGTGTGGATTAAAATACTTTAAAACTTTCAAATCTAGAAGTCTTAGCACAAGTTGTCTCGTGTTGGTGCTTTTTTCAGAGATTTTCAGCTAATAAATGAACAGTATTTTAGGACCAAATTATATCTGGAAGTTTGATAAGAAATGTTTAACATTCATTCACATTTTTTAAGTGGTGTCTCCTCCTGGTTTGACTATATAGGATGGAACAGTATGGTGTTTATCAAAAAAAAAAAAAAAAAAAAGAGGATGACATTTTTATTTTTTTAATTGTTCACTTTAAAAAAAATTATTCTCCATTTATTCCTCCCTTGACCTGTTAAAAATAAAGATGGATTAAAGAAACCACCAAATTAATCACTGACTTAAAGACTAGATGTAAACACAAAAATAGTTTAATCAACTTCCCCAACAAATACAAAAAATGTATTGTGGATTCAGATTAAGTATCATATTTTAAATATTCCATTTTATTTAACTGGTTCAAATTCACTTTTGATTTGAAACAGTCACTTGGATTGAGTCTAATAATGAAAGGCTAATTAGTAATAATTTTTACATTATACTTACTGTAATTCAATAACATATTGTATTAACTTTAGTTAACTATACAGGTAAGTGACTTTGAATACATTATTTAACTTCTTCATATTTGAATCCATTTTCTTTTTTTTGAGACAGAATCTCACTCTGTCACCCAGGCTGGAGTGCAGTGGCACAATCACAGCTGATTGCAGCCTCAAGCTCCCAGGCTTAAGTGATCCTCCCACCTCAGTGCCCCCAGTAGCTGGGACTACAGGGGTGTGCCACCGAGTCTGGTTAATTTTTTCTATTTTTTGTAAAGATAGGGTCTCACTATATTTTCTAGGCTGGTGTCAAACTCCTGGATTCAGTGATCCTCCCATCTTGGTCTCCCAAAGTGCTGAGATGACAGATGTGAGTCACAGCACCCCGCCTGCAATCCTTTATAGAACCATGATCCAGCCTCAGCTGGTAGCTTTTCTATATCTTCTATGCTGCTTGACTTCCCACACATCATTCTCATCACATGATGACCCTTGGGTGTTATTTCTGTTTAGAAATAAAAATAATAGATACATTCCTTCTCTATGCACTTAGGAAAAATTTCCTAAGTGTACGTTGCTATCCTCTCATCCTTTCTTCGTACCTCCCTCCCAAAAAAAGATTTCTCACCCTCTCTAACTCTAACCCCTCCATATCTCCTCTCATTTTCTATAGGGAATTCCTAGTCCTTCTTTCTTAAGGCTTTCTTCTTTGAGGCAGAATCTGAACGTTATGTGTGGTTATCTTCATTATGTTTGAACAACTGCAATACTATATAATAGTAGTTGGTGGTTCAGAAAACTTCAAAGAAAACAAACAATTATTCTCTCTTATCAAGACATAAAAATAGATTAAGTGGTATTAGAAATATCTTCAACAAATCTGAATTAATTGTTTTTTAAAGTTTGTGATCAGGCTGGGCACGGTGGCTCATGCCTATAATTCCAACACTTTGGGAGGCCGAGGTGGGCAGATCACTTGAGGCCAGGAGTTCAAGACCAGCCTGGCCTACATGGTGAAACCCTGTCTCTACTAAAAATACAAAAATTAGCTGCGCTTTGGTGGTGCGCACCTGTAATCCCAGCTATTTGAGAAGCCGAGGCAGGAGAATTGCTTGAACCCAGGAGATGGAGGTTGCAGTGAACCAAGATCATGCTACTGCACTCCAGCCTGGGCAACAGAGCAAGATTCTGTCTAAAAAATAAAAAAAAAAAAGTTCGTTAAGTTTGTGATCATAAAACTCACCAAAAGAAAACTCAGAAAATGTATAACTTCATTATTCTGTCCTCAGAGTAATCTAGTTAAGATTAGTGGTGAGAGAGAACACTGGAATATAAATCATTTAACTGCCATTCTACTGCACTAAATCATCTTTTGATCTTAAGTCACTAAATTTCAGTGGGTCTCAGTCTTTCAATCTGTGAAATCAGAGAGTTACTCTAGATCTATGTTTCTTAACTGTTGTCCACAACTCATTTGCAGGTGTGGGAGCAGGGTTGACATCACGGGCATACAACCTGTGCAGTCTCACTTGCTCAGAAGTCGGCCTGAGCACAAGGGCCCCACCCTTGAATTAATGATCCACCACTGCTATCTTGAAAATCTTAATAATTGTTTAATAAGGAGACCTTAAAGTTTTATTTTGGTTTGGACCCTGCAAAGTATGTAGCTGGTCTTTGTGGTGAAATCAGTTTGGTGGATTGAGATCAGCATTTTTCTCTTAATGAACTAGATGAGAAGAGAAAATACCTGAATATATAACACAAAGTGTAGGTATTTTTTCCTGAAACTCTTGCTTTAGTTTTATTTACTGTATGCAAATGAGTATGGGGTGGGGGAGGAGGGAAATGTCTGTGTATGTGTATTTAGTTGCAAAATAAAATGTATTTTTATGTAAGTTATGATCAGTGATTAGACCAATACAAAGGTCCCTACCAATTCTAACATTCTAAAATGGTATGCCTCTTGTTATCAAGCAAAACAGCATAAATAACGAGGTCTTTTCTTCTGTAGAAGAAAAATCCACTAACCAGTGAGAAAACCTGATGATCATAACAAAAGGATTTGAATTCAAAAGCAGCTGCTGCTGCTTTCTTTTTCAAATGTTTCTATGCACAAAGAAAAAAAATGTAACTTAAAGATAAACATTCTAAATAAGAAAATACAAGGTAAAAATAATTTTTAAATACATCAAGATCAGTAACCACATAATATCTAAGGAAGAAACAGGAAGGGTAAAATTGTGCTCTGTTGGCAAGATATTAAGTCTGTACCCTTCAAAAATGGTAACATGCTTAATTGGCCTCTCATTATAAGTTGCACCCTCAGATATTGCTATCATAGACATTAATATAAGTATTTGAAACTCAAATATTTAGTACTTCTATTAGCTCTTTTTAAAAAGATTACACTCAGTAATGTTATACACAACATTCTGATACGCATTGAATCTACACATTGAACCTCGGATAAGGCACAGTATTCATACAATAATAAGCACTTTCCAGAGATGGGTGTGTTGATACAAACTGCCAAATGTATCCAAGCCATATAATTTTTTCATATTTAGAAAGCAATGACATTCTTCTTCTCTTAAAGAAACTACTTTTACAACCCACATTTACAAAATGTGAGCTTTCCAGTGATTAAAAGCTTTCTCTAGCCAAGCAGAAATGGAATGGAGTTAAAACATTTTTCTGACACACTTTAGGCTTGCCAGAGTTCAACAGGAAAGCAGTTAAGAAAGCCCATTCAGGGGTAATACTCTTCTGAGAGAATGTTCAAAATATAAAATTATGACCCCAAGGTGAAATGAAAGCCAAGGAGGCCTCTGCTTATAATTATTAGTTCCAAAACCATTTCGATTTAGGTACATTTTAGAAGCTCTATATATGTGAATTATTTGTCGAATTGCTATCATTACATGTGCCATGATGTGTTTTTGGGGTACTCACCACAAGAAACTTACAGATAAAATACAATTTGGATATACAGATTCTGAATCTAATAAATAGCTATCATTTTTCTTCTGTGGCTTAGGAATTCATATTCCTATCCTGGCTGATAATACACTGCAAAAGGGATTCCTAACTGTGTCCGAGTAGTAGACAAATGATCACTGAGGAATAGCTCGGCAGTAATAAAACCAATCCGTGTTATGTATGTGTCAAGAAACTGGTTATACAGTTTTCAAAAAGAAGTCATGTGTGACATTGACAGCTTGCAAGTTAAGAAGTCAGAAGACCTGTGCTTGGCTCTTGTTTCAACTCCAGCCACTATTTTGTCTTCCTTTATACTACAGCTCGCTTATTAGCAAAGGGGAAGAGGTAAACAGCTTCCCAGTGTCATCTTCCAAAATTACTGTTAGAGTTCTAGAGAGATAGTGTGATACAGACAAAGGCCTCAGACTCTGAAGTCTTCCATTCATGGCTCATCCTGCTATGTAAACAATGGCCAGTCATGTAGTTTCAGACAGCCTCAATATTTTCTCTTCTTTAAGATGAAAATTCTTATGCTACCTATTTCACAAAATTAATATACAAATAAAATAATTTATTATATGGGAAATCTTATTTGTAAGTCATATTATAAATATTAAACTACTCTCTTAGGTTACATAAAAAATACTTTGGAAAAGATCTATTTGGTATCCTGGATCCTCCTACTTTCCCAAGACAGTAATTATAAAGACATAACTTCAATGTTGTGAGAATATTGAAAGAATTAGCAATAATTCTAAAATTAATAATGTTAGAGTGGAAAAAATACAGTTTCATGGTCTAGCCACACTTAACCATCTGAAACAAAAAAAAAAATTGGCAACACTGAAAGCAAATAGGAAAAATGGGGTATTCTTACATCCTTGGAACCATAGAACATTCGCAAGCCAGGTATTGGGAAGTTTTGCTTATTCTGTAAGACTTCTTTTTGAGCCAGCTAGGAGATATTTACTTCCTTCTGTCTCCTCCAGCTCAACCATCCCTGTTCCACATCCTACACACATACACACTGTATTAGCCTATTTTGATACTGATATAAAGAAAGTGCCTAAGACTGGGTAATTTATAAAGGAAAGAGGTTTAACTGACCACAGTTCAGCATGACTAGGGAGGCCTCAGGTAACTTACAATTATGGTGAAAAGTGAAGGGGAAGCAAGGCACCTTCCTCACAAAGAGGCAGGAAGGAGAAGTGATGAGCAAAGCGGGAGAAGCCCCTTATAAAAACCATCAGCTCTCATGAGAACTCACTCACTGTCACAAGAACAGCCTGGGGGAAACCACCACCATGACCCAATTACCTCCACCTGGTCTCCCTCTTGACATGTGGGGATTATGGGGTTCATGGAGAATATAATTCAAGATGAGATTTGAGTGGGGACACAAAATCTAACCTTACCATTCTTCTCCTGGCCCCTCCCAAATCTCATGCCCTTTTCACATTTCAAAAACCAATCATGCCTTCCCAATAGTCCCCCAAAATTTATAATTCATTCCAGCATTAATCCAAAAGTCTAAGTTCAAAGTCTCATCTGAGACAAGGCAAGTCCCTTCCACTTATGAGCCTGTAAATTCAACAGCATGTTAGGTACTTCCTAGATACAGTGGGGTACAGGTATTGGGTAGATGTTTCCATTTGAAATAGGAGAAATTAGCCAAAACAAAGGGGATACAGGCTTCATGTAAGTCCGAAATCCAGTGGGGCAGTCAAATCTTAAAGCTCCAAAATGATCTCCTTTGACTGCATGTCTCACATCAAGGTCACACTGATGCAAAAGGTGGGCTCTCATGGCCTTGGGTAGCTCTGCCTCTGTGGCTTTGCAGGGTATGGCCCCACTCCTGGCTGCTTTCATGGGCTGACATTTAATGTCCACAGCTTTTCCAGGTGCATGGTGCAAGCTGTCAGTGGATCTACCATTCCGGGGTTTGTAGGATGGCGGCCTCTTTTCACAGCTCCACAAGGCAGTGCCCCAGTGGGGACTCTGTGTGAGGGCTCCAACCCCACAGTTCCCTTCTGCACTGTCCTAGCAGAGGTTCTCCATGAGAGCCCTGCCACTGAAGCAAACTTCTGCCTGGACATCCAGGCCTTTCCATACATCCTCTGAAATCTAGGCAGAGGTTCCCAAACCTCAATTCTTGATGTCTGTGCACCCACAGGCCCAACACCACATGTAAGCACCAAGGTTTGAGGCTTGCACCTTCTGAAGCAACAGCCTGAGCTGTATGGTGGCCCCTTTTAGCCATGGCTGAGATGCAGGGCACCAAATCCTGAGACTGCACAAAGCAGCAGGACCTGGGCCCAGCCCAAGAAACTATTTTTTCTTTCTAAGCCCAAAGCCTATGATGGGAGGGGCTGCCATGAAGGCCTCTGACATGCCCTAGAGACATTTTCCCCATTATCTTAATGATTAGCATTTGGCTCATCATTACTTATGCAAATTTCTGCAGCAGGCTTGAATTTCTCCTCAGAAAGTAGGTTTTTCTTTTCCATTCCATCATCGGGCTGCAAATTTTCCAAACCTTTGTGCTCTGCTTCTCTTCTAAACGTAAGTTCCAATTCCAAACCATCTCATTGTGAATGAATAAAACTGAATGCTCTTAAGAGCAACAAAGTCACATTTTGAACACTTTACTGCTTAGAAATTTCTTCTGCCAGATATCCTAAATCATATCTCTCAAGTTCAAAGTTCCATAGATCTCTAGGGTAGGGGCAAAATGCCACCAGTCTCTTTGCTATAGCATAGCAAGAGTCACCTTTGCTCTGGTTCCTGAGAAGTTCCTCATCTCCATCTGAGACCACCTCAGCCTGGACTTCATTGTCCATATCACTCTTTTCATTTTGGTCAAAGCCATATAACAAGTCTCTAGGAAGTTCCAAACTTCCTCACATCTTCCTGTCTTCTGAGCCCTCCAAACTGTTCCAACCTCTGCCTGTTACCCAGTCCCAAAGTTGCTTCCACATTTTCAGGTATCTTTATAACAGCACCCCTCTCCTGGTACCAATGTACTGTATTAGGCCATTTTCGTACTGCTATAAATAACTACCAGAGACTGTGTAATTTATAAAGGAAACAGGTTTAATTGACTCACTGTTCAGCATGGCTGGGGAGGCCTCAGGAAACTTACAATCATGACAAAAAGTAAAGGGGAAGCAAGGCACCTTCTTCACAAGGAGGCAGGAAGGAGAAGTGTGGAACAGAGGGGGAAGAGTCCCTCAAAAAATCATCAGATCTCATGAGAATTCACTCACTATCAGTGAGAATAGCATGGGGAAAACCACCCCCATGATTCAATTACCTCCACCTGGTTTCTCCCTTGACACATGGGGATTATGGAGGTTATAATTCAAGATGAGATTTGGTTGGGGACACAAAGATTAACAATATCACACACCTTAGTAACCATGATTACTACAAGTATTTAGAAGGAAAAAACAAGAAAGAGGGAGAGAGAGAGCTGAAAAAGGACTAGCTTTGTTCGCATTATGGGAATGTTATCTTCTTACCAGTACCATATGGCCTGCATAATGTGCCTGAATTTGGAGTGGACCCAACAGCACACAATCCCATAGACAAGAAATGAGGGAGTGATGGAGACTACAAAATCAAATTATAGTGCTAGTTACAGGAGAAGAGTAAGCAGATGCCAGATGTCATATAAATAGATAAAACAGCAAAGGATTACAAGCACTGGTTTTCCATCAGCACAAGACAGGCCCACATTTTTCACTATAGTATACAGAGTTTCCATGATGTGACCTCTGCCTTCTCCTGTGTTGTTCTTGCCTCTTTACATTGCATTTTACATTCTGGCAATATCCAAACACTTGTACCTCTTTATTAACACTATGCTGTTTCTATAACCTATGACTTATTTTAAAATGAGAATGCTTTCCCTTTTAAATACATGCTTTACCTAGTTACGGGCTTTATATCATTAAGACTCATTTCAAGGGACATGTCTTTCAAATTATCTTTTGTAACTGGGAAGCATGATTTTTGTGGTCTTCTGGTGTGTTCTCATAAAATTCTTTGTATGGACTTGTACAACATTATTGCCCCAGAACAGTCTATATAGTTCTGCTCCCCTGACTACAAAAGGCAAACGAGTTTCTTGGGGCAGAGATTGTGATCTCTGTCCTTTGCTGCACCAACACCAAGGCACAGTGCCTATCTAATTCTCTCCTAGATAAGCAGTTCCTGGGATTTCAGATAGTAATTAGGGTTCTAAGATTCTGGGCCATTCGTATGCAGATTTGGCACAAACTCAAAAGAGCCAAAGGTAAAGTAAAGGTAGAACCAAAGGGTAACATCAGAGATAATCCAAAACTGATTGCCAGGCAGACAGTCCAAAATTCATCCCGTAGAGAGCTAAATCCAGGAGTCTCGGCATAAAGGTGGGTAAAAGCCAGTCATGGACAGGAGGATAAAGGGGGAGAGTCTAGGCATAGCAAGTGGATTATATCAGACCACTAGAAGCAGAATATGGAACTCTATCTTTACCAGGAATCTGAGGTTCAGGAGCCTTGCACTACAGCAGCTCTTACTTCAGGATCCAGGGTAGGAGGAGCTGTTAAAAGTACAAAGATAGTCAGACAATTGTAAAGGTACCTTCACATACAATATCAACCCTCTCTACATCTTTACCAAATCTAAGGTAAAATGTTACCTAATGTAACAAACTTAAACTAAAGTGGACAAATAAGAAACTAAAACCTCTATCTTCTATGAACTCATTCAAGAAAACAATTCCAATCAATAGCATTCTAAAAGTGTGTTACACTAGTTCCCACATTATAAGAGACAGTAAACCATTAAAATGAGTCCATAAACTGATTAACTATATTGGTCACAATGCTTTAGAAACTGTTTTAGATGAGTTATTAATATGCAGTTTCAATATATGTGAATAAATGGCAGGTTAAACTAAAAAATGTATTAAGTAAATGATTATACACACACACATAATATAAACTGCCTGATTTGTGTTTGTAATAAACGTGAATTTATTTAAAAGCCAAAGAGAAAAGTTAATGTTGAATATTCAGAACAAGGAGTAGTTTTATCTAAGGGAATATTTCACAGGCAGATGGAAGTGAATATGCAAAATTGTTCCAGTTAAGCAAATGTTCCAGATAGATTTTTAAGATAAAACATGCTTGCAGTTCTATGCAATCTGCACTATTTTTAATAGTCTGTTGCTGGATTTTGTATATGACTTCAGTTATTTTATCATCCTACCTCTGTGAAGCAACACTGAGCATGAAAAACTGAACTGCAAGAAAAGCTTCCAGCCAGGCAGTGGGTAGGAGTACAAGCAGAATAACGATGTTTTAACAGGACTGTGAAAGGATGACAGATGTACAAGGGAAAGTTCTCAAACATGTTGGAGATGAAGCCCATTAAGCCCCCAAACCTTGTGATATCTGTCTGATCACTCACTCTGGGATTCATTACACAAATGATTCAGTACTTCCAAGATGCATTAAAATTAGTGCCCTAGTATTAGAGCCTCATTCCTGGAACCACCCTGTTGAATTTATAGGAGGAATTTTTGAAAAAAAAAAAATTTATGTATACATTGTATGATACTTAGATTAGAAAGAAATGCATGCCACAGGGATTAAGAGGTAGACACTGAAATCAAAACCTGAGTTTAATTCCCAGCTCTACTAGTTGTGAGATACGTGACCTTGCTCAACTTTACTAGGGCTCTCTATGCTTCTGTTTCCTCTCTTGTAGCATAGGAATAATAATGCCAGCTAACTCATAGAGTTACTGAGAGTAATCAATTATACAATGTCTGACAAATGATGGCACATAGCAAATTTTTGGATGAGAACAGAGGCAAATGCTGAAATAATCAAATGGTGCAACATTCACACAAACGTGTTTCTACTACAAAAATCTATAAGGTCTAAGAGTTTCCATCATCTGCATACACCTTAAAATGCTTCCTTGACCAAACTCAAACCAACTAGCAATTGAAGGCAACAATTCTGATTTTTAGTATGTTTCATGCTTAGTAGAAACAACTTAAAAGAACCAAAGTCTGAATTTAATATTAGCCAGAAATAATTGATAGCCAAATTTAATGTGAACAAGCATATTTTGCATATCTATGCCCTTTTACGGAAACAGACACAAGAAGTAGATGAGTAACTTATTTCTAAGTTGAATTACTAAGCACACTCTCTTGAGTAGTCATCAGAAATTTTTAACACTCACTAAATTATCTGAAAACATAAATAATTTTAAGGTTAGAATGATTCTTTGATACTGTATAGTCAAGTCCAAAGCATTCACTTTACAGAAGAGGAAGCTGAATTCAAGATATATGTGATTTTTATAAAGTATGACAGGTCAGTAATTGGAATGCTAGTACTAGACCCAGGTCCCCAGCTACAACAATATTCTCCATTTCAAAATATCACATTGATAGTGGAATGAATTTACGAGTACATGTTGGAGATTGTGTCTTTTTGTATTTACTTAATATTTATCCATTTATATTGGGAGTCAGGTATCTCACATCTCATATAATGTACTGACTTAAAAGATATTAAGAAATTAGACATCTTCCAAAATTAGAAAAGAACAAATTCAATTCACAAAATAAAATTTAAGCAAGTATTCGTGGAAGAAGAGAGTTGAAGGAGAAAGTAAAAGAAGATAAAGATAATTTTCTTCAGGACTTTCCTCAAGAATGTGAAAGGTCATTATCCAGAAGAAAATGTCCATTGCCTTCCAAACTCAAGGCCAAAAGAACAAGCAAAATACCAAGAGATTTTATACCAGTATGATGGACTGTGTTTCCAAAGAGGGTCACAGCAATGTCTCCCATTTGACATGTTCTTTTACAATATGGTCATTCTCCCATCAACAGTGGAATCTATTTCCTCTCTCCTTAAACATGGGCTGCTCCTGTAATATATTTTGAACTAGGAACTGTTTTGGAAGTGATATTGTATAACTTATAAGGCTAGGCCTTAAAAGGTTTGCACAGTCTCCAGCTTTACTGCTAACACTGCTTCTCTTGGAAACCCAGTCACCATGCTGTGGGGAAGCACAAGCAGACATGTGGGGTGGACCACATGGAAAACTGAGACTCAGCCTACAGCCCCCACTGAGATCCAGCTGACAGCAAGCACCAACTGCCAGCATGTGAGTAAGGTCATTTAAACCTTCCAGCCATCCCTTTACCTCACTGAAGGCCACATGAAGCAAAACTGCTCAGAAGTATCCTTGATATAGTTTGGATATTTGTCCCCTCCAAATCTCATGTTGAAATTTGATTCCCAATGTTGAAGGTGGGGCCTAGTGGGAGGTGTTTGGGTCACAAGGGCAGATCCCTCATGAATGGCTTGGTGCCATTTTCATAGTATTGAGTGAGCTGTTACTCTTAGTCCTTGTGAGATATGGCTGTTAAAAATAGCCTGACATCTCCTTCTGTCTCTTGCATCCTCTTTCACTGTGTGATGTGTTAGCTCCCCGTCTCTTTCCATCATGATTGGAAGCAGCCTGAGGCCCTCACCAGAAGCAGATGCTGATGCCATGCTTTTTGTACAGCCTTCAGAACTGTGAGCCAAATAAACCTCTTTTCTTTATAAATTACCCAGCCTCAGTTATTCCTCTATAGCAATGCAAAAATAGACTAAGGCAGCCCTGCTCAAATTCTAGACCCAGAAAACATTGAGCTGATTAAATGGTGGTTGTGGCAAGCCATTAAATTAAGCTTCCAAAGATCATCTTCTGGTTGTCCTTCAGGCTAGGATGGATGCCCATCCTATGTTCTGTAGCACACTGATTCCCCCCTACCATAGCACTTACCGTATTCCATTTTAATTACCTATTACTTCTCTCCACCTCTCACTCTGCTGCATGCAAAAATAGATTTATACAGTAAGAGATAACTACAACAACTAGAGAAAATATTGTCATCCTAAACATTTATATAATGTTCAGATGATAGCTCTTCCTACAGCTAATATATGGTTTCTAAGATACATCAGTTAAACTGGACAAATAGAGTCATACATTTTAAACACACACACACACACACACACACACACACCTCTAGTTCTGTGCCCTCTCATCACACAATTCTTCAGTTTTTTTTCTAGGCACTTCCAGGACTCCCCAGGGAGTGATTCTCAGAAGACTGGGACTTTTAACAATTTTACAAAACTTATTTGTTTTTTCGTTTCATGCTTCAGTAGCCAAAGTAATATCTCTTGCTATTACCAATGCCATAATCAGCAGCTTTGCTGCTGAAGTATGCCACCAGGGTACTACTGATGCCTGCTCATTTCTGAATTTTTAGGATGTTAAGATGATTACAAACAGTATTAAGTCAAGTTCAATGTCTTTGGTGGCTACTCATACCAGGACAGAAGTTGTAGTGCTAAATCTTCCCTGCTGTAGCTACTAGTAAGTCATATCTTTATTACTCAACATAAATTTCAATAGAATTGTCTTCCCCCTTTGCCAATTAAAACATCACATGCACAAACACATATATACACACAGTCTTGCTTTAGACTGAGTGATATTCTGCCATTCATTCCATCAACAAATAATTATTTATTTAATGGTGCTGTTCTTGACACTGGAGTGTGCAATGGAAAACAAGGCAGACAAGAATTCTGCTCTCATAAAACTTGAAGTCTACTTGAACAGGCAGACCAAAAAACAAATACTTAAGGGAAATAATTAAAAACTGCAATAAGCAATAAAATAACAGAATGCTGGGACAGAGCAAGATGGAGGAGACCTACTTTGGTCTCTACTTAGAGGCTGGAGATGGTCACTTCGTGGAGGAAATATTTTAGCTGACTTCAAAAGAATGAACAAGAACAAAAAAAATGCAGGATAAAATATTTCTAGACAGAGGAAGCAATATATTTAAATACCCTGATGGTAAAAGGAACTTGTTCTGTCCTAGGAGCTGAGAGGAGTCTGAACAGCATGAAGCAGTGAGTTCTGGGAAAAACATTATCAGGTGGAGACATCCAGATAAGCAGATAGTGCAGGGCCTTGAAGGCCAGAGAGAAGTTTTCACTAGCTGTGCAATGGACAGCAAATGGCAGCTCACAATGGAATGGCATGATACTATTTAACTTTTAGAAATGTAAGTCTGACTACTGTGGTGAGCGTGAAAGAGAACAGACTTGACTGAAGAGAGACAAAAAATGAAAGTAGATTATTAGTCCAAGGGGACATTGGCCTAGACTAGGGAGAGTGAAAGAAGAAATTAAGATATTGAAACATGTTTTCAGGGAAGAGTCTAGCATTGACCCACATTCTTGAACTAAATAATAGAATGTCAGTTATCTATTCCATTGCTCAGCGCTTCATATCAGTAGAACACTATGGAGCATGTTTATCCATCCTTTAGTTCTGCCTGAAACTTTATGGAGATAACCTTTTGCATCAGCTACCAATACAGCTACAGATGCATATATCCCTAAGTAACCAGCGTCAAAGAAGTATAATGGTAGGAATTAAAGCCCCTGGATGATAAAGGTATCTAAATTCTTTCTTTGTTTGTTTTTGTTTGTTTTTGAGACAGAGTCTCGCTCTGTCACCCAGGCTGGAGTGCAGTGGCGCGATCTCAGCTCACTAAAACCTCTGCCTCCCAGGTTCAAGCGATTCTCCTGCCTCAGCCTTCCAAGTAGCTGGGATTACAGGCACATGCCACCACCCCCAGCTAATTTTTTGTATTTTTAGTAGAGACAGGGTTTCACAGTGTTAGCCAGGATGGTCTCGATCTCCTGACCTCATGATCCACCCACCTCGGCCTCTCAAAGTGCTGGGATTACAGGAATGAGCCACCGCGGCTGGCCAAAGTCTCCAACTTCTAAAGAATACCTCCTGCTGCTTCTACAGTTTCAGTCTTTCCTTCTCTCAGGCCAGGCTGGATATGCATTCATATAGTATATTCCTTATTACCTTATCAGAACGCTCATACACCATCTTAATTGCTATTTTGGTCAGTTTAGGTTGCTATAACAAAGTACCATAGACTGAGTGGCTTATAAACAAAAGAAATTTATTTTTCACAGCTTGAGAGGCTGACAGTCTAAGATCAAGACCCCAGCATGGCCAGATTCTGGCCAGTACCCTCTTCTAGCTTCTGGATTGCCAACTTTTTGGTGCATCTTTAGGTGGAAGAAAAAAAAAAAAAGACTAGAGAACTCTCCAGAGGTCTCTTTTATAGGAGTTCTCATTCATGAGGGCTCCACCTCTCATGACCCAAGTTACCTCCAAAAGGCCCCATCTCCTAATACCATCATACGGAGGGTTAGAATTTCAACAAATGAATTTTAGTGGGAACAAACATTTACTTCATAACAATTGTTCCTTACTTCTCTGTACCTCTCACTGTCCTATAACCAAAACCATGTCTTATTCATAACAGTATCTCCAGAACCTTGTATAATGACTGACATAAAATATACTCTCAAAACAATTTTAATTACATAAATAACTGAATTTCTTCCTCCTACCATTGGAGTGAAAGCAGGAAGCCAACCTTGGGTCTTCAGTTCTGAAGTCCTAAGTTTAAAACTGGGAGTAAGGTTAAGGCCATGTCAATCTGGTAAGCCATGGTAGGTCTCTTGGTAAGATGAGAATTGTATTTAATGATGTTCTAAATTCACATGTAAAAGTTAACATTCAGTTGCCCAAGTTAAAAGTATTTGAAATCCAGGAGATGAAGAAGGCATTTATAACCAATGTCAGAGCCCATATTTTGAGGCTGCACAAAACATTTATTTATATATAATTTAATACACAAACATTAACAGTCATATCTACATTTACAGTATGTTGTTTGACATTGTAAGTTATGGTAAGAAATGTATTTGAAGTATGAAATATAGATTACAACTATTTTTAAAGCATATAAGATATTGATTATATCTGCATATAGAATGAAATTTATTAAGGAAGAGAACTTCTCTGCTAACACTCTGCAAAAGGGGCTAAAATTATGGAGTTTTGTTTCTTTTCTCAAAGAGACTGCTTGAAGGCAATAAACTACAGGTATCCACGCAGGCACAAAATGAGGGCATTGCTGAAGCCATTTAGAGGTACTTCTTCACTTCAGTGTAGGTCACAGTGTCTAAATAAAGTTCATGCAAAGTTATCATGCCTTGTCTAAAACATCTAAGACCCAGGTAAAGGTCAAGACTATCTTGTGAATCCATGACTCCAGATGACCCAATGCAATAAGCATAATAAGAAAGAGGTTTTAATCCACGAACCTCTGTGGAGGGCTGAACAATAGAAAGAGTGTTCAATAGATTGGGGATATGGTTATTAAAAGAAGATAAATGCCTTTCAACATCCTATTTGCATTGATAATGAAACATCTGCTCTATATCTCTTGTTTAAAGAAAATGGAAAAATAATCAGAGGAAAGTTCCAAGAGTGGGTGTGTACATCTATGAGGTATTTTCATGTATGCCCAAATCGGAAAAAAAATAGTTTTACTAATATTCCATTAAATTGTGACACAGGCTGGGCGCGGTGGCTCACGCCTGTAATCCCAGCACTTTGGGAGGCTGAGGTGGGCAGATCACAAGGTCAGGAGTTCAAGACCAGCCTGGGCAATATGGTGAAACCCCGTCTCTACTAAAAATAAAAAAATTACCCGGGCCTGGTGGCGCATAGCTGTAGTCCCAGCTACTCAGGCGGCTGAGGCAGAAGAATCGCTTGAACCCAGAAGCAGAAGTTGCAATGAGCTGAGATCACGCCACTGCACTCCAGCCTGAGTGACAGAGCAAGATTTCATTTCAAAAAAAACAAAAAAAAGTAACACAAGGCATAGCTAACTCTTCACACATGATCATTTTATATATATCAGCACTGCTTTTGACTAAAGCTCTGCTAGTTTCTTCCACATGTTAATGTGTTAGCATAATTTCAGATATTCAGAGCACACCACAAATATTCTTTATCCAATAAATAAATTCAATAAATAAATCCTCTTTTCTTCCCTTAGGTAATTCTCTCTCTGAATTTTCAGATGGATAGCAAGAGTTGACATATGATAATCCAAAGCAAATGCGCTCTCTTTCTCTTTCCTGCACTAGCACTGTTCCCTCTTAAAAAGAACTGGATGCATTTTATGAGCTATGTTGAAAAACAAAATGACAGTATATTTGCTGGCTATGAATGTTCAAATTTTAATGAATTCTTTTGATGAAAACTGTAATGGACTGAGTTGTATTCTCCCAAAATTCACATGTCGAAGTCCTAACAGTGACCAGTCCCCAGTATCCCAGAATTTGTAACTGTATTTGGAGATAGGGTCTTTGAAGAGGTGATTACATTAAAATAAGGTCTTTAGGGTATGCCCTAATTCAGTATGACTGATGTTCATGTAAGAGGAGATTAGGACACAGGCAACACAGAAAGAAGACCATGTGAAGACATCAAAATATGGACATCTGCTAGCCAAAGAGAGAGTGCTCAGCCAACACCTTGCCAACAACCCTGCCAACACCTTGATCTCAGATCTTTATATTCCAGAATTATATAAAAAAAATTTCCATTGTTTAGTCCACCCAGTTTGTCTAGCTTTGTTAAGGAAGTCCTATCAAAGTAATACAACTACTGACTTCCTAAATTCATGGCAGTAAGCACTTTCTAAATATAAATGCTGATATTACAAATATTGCATTTTCATAAATATCTCCTGTAACAAAATGAAAACATCATTAAGAGAATTTCTTATACAATGAAACTAACACATCCTGTGGTTGTGTATGTGTCTTATTTTCATAAGTCCAGGAAGCATTTCATGCCTTTGGAGTCATAACTGAGCCTCAGGGGAACATAATTGGTACATTCAGGAACTCTAGGCAGAGAATCACACTTTGAAAAAAGCCTAGTACTAGGATATGGAAATAACAAAAGGACTGGCTGTAGAGTTTGCTTTCTAGAGCTATGATATGTTTTCTCGGGGAGGGGAGAATCTGCCTCAGATCAGAACAAGCTGCTCTAGGTTCAAGCCATTTCGACTCTTTGTTCCTGCCCCTAAGTACCTTCTAAAACACCCAGCTGATGTAACAGTTTGTTCGAGTTATCTGTTTATGTGTCTGCCTTAACTCACTGGACTAGAAGTTCCTCTAGAGCAAAGACGATGTGTCTGGAACGTTGAAGGCACATGAGTTTGGTAAGTTGATGAATTACTAAATAAATGACTAAAGAAATAAATGAATGAAAATAAATCAAAGATTCAGGGCATCTCAGAGAATTCCAAACAGCAGGCAATCAGCAGTGCAGGCAGATGAATTGTCTAACAGCAGGTATCAGCATAACACAGTCATTGGACAACACGTATTATTCAGACCCTAGAGGCATTATTCAATCTCATTGCAGTTTAGTCCCAAGAAGATTAGACTCAGTTACATTCAGCCTTTCTCATATGGTTATAACAGATATAACCACCAGATTGATTCACTGCTGAATCAATGAACTTCAGTCTCTCTTTTTAAAGAAATGATTGATCTCATAGTCTCTAGGGATGAGGAAACCTGCATAGAACATAGTTAAGCTCCATGAGGACAAGTTATGTGTTCATACGGTATCCCTATTCATGATACGTATTAGGTTCTCAATACATTATTTATTATTGATTAAATCAACTAATATTGATTTGCTTTCAAAATACACCCAAGTTAGCTCAGCCAAATAAGACTTGCAAATTAATAAAAGCAATTTCAATATTTAACTGAATCAGAAATACCAAATGTGAATGGGTGGCATTTAATGAGACGAGCCTCTCCAGGATCATCCCTCCCTGAGTCAGGCAGAGCCTGTCAGTCAACCACATACACCTCAGTGTTTGATCTGTAGCCAGTAAAAAAACAAGTGGGTCAAACAACTTCATCAAGATGTGTTCTGGTGCACTTACCATGCCTGGTTTTTAAATGTGAGCTGAGCGTTCCTCATTATTACATATTGACAACACCTTAGCAATTAAATTATTCAAAAGGTTGTGATAATCAAATTATTTTAAAAGGTTGACTATTTCTTATTTTGACTTGAAAAGAAAAAGTTTCCAGAAGAGATGGGGTGAAAAGTTGGGGATGGAGTTGATAAAAGAGGTGTAAATGGGAACTGAGTTGAATTAAACACATGCTATATGCCAGCCACAGTAATAGGCTCTTAGCATTTCTCATGTCTTCAGTTCTCATAACAACCTTTGGGGACAGCTACAATAATTTCATTTTATAAATCTGAATATCTCAGATATCCACTAAATCAATTTAGTGATTTAAAACAACAATTATTTATATTTATTTTATGATTCTACTATTCAATAATGGAGACTGGGTTCAGCTGCAAGATTCTTCTCGTATCTGCTGGGCTCCCTCAAGCATTTGCTGTCCTTGTATTTCAGGTAGGAGACTGGCTACTTCTAGGGCATGGCCAGTTGTCAGCTGGGAACACCTATCCTTCTTGGAGTCTCTTGTCTGCATGTGATGAGACGTCTGGGCTCTGAAATGCCACGCAGTCACTCACTCTGTTGGCCTCTCATTCTTTAGGCCAAAATAATTACAAAGCCAAAGCCACAGTCAAGATAGTACCTCTTACTGGGACCAGCTGCAGTCACATAGATATAGAAGGAAGGTAAAGAATTTGACACACATCCAATAGAATTATCATAGAATTGTCATAGATACCAAGTGGCTTTTCCAAGATCACCCAGCTAGTAATCATTGAGACAGATTTTGAACTTCAGTATTGAGTCTTAACCTTATATTCTTTGTTCTCTCCTTCTTGCCATTGTTCTCCCTTAAAACAAGGTATAATTAGGTAGATGGCCAAAAAAAAAAGCCAAATTCTAATCAAACTGAGATAACTCTGTATCTCTCCATACTTTTTCAAACCCACTGTGCAGTCGGGGGTAGACGCCTAGGGCCAGCAGCGTGCACATGGTCAGCTGCAGGGACCAGATGCATGTGAAAGGTAGTGTGCACGTGCACAGCTACAGGAGGGCTGGTGGCATACACGTGCATGGCTGCAGATGCCAAATGTGGGTGTAATCATGATGGTGGGGAATATTTTATTTTCCTCTAAAACAGTTTTCAGCAACTGCCGCAATGTTGCATAGTGTATGTTCAAGAAATGATTTTTTTACAATAAAAATTCCATTAACGATGCTGTGTACCTATCAAAAGCTTGAATTCCCAGGCTATTGCTGGTCTTCAACTGATTAATTATTCTAAGATCTAACTTAGTTTAAAGATCAGGGAATAGTTCCCCCTTAGATAAAAATAGAATTAATAAATGGTTTAACGTCCTTGGTAGACTTTCCTTTCTTGGTAAGAACCTACTAGAAATGCTATATATTAACTGCTTTTGTTGGTGTATTTGTTCTGATTTTCTTTAAATGATTAGGAGAAGGGAAGGATTTCTTTCAAACATAAAAGTAAGAGCCGGATGATAAAATATAGGTTCTGATGAAACTAATCAAGTAACACGAGGCTGTATTGCAAAGGAAGAACATACAGTGTTCCTCTGTTTTGCAAAAGACATTCTAGCAAAGAAATTTTTCAGAGAAACAGCACTCTCTAACAGTCACACCTTTGAGTAGTCAGAATCAAGACAACTGGGCAGGCAAGGGAAGCCAGTCCAGGGTGAGGAATGGTTTTAGAGGCAAATCAATACAAGCAGCACTCACTCCTCACCAGAAGAGACCTTATAGGCCCTTGGTCTTGGCTGTAACAATGATGTCTTATAAGAAAGACAAGAAACTTCAGCCATTGGGCTCAGGATGACTACATAGAAGAAACTGAAGATGGCTCTCATGGTAGAAAATAAGAACCCCAACGATACTCAGAAAATAATAGCAAATTGCCATGAAAGATAATACATTTTTTTAAGAACTGCAAGGTGGAACTGACAGCACAAACGAGGGTAGGAGCTACGAATGATAACAGCTACTTTAGCTGTCCCCTATCATGTGTCACATACTTTACCGTTGTAAAGACTTTATCTATAATAATAAAATAAATAGTAAATACTTGATTATTATTTCATTTAATGCTCACTCTAAAATGTAGGTACTATCTTATCCCTATCTACAGGTAGACAAAATTGGGCAAGAGGTTAAATAATGTTCGTTAGCTCACACAGCTAGCATACAGCAAAGCCTGGTTTGAACGCATAGCTCCCTATGGGTTCAAAGCCCATACCTTGAACCCATACATTTATTGCCTCTTAGGTGCAGCCTGAGGTTCCATTTAAATGAGGGAAAGATGAGCCCAACTATATTCTCTTTACATAAGGATTATCTAAGTTACTGGTATAAGACTAAACATAATTAATCTTATATAGATATATGGATATTTATTATGCTTACAACAATTGTTCTAAAGTATGATGTTACATGTAAGTGTAAATTACCATGTTCAGATAGAAGACGATAGGGTGGCCCTTTCCATTTGTAAGAAGACAGTGTCCATTCTTTCAACTTTGAAAATAGAGCATCAGCTTTCTATTACCATATCTGTTATTCAAAGCACATAAATATCCTCTCTCAGTCACCAGCACAAAATTCCAAATTGTCAAGCCTTTACTTGAGGGTATAACCTTGAAGCAAATTAAAATTTACTGTCAACGTTTATTCAAAATCTTACCAAAAAGGGTGAATATGCTATAATTATAGCCACATTTTAAAAATATTTATTATGTGTCAGATGCTTAACATACATTAGCTCTAATTCTTACATACCAGGGTAATGCTTTGATATGGATATAGGTTGTTGGTTGTTTTGTTTTCATTCCTTTTACTCATGAGCTTCCTCCTATTTTTCAAATAGCAGCAATGGTCATCTATACATACTGCCATTGGTTTAGAATTTAATATGGACAGAAAAATTCATGTCAAATTCATGACTTTCGTCAAGCACTTCCACAGACTTTTATAAATATTTAACAGAGACAATAGCACTAAAAGCCATTCTTTTCCATTGCAGAATCCAGGTGATTGGGGGAAAAATGTTGTGTTTGCTTTTTTTTTTCTTTCTTTCAATTTCTAATCACCTCGCTTTACTTATCGGCAGCCAAATCTAAGACAGTCAAAGCTGAGAATTTACCCATTAACCATAGAGTGACTAGAAGCGAAATAAAATGTGGGATTATATAAGAACTTTATTCCCCAGGGTCTTATGCCAAGGATATGCCAAAAAGTTAATTTCAGCTAGGAAAAACAGTGAAATGATAGAAACTGTGATAGATCATCAGATAAGTTATGAGAGCCCTGAAAGTGTAAAAGATCATCATTTCATAAATAACACGTGGTATATACATACAGCAAACTATTCTTCAGCCTTAAAAAGGAAGAAAATTTTTACCTATACTACAATATTATGAACCCTGAAAACGTTATTTTAAATGAAATAAGCCAGTCACAAAAAGATAAACACTGTATGATTCCACTTACCTGAGATACCTAGAGTAGTCAAATTTATAGAGGTAGAAAGCAGAATGTGGGTTGTCAGGGGCTGGGAGGAGGGGAAGCAAGGGAGGTGTTTAATGAGTATAAAGTTTTGTTACCCAAACACCAGCGGTTGGGTTTATGTCCTGCTGCTCACTGCACAGAAAATCAATCACTGAGACATCAAGTATTGCCAGGAAATGAGGCTTAAATCAGGTCCTGCTGCTGAGGAGATGGGAGATCACTCTCAAATCCATCTCCCTGACTAAAATTGGAAGTTTATATAAAAGAGAAAGAATGTATAATAACCACATGTAGGTAAACAGGAATTAGGGTGGGGAAAGGAAATCATGAGGGATGAAAGATCTGGCTTCACATTGTTGGAATGTAGTGATCTGGCGAGCTTCAGTTCCTTGATACTACTGGGGAGGCCTGAAGAACAGTTCCCTGAGGAAAGAACTCAGATAAGACATATGTTACGTCTCAAGCTTTAAGACTAAGAGGATCAATTTCTATGTTTATTTTAAAAGACTGTAAACATCAGTTCTATGGGACAATGGGCTGTATTCGGTTTTAGTTTTGCAAGATGAAAAGAATTCTGAAGACTGGTTGCACAATAACATGAACACATGTAACACAACTGAACTCTACAGTTAAGAATGGGTAAGATGGTAAATTTTATGTTAGGTATATTTTACCAAAATTTATAATTTTTTCTAAAAAAAGGTTAATTACATAACTTTCCAGGGTATATCCTAAGGGTATTTATGCTTTATAGAAAAACTCTATGTCTGACATAGCAATATGAGTAGCAGGGACTAAGACAGGAGTCCAAGAGGATGAGCCTGATAGGAACCTGATAGAAAAGAAACTGCAGTCTCCTAAACCCCTCAGAGGGACACAGAAGTAAAAAGGAGAGTTGGTATACCAGAAAGACCCTCATAGTTAACATAAGGGGCTAGTGGACTCCAAAACTGGAGGCCATGAAAAGTCCAAAGACATTAGAAGCAGTTTCAGTAGGACCAGCAGGCAACACTTAGGGTCTGTTTGGTCAAGTTGTGCCCAGAGTTGGTTCCTTCCGGTGGGTTCTTGGTTTCACTGACTTCAAGAATGAAGCCACGGACTTTCGCAGTGAGTGTTACAGCTCTTAAAGGTGGCAGGGACCCAAAGAGTGAGCAGCAGTAAGATTTACTGTGAAAAGCAAAAGAACAAAGCTGTAAAGGACCAGGTTGCCGCTGCTGGCTGGAGTGGCCAGCGTTTATTCCCTTATTTGTCCCCGCCCACATCCTGCTGATTGGTCCATTTTACAGAATACTGATTGGTCCATTTTACAGAGTGCTGATTGGTGCATTTTGCAATCCTCTTGTAAGACAGAAAAGTTCTCCAAGTCCCCGTCTGACCTGGAAGTCCAGCTGGCTTCACCTCTCAAAGTTATACTTCAACAGATGCTACCAGGGTCAGAAACCAGCAATACCAACTAAACTCTTCTCTTCCCATCAGCAGCATGTCTTCATATTTCTCACTTATGAGAAGAAACACATACTCTTGAGTTAAGCTACATTCAGTCATAAAGAAATAAAGAACAAAATGTTTTTTAAATACCCAATATCATAAAGGTAAAATATCATACCTATTATATTCACAACATGCCTCCAAGGAAAATATTATTATTTCCACTACAGATAAGACCAAGTTTCCGCATAATTAAGGAGCTTTCCCAGCTTGTAATTTCTGCAAGCTGGTATTCTCACTCTGGTGTTTCTTGTTCTAAAGTTCTTCCGCTATATCATGGCAATATTCTCAACATGTTGTCAATTTCACGCATGTGTCAAGCTATATTCCCAGAAAGCCACTTAGTCTCTCAGGTATCTTCCCATACACTCACACACCTATCCTGAATATGCACCACCAATGGTTTTTTGTTTTGTTTTGTTTTTTCCTTGGCTGCTTCTTCAGCCTTTTTTCACAACCCCTATATCTTCGCTCTGCCTACTGGGCTACCGCTCTCCTCCACGGCTAGTTCCAGGTCTGGAGATTTGCCCTGGACTTCTAACTAGGGGAAGAGAGTCCTGCTGCTCTTCTTCATTCATACTAATCCAATCCCCTGGAACTAGCACCATAAACAATATCTGGGGTCTTCTCAGACAGACAGATTTTTTATAGCTTAAATCTACTGAGTATGTTTTAACACACAACCACAGACTGATCACCGGATTATCCAATGCTACATGCTCTTGGGAAATCTGGTACTAATTATATTAGGAAGTGTGACTTTCCATGGAAACTTCCCGTCATAACCAGTTGAACGGCCAATATTGGTTTCTGCAGTTGGACCTGAGAACCATGGCCTACTTTTGTTTAGTGGTCTGTTCTCTCTCCTAGTGCCATACTGCCTCAAAAGACCATCACAACGTCTATCAATCACATTTTTGATCACCGACATTATAAATTTTGGAATCATGCTCACACATATATATGAATAAATGATGTCTATGTTAAATTCATGCATCAGTGAAACTTGTTATAAGGGCATACTGGCTTATTTAATACTTAATGTATATCCAAGGAAGGTTACAGTTTTCTGTGTTTCTCAAATTTATGTAATCACTGAACGCTTTTTTTGAAGAAATATCTCATGAGACTGGTTTCCAAGGCACATACATTTTGAAAGTGGTATGTTAATAAAAATTATATTTATAAAGGACTGAGATTTTGAGTTTTATCTCTGAGGTCTTCAATTATTTGTGCTAGAAGTAAATATAAATACTGAAATCCTGCTACCTTTTGTGGATATCTGTTTTTTCTCATTCTCCAACAATCATTCCACTTCCTTCCTGAAATTATACCTTGATTTTCCTTTCAGGAACCATCGCTACTCTCCAAATCAACCAACCTGGCTTGGATGTGGCTCACTGAATCCTCAGCTTCAACAGCAGTAGCATAAACCAGCCCAGCTAATCAATATTTCATCCCACTGGACACAATAATTGAAGTCATTGGTTCGGGGGTGAACTCATGATCAAAGCCAGATGAATGCACATGTTTCACTCTTAGGAAAGAGAAGCTTTTTGGACAAGGGTTGCTAAACTTGTAGAATGTAAGTAAGTCTGAAGCTGCTGGGAGCATCGTATGCAGAAAGCCCACCTGAAAAATGAAGCCCCACCAGAAAAGCAGAGCCAAAAGGTAGACTCCTCATGAACGTATCTGAGTTGCTGAGTCTAGCTGAAGACAAACTACGGCTGAATTTTTCACTTACATCAGCCAATTTCTTTTTCTTACTTAAGCCATTATTAGTCAGGCTTCAGTCACCTATGACCTGAAAAGTCCTGATTAATGCACTGCTCTGAGGAGGTAGCACTGTTCCCCTGGTGACAAGTAGCACAGGTAGTGTGCTTAGGAAAAGTTAATTCACAGTGCTTAGGAGAAGTTAATTTGCTTTCATGAATCTAGTCTTACATCCTTTATCCTAATCTGGAACAAAAAAAAAATGTCACAGGATTCCTGAGAAGGAAATCTCTTTCATCTACAATCAAACAAATGAACCCCAACTTCAGGTTTCTGCTTCTATTACCTTAATTTATCAAGGCCTCACAGCTTTCAAAATGCTTCAAATTAAGATCCATTTTGTGAGTCTTGTAAATCATAATTAATCTCTTTAAAGCACCTTGAGATTCTCAGGTGAGAGACCAGATAAAAGACAAAGCAACATTATTAAATAATTTAACCATTATTATTCTTTCAAGGGAAAATACAAGAATAAAAATCTTCAGGGAACATGATAATTACCGAGACAATAATGAAGAGCTGATTAGAAAAAGAGACTCCTTGTCCCTGAAAATAACAAAATCTTCCAAGAGCTCTCAGCAGATGCACGGTTTGTGTTTAATATCCCTTTATTCCTCACTGCCTCCACCCCCTCAGCCCAAACACACACACAAACCCCAAAGAAGGGGTCTTTGTGCACATTTGAAAAATGTTCTGCAGAGACCAGGTAATAGTTCCTACACAGTGATGGAAATGTCATTTCATGAGACATTTCTCCAAAAAAGAGCTGCCTGGTAGAGTTGAACGTTTTAGAAACGAATGATCAAACAACAGGAAAATCACAGAAATATCAGTTCTGACTCCTCATCAGAAAGCTAGAAGCTAAAAAAGCTAGCTTTTTAAAAAACAGAAAAAAAGTAAATGGCTCATTCTGAACAAACTGCTTATTTGATAGACAGATTTAGGGCATCCCTTGTGATTTAGTGGGTAGGTAAATTGTTGTTGTCCTATAAACAAGTTTAAGAGACACTCAGTGGATGCATCTTTTGCAACCCCCATGTAAGGATTAATTCCTGTGGTGCCACATCACTTCATATAAAGGTCAGATGAAGAAACACGCCAGCGATAATGATGAAAGAACAGGTCATCTCCTAAGAATTAATGGCTAGAGGGAAGGAATTGATGGTCTTTGGCTCTACCTTCAGCCATTAACCCCAGCTGGCTGTTAATCCTCAGGAAATGCCCTCTGCCTGGGATGTTATTGCTGTTATAAACTACAAATGAAGGAAATTGCACATGCTCAAACATCAGTGCAAAACATTTAATTTAATGAATAATGCACTTGGAAAAGCATATTCAAGATAGCTTAGAGAAACAGTTTAGCTGCATGTGATTCAGCCAGCTTGCATTCATCAGTTCCTTTTAGTTTAGTTATAACTGAAACTACAGATGGTGCCAAAACTAAACTCTGAACCTAACTGGGTTTACATATGAGTGCTGTGATTGATATTCCATTATTGTCAGTGTTCTTGATTAGTGCCATATAATTACAGGGTTTATTGCTTATGTCAGTGAAATTACAGAGAGAAGATTAGCAGCTAGCAGAGGGTTTTACAGACATTTCCAAAGGTCTGTCCACCTACTGACTAGTTGATGGAGTTGGTATTTTGCTCCCCACCAAACTATTTGTAAAAGGGAGCTGGGCTATTCCACATGCCTTTCTAAGTGACATTTCCGGAACTATCATCCTTATGCCTGAGGTGATGATTCCCCAAATTGGGTTTGCATGCTGAAAAAAAAAAAAAAAAAAACAAGAAGCAAAAAACAAAAATCTAATCCTCATAGGCTGCTTGAAATGCCATGTCTGCAGGGCCTCATCCTGAGGCAGTACTTCCAGAATGACATGAAAGGATTAAGAGGTAAATAAAGTAATTGGGCACACTCCAAAGTCAATTTGCTCAAATAGCTACTTGTAGGAAAAACAAAAAGTAGAAGTAACACCACATTAGAATTAACAGTGAGGAGTAAAATTAGTTAAGACACAATAAGAACAGTATTAACACATAGGAAGAAATACCCTGGATCAAAATGTAAGATGTCAGCTGAAATTGCAAAAACTCAAAAGAAATTTAGTTTCCTAATGGACACCATTAGGTGATCTTTGCAAAGTGCTGATTTCTGATATGATTCATCTTCAAATCAATAAATCAGGCCAGTTCTGCCTTCTCAAGTAAAGAATAGTAATAAATTTCTGGAGGGGGGAGTTTCAGAGAAGAATGTCTAAATCACATAACAAATTTTGTATGGCATTTTATAAATTGCCAGCATTTCCAAACATAATAGCAAGATGCAAGGTAGGCAATTTTACACCAGTTTTAAAGATAAGCAAACTTTATCTCAGTAATTTCTCAAGACTCTATCAACAGAAAAAGAAGGAAACACAATTTGAACCCAGGGCTTTCTGAATCCAAAGCCTATGCCCTTCCCACTGCCTTTCTTTAGAAATGATCCTGATATATGATATTTCATTTTAATCTTGCCTATGGTTTTTCATAATGTAGCTCTAAAATATATCTCTGATCTGATCTTCCAGGACCCCTTGAACATGCTCCAGTCAAAATGACTTTGGGCCATTCCTTGAACGTGTCCTCATGATTCCTCCCACACCACTGTCATAATCTATGGAGACCTTACCCATTGTTCAGTGCCTACATGCCTCCTTCTCCACAGAGCCTCTCCTAATACCAGGTAAAGGTCATCTTTTCATCTGACCACCCATGTGTCATTACTGAGGAACTGACCTTTGACAACCTTTCTTGTTTCATACTTATCTATATATGGAACATAGTCACTGTTAAGTTATAAACTTTTTTTAAGAAATAAGGACTCTCTCTCTCTCTCTATATATATATAAGTATACATATCATATATATATATCTTTTATATATATATAGATAGATAGATATAGATATAGAAATATCTTTTTTTTGAGTCTTGCTCTGTTGCCCAGGCTGGAGTGCAGTGCCATGATCTCAGCACACTGCAAACTCCGCCTTCCAGGTTCAAGTGATTCTCCTGCCTCAGCCTCCCCAGTAGCTGGGATTATAGGCACTTATCACCACATCTGGCTAGTTTTTTTGTATTTTTAGTAGAGATGACGTTTCACCATGTTGGTCAGGCTGGTCTCAAACTCCTGATCTCAGGTGATTTGCCTGCCTCAGCCTCCCAAAATGCTGGGATTACAGGCATGAGTCACCACACCTGGCCAGAAATAAGGATTCATTATATTTCATCTTTGACCTTCATCATTACAACCTCTTACAAAATATTAATAGTTTGTTGAATGAATGAATTAATTAATTAACGAATGCTTCTATCTTCTTACTCATAACTTTTCTGGATTTTCTGATTAGTATCTATAAGCAAAAGAAAGGTTTCCAACCAATAATCACATATGACTGTTCTAGGTCTTCTTTGAAAAATTTTCTGATTAGATTATTTGGTCTGCATCCCCCAAGATAAATCCCTGGCAGCTCTGACAAAGCTCCGAGTTTCCTGAGACTTAATCTTTGTGTAATCATGAGTTCAGTCAATGACCTGTATAAAAATGATACTACAAAAATGACAAGAGGTAAACTTTTGCCAAGGAGACTTCAGTACATGAACAACTAGATGAATCTATATGCATTGCAACTTCACAGAACTAAGATCAGATTCGAATCTAACATTTTATTCATCTTCCTTCTTGTAATGGGGTCAGAATGAATTTCAATCTGAATCTCTGAAAACCACGCCATCATACACACCACCACAGTTAATTAGTTCAACTGAAACTCGCAGAATAGAGTACGTGGGCATTCTCTAAATCATAGCACTTGCATCATGAATTACCTTGGTGACTAATCAAAGTCACTTAAAGAAGCACCTGACAAACCTAACTTGGGGGTCGCAAGAATAAAATAATGAAATTTTCTCTGAGGAATGAAGTGGCTGCCTCCTCAGTCTCCCCTCCTTGAGTTTCTCCCTGAAAATATAACAGACTCAATAAGAGGTCTGACTTTGTTTTTATAGTGCAAGGTTGCAGGGCCTCTGACCCTTGAAATGATAAACATGTACCTCCAAAATTAACTCTTGCATGAAGTATACAGGAAATACAAGGGGCATCCATTTAACTCTCAAGGAGACAAGAGAGATTTTCATTGTTCTTTCTTCTACTTCATTGTTAACATTTGGGTGAAATTATATCCAGACTTTGTAGTCACCTTCATGCTACCCTACGTGCATGTAACTCTGATAATGCTTCCTCTGTAATAAAGTGTGTTCATTCTCCTATAGACACTGGCACAGAGGGGTCTCTTGTCGGCAGGATTGTTTTATTTCCCAAAGGTGTCTACATAAGGAAAATATTATAGATGGATTATAAGCACTTACTCAAGAGTATGGTAGCTTTGTCATGTGCATTTCTTTATCAACAGGAGCACAATGTCTAAGACATATGAGGTTCTCCCTAATCTAGGCAGTTCAATCTAAACATATGCCAATTTTGTAGAGAAAAAAAAAGGTAGCATAAGTGGGAGAAGGAGAAGGAGAAGAAAAAGGAGGAGAATAAGAAAAGTAAGAGACAAGAAAGTGACCAATTACTAGCAGCAAGAAGAATTTAAGAATATGAAAAAGCAATTCAGGTCCTTGGCTGGTGTCATACAGCTCACCTGTATGGGATCATGATCCATTGAAATATCAAATCTACATCCAAACATCCAAACACATTAAAATTACATATTAATCAGGTAAGATGGTTGATTAACTTGCATATAGATAGATAGATAGATAGAGAGAGAGAGAGAGAGAGAGAGAGAGAGAGATAGATAGATAGATAGATAGATAGATAGATAGGAAAGAGAAACTGTTAGTAGCCAGGGGAAGTAATTTGTCTTATTTTAACAGGTTGAGAACATTAGTTCAAAATTCAAATAAATAGCATCATGCAGATAAAAGATATGGCCATTTCTATATATAGTATGGCAAACTATACATTTTCATATTTTCATTAGTAGAAAATATGGAGTTAACAAGAATAATACTGGCAGCAAGTTTAAATATATTTCTGTGAGAGATCTATTAATTAACCTATTAATTAATCCAGACTGATTAAGTTATCTGATCTGTCATCAGCTCTTAAGGGAAGATAATTACTGAAACATTCAGGTTTTCTCATACAGTCTCACATCATGTTTTCAGAGCTCCTGATTTACTACTGAGCAACTTTGTCATAGTTGGTTTTCCTTTGGAAAAAGATGCTTTTTAATGTCAACCCCCCACCCCTATATATTAAATCTCTTAATGAAAATATCAAAAATAAATCCATTAACTCACAAATATTTTTGTGTGCCAGGCATTGTGCTAACACTGGTAGCCATTGGTGCCTTTTAGGGGAACAGCAAAATAGCCTCATGTCCCACATTGTTTCATCTTCCTGCATAAGAAACATCAGTCTTTAAGTAGCAGTGGAAGTCAGCATCATCCAGCCCCAGTATATAGAGCTCCTGCATTCTTTGAAGCCTGGCCCTTAGGAAAATAAGTCTCATTTCCTCCTTTTCTTCTGCTTCATAGAAGGAAGGCCCTGAGATACCCCGACTGAGGCATTCTTAGTCCCTGACCTGCTCAGCAAACAATGTATGTGACATAGTTCACTGCTTAACAAATAAAGACACTGAAGTTTGGCTTCATTTTCCTGTGACTCTATGTAACTTGAAATCGGGTCATAAGTGCTGCCTTCTGTAAAAGCAGTAGGTCAAAAAAAAACCATTTCACAACTGAATGTGAAGAAATAGTCAGACCCAGACCCATGTTACCATGGCAGTTATGAAGACAAGGAGCAGGAAAAAGAAACAGCACAAAAAGCGAAAGGCAAGATTCTTGCTAAAACAGAAAAGATTTTTGTGCCAGCATCTTTTCACAGGAGAAGCTTTGGTAGTCAGGCATGTTTCTGCCTAAGAAGAGGTGATAAACCTCTTCTATGTGAATACTTCCTGGAGGTAAGAAATGCATCCTCTTGAGGCCAGTCACAATTTGTAAGGGCAAAATTCTTAACCTCTAGCATTTCATCTAAATGAAACCAAGTTAAAATGAGTATTGGAGGCAGACTTGAAGAGTAAAGGGTATAAGCAAAAGACCTTTTCTTGCAGCTTGCAGAGGCAAAGGTATATCATAAGATTTGATTAGGTCAAGCTTTGCAAATTGATTTGATGTTTCTAGGGCCTAGATAGGGCCCATAAACAAGTAATGCAAATTGAGTAGGCAGTGGTGGAGACTATGGCTCAAAAGGCAGAATGCATGACCAAATTCAATTTTATAAAACCCTATGGAAGAACAGATCCCTCCCTTGAGGCACTAGTTTATGATGACTGGTATACATGATTTTCTGTGGAGGAGGAATACATGAGTTTGAATCTAGGGTGTTTATAGAGCAAGCTAAGAAGTGACCTACTTTCCTCCTACAGTGTGCCTTACTGAGTGGCTCCGCGTAAGCTCTGGAACCTCTGAAATCCTGGGCCCCGGGCGTGGGGGGGCATTTTTTGTACCCCTTTGCTTTCCCCTGTAAAGAGAAGGCTCTATATCAGAACTGCCCATTTCATCCTGCAAGTACAGCAAACACACAAATCTAAAATGCTGCTGGATGCCAATACTTCATTGCCCAGTGTATGAGGCCTTGCACTCACTTGAGCCATTACCCTCACTGGGTTTAGAGGAGTTCTCATGTCAGGGAACTGTTTCTATGCATTCTCTGCTGTAAGACTCTTGGGGCACCCACCAACTGGCACATGAATGTGTGGGACTAGTCTCGGCAGGCATGGGCAGGAGAGCATCTATGGATCTGAATAAAGAATTTTCTTTGAGTCCTTTCTCTAGACCTTGACAATGCATTTTGTTCTGTATTATACTTTGTCTTGAATCTCTGCTCTTTTATATCTGAATTTCTTCTTACCTCTTGGCCTTTCGCTGAATCCCTGATGAGATGCTTTTCCTCTTTTACGTCTTAAACATTATGGTTTCCAAGGGTTCTGTTCTCAGCCCATGGCTATTCTGCAGAATCTCCCTGCATGAAAGAAGGAAGAAAAATAATGAGTCCGTTTAAGAAGGGGAAGAATTGTTTCTGGAAGGCAGAGGACTAACAAAACCAAAGCTTGAAATAGGACTTTGCCAAATAATGTAAGAGGAAAGGTGTAAGCTACCTAGAAGTAGCACAGGAGACAACCGGGAATCTGGGAACCAAAGGCTGTGCATACCAACATCTATTATAAAGTCATAGCTATAACCTTATCATGGATTGAATTGCTACCCTGTGCCAAACATTCTATGTTCACTTTACATGCATGATCCCATCATGTAATTATCAAGCCAACTTTACCAGATATTATTCATGCTTTGCATTACAGAGGAAACTGAGACTCTGAGAGGTTAAGAAATAAACTTCATCCCATCCCCTGGGTAGAGCGGATGAAGGGATTCATCTCAGGGCCAAGCTGAACCCACAGCTGATTCTCCACAATATCCTTATACATGGATATGACAATATCTCTGATAAGAATTAATCTTTCTGCCTCAGAAGGTGAAGTCTTTAGCTAGTGATACCTCTGAGATTCTAGGGGACTACAGCACTCAGGAAGAGCATTGATCATTGTGAAGGAAAACGAGTATTTTTCTTCAGCCCACAGTTTCACCCTGACATTATCTCCTATTTATAGTATTTATAGTAAAATGTCCATACTCTACCCCAGTGAAGAGAGTCGGTAATATTATTCATCAAAACCCAGAACTTTTGGGGGGCCAGGTTTCAGTAGTAACCTGGTTGACTCTGCTTTACCATTTCAATAATTCTGATTATCTTTCTCATTTGAACTCCTGCTTCCTTATGATAACGTATCTGGGATTGGCCTACTACTTAGATTTCAGGGAAAGTTATGGAATGCCTAAGCAATGTTGTCCGGCCCAAGGGAGAATTTTGTCTGCATTTGGATATTTCACTCATGTAGATTTTTAGTAGGAAACCTCCAAGAGAGATGGGAGGTGGTAAGATTTCCAATGTCCTAAGGATGCCTAAGAATGTTGATTCAGTATTAACTCATATTTAGAAATGGCAGAATAAGTTTGTATACAAGTGAAGAACACAAGCCCACTACAGTAAGATAGTAGAGAGCAATTATAAGTTGTTCCATTATGGATTCTCATATTTTAAGCCTGCCTCTGGGATTAGAAATCAGTCAAGCTATTTAACAGCTCCCCACACCTCAGTGTGAACGAAATTCTTCTGCTTTCCATGAGCTCTTTTCCTGTGGCATCTCTCTTCCTAGGAAACTGCCTGCTCCCTCTGCCAACAGAGAACAAAGAAAGCTTGGCAGGTAGTAGCAGTTTTTACTGTCTTCCCCCAGCTGCCCTAGAGGCAGCAAGGGTCTGCCGAGCTTCCTGCACAACCACAAATTAGCGTTACCCAAACTTGAGGCAGGCTGAGATGCAGATAGAACCCAAGAAGGGAGAAAGAAATGTTTCTCCTGCAAGAGCCAGGAGTTGTAGTTTAATGGGGGGAGAGGCTCTCTAAAGGAAAAGATTTAGGTCAAGAGGGCATCACCTGGGACAAAGAATGAAGATCACTGTAAGTTCTGAGACATCTGCAGACAGAGCTCAGGTGCTGCATTGAAAATTTTAGACAAACATCACAAATAAAACAGTTCCCTGAAAGTATTGTAAAGTGTACAACACCAAGACAAAGCCCTCTTTAAAATAAAATTCTAGAATTCTGTAAGGGCTCTGGTTACCTGTGTTATCTGATTAAGCACCAGGGTTTTGATGGGTAGGTAGGATCCATACATTGCCAATATCTGCATGTAACCCAGGATGTTAAGCTGGCAGTTTTAACTAAGTGACCAACAGACAACTGATAGTAAATTGAATTTTCAAAGTTGGTGACCACAAATAGTTTTGATGATTTAAATGACATTTCAAAAAAAAAAAACAACAGATAAATTAGTGAATAAGTAAGTAATTGAGAAAAGAAGACAGAAAAAAGATTTGAATAGGATTTCGTTGCATAAAGCTGTGCTATAAGATCCACCTCGAGGAAATGGATTTGGTGACCATGGCTGCCTCTCTTCTTACCTCAAGTGTAGCAAGAGGATGTTCAAAGAAAACACTTGGAGGGTTTGAGATATGCTCCCTGGAGTGTGGGGTGCACGCTAGAGTGTCTGATGAAAGCCTGAGGAATCTGAGAGGAGAGCCTGGCTAAAGTAGCCTATGTCAGCAGAGTAGAAGGCTGTGTCAAATCATAATCATGCAGGACCTGATAATGTCCAGCCAAGATGTTGTCTATTGGTTACCTGCTATAACAAATTACCACACATGAGGTGGTTTAAAGCAACAGAAATTTATTTTCTCACAGTTCTGTAGGCCAGAAGCCCAAGATCAAGGTGTCAGTAGGGCTGTGCTTCCTCCAAAGGCACTGGGGGAGAATCTTTCCATGCTTTTTCTAGTTTCTGGTAGCTCCAGGATTTTCTTGCCTGTGGCTGTGTAGGCACAGTCTTCACCTCTGCCTTCACACTGCCTTCTCCTCTGTCTCTCTTCTCCTTCTGCACTTCTCTTATAAGGACACTTGTCATTGGATTTAGGTCCCATTGGGACAATTTATGATTATCTCATTTCAAGATCTTAATTGAATTACATCCGTCAAGACTCTTTTTCCAAGTAAAGTCATATTCACAAGTTCTAGGAGTTAGAATTTGTGATCCACACGGAGATATAGATCAATGGAACAGAACAGAGCCCTCAGAAATAATGCTGCATGTCTACAACCATCTGATTTTTGACAAACCTGACAAAAACAAGCAATGGGGAAAGGATTCCCTATTTAATAAATGGTGCTGGGAAAACTGGTTAGCCATATGTAGAAAGCTGAAACTGGGTCCCTTCCTTACACCTTATACAAAAACTAATTCAAGATGGATTAAAGACTTACATGTTAGACCTAAAACCATAAAAACCCTAGAAGAAAACCTAGGCAATACCATTCAGGACTTAGGCATGGGGAAAGACTTCATGTCTAAAACACCAAAAGCAATGGCAACAAAAGCCAAAATTGACAAATGGGATCTAATTAAACTAAAGAGCTTCTGCACAGCAAAAGAAACTACCATCAGAGTGAACAGGCAACCTACAAAATGGGAGAAAATTTTCACAACCTACTAATCTGACAAAGGGCTAATATCCAGAATCTACAACGAACTCAAACAAATTTACAAGAAAAAAACAAACAACCCCACCAAAAAGTGGGCAAAGGATATGAACAGACACTTCTCAAAAGAAGACATTTATGCAGCCAAAAAACACGTGAAAAAATGCTCATCATCACTGGCCATCAGGGAAATGCAAATCAAAACCACAATGAGGTACCATCTCACACCAGTTAGAATGGCAATCATTAAAAAGTCAGGAAACAACAGGTGCTGGAGAGGATGTGGACAAATAGGAACACTTTTACACTGTTGGTGGGACTATAAACTAGTTCAACCATTGTGGAAGTCAGTGTGGCGATTCCTCAGGGATCTAGAACTAGAAATACCATTTGACCCAGCCATCCCATTACTGGATATATACCCAAAGGACTATAAATCATGCTGCTATAAAGACACATGCACATGTATGTTTATTGCAGCACTATTCACAATAGCAAAGACTTGGAAGCAACCCAAATGTCCAACAATGATAGACTGGATTAAGAAAATGTGGCACATATACACCATGGAATACTATGCAGCCATAAAAAATGATGAGTTCATGTCTTTGTAGGGACATGGATGAAACTGGAAACCATCATTCTCAGCAAACTATCGCAAGGACAAAAAACCAAACACCACATGTTCTCACTCATAGGTGGGAATTGAACAATGAGAACACATGGACACAGGAAAGGGAACATCAAACTTCGGGGACTGTTGTGGGGTGGGGGGAGGGGGGAGGGATAGAATTAGGAGATATACCTAATGCTAAATGACGAGTTAATGGGTACAGCACACCAACATGGCACATGTATACATATGTAACAAACCTGCACATTGTGCACATGTACCCTAAAACTTAAAGTATAATAATAATAAAATTAAAAAAAAAAGAAAACCAAATACCGCATGTACTCACTTATAAGTGGGAGCTAAACGATGAGAACTCATGAACACAAAGAAGGGTATAATAGACAGGGGTCCACTTGAGGGTGGAGGGTTGGAGGAGGGAGGGGGCAGAAAAAATAACTATTGGGTGTTGGGCTTAGTACCTGGGTGATGAAATAATCTGTAGAGCAAACCCCCATGACACAAGTTTACCTATGTAACAAATCTGCAAATATAATCTTGAACTTAAAAGTTAAAAAAAGAAAAAGGGGAAAGAAAAAAAAGAATTTTGATATAATTTTTTTGAGGTCACTATTCAACATTGGCCCATTTGACAACTATGTAGAAGTGTCGGTCTATGTTAATTTTAAAAGGGATCTTGACAAGGGTGCCTCAGCCAGAGGGTGAAGAGACAGCAATGGAGGGTCTTCATAGAAGGGTAACCAGAAAAGCAGAGGTGGCTGGGAAACCAAACGCAAGCAACAGAAGAGAAGGAGCTGGCTATTTGGCAGGAGTGGTTGGTGACTGGCTCCACTGTGGAACTTCCAAAAAAATCTCTGAGAATCACCCAAGAAAGAAAGAGAAGTGTAAATTATCACCCAGGCCAGCAAGAACAAAGCCAGCTTACTGACATACTAATCCATAAGACTTTCTTGGATGCCCCTTCTCCTTCTCCCTCTCCTGCTCCAAACATGATAAGATCAGAATCCTCAGTTAACACGTTGTGAAAAGAGAATGGGAGTGAGAGAAACACCCACCAACTCTCCAAAGGCAAAGACATCATCTGCTGCTGGGTCTCATTGGGGAAGGGGCTCAGGAGTATTACCTTTGAAGTAAGACTGAAGACTTAATCAATATATGAGATTTGAAATTTAATTTTGAAGTCATGACTGTGTCTCCCATCTTAAATTGACCACAGGTCAATTTAATTTATACTTTCTAAGAATAATCAGAAATATGCTAGGACTGCCTAAAAGCTCATCCCAAGACCCAGCACACCCTTTTCCCCACTGAATACATTTTAAAGAAAAGGAGACATTAAAATAAAACAAGTAGTGGGTTTTGACTGCTTTTTATAAGTCTTTATTGCTCAAGGTACTAGTTATACTCATAAAACAATATCTGAAAGGATTTCCTGACTCCGAACATTATTAAGATCACCGATAGTATTGATTTACTATTTGTTGAGAATTATTGTCCCAGAGTTTGGAAAAAGACAAAGAGAATTAGATTCAGCTTACTCTGCAGACCACTATAAAAATGAGCTCTAAAGTATATTCATTGTGATCTGACATCAACTTTCAATTCGTCCACATAGGGGAGATAAAACTTAACTCATGTGTTGAAAGATGGGGTTTGGCTTCATTCTGGGTCCCGTCCTGTGTCACAAGCTAACACTGTGCAAAATGATCTGTACTTGGGCTTGGTTCTTTATATCTGCCTTCCTTTATACACCGGATTGAGCAAATATTTAAACAAGTACTCTTTGTCAACTAATTGTGAAAAAAACATGCATTTTCCCCTCCAATACTCTGCAAAAGGCGAATTAGGGCTGTTGTTGCCGCAGCCCTGGGCAATCTGTGCTGAGGGGTGTGTGGATATCTTTGCAGTCACTTTACCAGTGCAATTCTCTCTGTAGGAGTTCAGTGTTCTTTCATACACTGGTAAGAGAAAGGGAATTTAAAATGTATTTTTTCATAAATAATCACTTCTTGTTTTGAATGAAGTATTAAAATACATCTCCTGTTATGCTAAACCATGATAATTCCTACCCAACAAATATGCCCCTGGCAGAAGCTTAAACCAGAAGAAGCTCAAGAGAATGATCACACAATGACTTTCTGCCCAGTATCATTAGGTTACATTATTTAAATAACTATAAGAATTCAAATGGTAAATAACTACATATGTGTTTGTGGACATAAACAAAACAAAGTATGTTATTTCACAAAATACCTGGTGTCATAGAATTGCTAGAAGTTCAAAGTTTAAAAATATAAAAAGTTTGAAATACAGACATGTGGGAAGCTTTATTTCAAAAAACCTTTAAAAATATATTGAGAACGTTGTCTGAATATTAAAACGTGGGCTTCTCGTGAGATTGCATTTGATGATATCTCTTAGGTAGTTAACATACTATATACATTGCTGTCCAAACAGAAGAGGGAAACTCAAATATTTTCCAATCAACTTACTATAACATGAAACAAGAAGGGCAATTTGGTCATTAATCAATAATTAGTTTTTTAAATACCACCTGTGCAAGTGGATCCTTTGTACCAGAACCTTATGGCGCTTTATATGTAATACCCTCATAAGACTTTCAGTGTCCACACAAAATCAGAAAGATCAGTTAACAGTGTCCATCTTTCTACCTCTAATCATTATATTGGCTAACAGTTCTATAGCCTCACTTTGCATCAGGCACACCTTAAAGTGCTTTAAATGCTCTGATTTGTTTAATCCTTCCAATCAGCCAAAAGCATGAGACTCCCAAATTCACACAACCAGACAGGGCAGAATCACAAAATATTTCTCCTTTCCCCTAAGTCCTGCTCAAGAGCAGCCCAGTTCATTGCTCAATTTACTAAACCATTACCTCTTGGAAAAAGAGGGAGCCATTAATTTATTTTTAAGGAAAGCCATTATTGCTCCAAAGGAAAATTAATTACCCTCCAAGTATCACCATCTGTTTCAATGTTTTCAAGCCTAAAATTTGAGGAGAGACACAGTAACTTTAATGTCACCAATGGTGGGGCCCAAATGACCTTTGTCATTAAGAACACAGAACAGAATCATCCCACATCAAGAAACTGAAAATGAGAATGCAGTTGTACATGCCATCAGGGAGTTACCTCCAGAGCCTGAAAAAATATTATCCCAATGCACAGAATGGCTACATTTATATCAAGAGGAGCTCAAAAAATTGCAGTCAAATAGCTCACATATATCATGATACTGCAGAGATGTCACAATTAGAAGAGAATCTGAAATGACAATAGATTCTGGAAAAATAATTTGAAATATGTTTTTATTTTGTAGGAAAGAAGATTATTTACCAACAAATTTTCATTATACATTTACTATATGTAGTCATGCTAGTTTCAGATATACGTTGGTGAACAAGAAAAGGACTCCTGGCCCTAAGATATGCGTAAGCTGCTCTACATGGATTTTCTTCATTTAGCCCTCATATCAATTGTAAGAAATAAGAATTACTGTATTTTAGAGATGTGAAAGCTACAGTTAAGAGAGGTTAATATGTTCAAGATATGTATGTTCAAGATAATGTGTCCAAGCTTGTAAATTTTTTGCTATACTTTATTTAAAACTGCTATTGCTGCTTAAAAGGGTGCAGAGATGTTTGAAAGCAGATGATTTTGACTTGACTTTAGTCAAAATCACTACCAATTATGTTTGCAAGTCTTAGAGCTAATATTTGACCTCAAATTTATCTGACCCAGGTCCTAGGTTCTTAACCATCCAAACCTATATGAGTCTTTTCATACCCAATGTTTTGAATAATTTTAATAATTTTTTGGAATCACTTTAGATTTACAGAAGAGTTGCAAGGATAGTACAAAGAATTCCTGTGTACCCCTTAACCAGGTTTCAGTTTCTCCTAATGTTATCACTTTACATTTGTCAAATATAAAACAATAACATGAATATGTTACTACTAACTCAACTCCAGACTTCACTCAGATTTTACTTGTTTCTCCATTAATGTTCTTTTACTGTTCCAGAATCCATCCAAAATATCATATTGCATTTAGTTGTCATGTCTCCTTCATCTCCTCTGGGTTGTGGCACTTTCTCAGACTTTCCTTGTTTTTCATTGTCCAGACAGTTTTAGGAAGTACTGGCCAGGTAGTTTGTAAAATGTCCCTCATTTTAATATTCTTTTGATCTAAAATCTTACCTTAGCTCATTGTGAAGCACATCAGTGCACTTTCCCATATTACCGGGTCCATGGAAACTTGAGAAGGGAATTGGGCTGAAAGACACTAAGAAAAACTATGCTTACGCAGGATAAGCAGTGGAATTTTCTAGGTTGATGGAAATGCTCTGTGTCTTGATAGTAGATGCAGGCTTGTAGGCATAGTTTCAGTTCTTCAGTGGTAGGTGTTAGTAATTCCAAAACTATATTCTATACATTCTAGGCTTGAACAAATGATTACATATATTGAAGAAAATGGGAGCCAGAATTTTTATTGTTGTAGAAGGGAGTTACAAATAAAAGGGAGGAAAAGAAGAACAAAGTACATACAGAAGTTCCAAAGTTATACCAAAAAGAGGCAGTCAAACAGTTCCAACCTGCAGGTCAGATTCCACCTTAGCTTTGTTTTGCTTGAAGCTCACAGTATTGGCCTCACAGCACATTTTGTTTTGTTTGTTTTTATTAATTGGTAACAAATTGTAAAAGGCAACCCTTTTTGACCAAGCTACAGGACAGATCTCAGATGTGAAAAAAAAAAAAAAGCATGGTGTCCTGGCCTGTGTGTCACACTCAGCATTTGGCATTTGGTGAGTACCTGTTGCTTTTCCTAGATATGCCATAAGTTCTCCTGTTTGCCTTGGCTCTCAACTTAAAATCAGCTCCTTTCTTTATTTGTGTTATCTTCCTATAACTTGGTAAATTATTTGGTTGGTAGCCACTATAACAGGTTTAAAATTTACTAAATAGTTAAACCTTAGCTAAATGAGCAAATTTCTCTTAAAATTAGATAACATTAAGGGAACAGTGATCAGCCTAGAGAATGCAAAGAGTAAACCAATGTAAGATATGTCAAGACAGGCACTGACAATCTCTCCACAGATGTACAGGTATTTCTGCGCTTCATAGCTGCATGCTTCCATTCTCCTTTGCCCTTGCCTGAACTCTTTGTGTCAGAAAAAGCCTCACTAGGAAGTTGGCAGAAAGATAAAGCAAATAAGTTTTGTGTGTCACCCGTCCTTGTTCAGGAAGACGAACACCATAGGAAAAAAGTTTTCCTCACTCAAGTGATTCCTAGTTTGCAGAGTAAAAAGGACTTATGATGAAGCTGTGTTGTGTCTTCTGCTTTTTGAGGATCAGTAGGAATGGATTCTGTGATATCTCACTGTTAAAACATTCCAAAGAAAGACTACTTGCTTATTGATGAGGACTAAGTTTTACCTCCTCACCAACAGACCAGAAACCCCCTTCTCTATGTCCATTTTGGAATTAAGGTATTATATTAACGGTGGGAGAAAAGGATGATTTTAAACCGCAAGGGTTATAAGGAGGATGAGCCTTGATAAAGGAATAATAAAATGTCAGGATATCTTTTGTGTTTCTAAATGAGTCCCTGTCTTTTTTGTTTGCCTGAATAACTAGATGGGTGTTATATACGCAATGGAGGCAGATTTGGGGCACAGAGATGGAGAAAACTGAATTGTGCCACACAATTGAGTTGGAATTCTGACTCCCCAGAGGCAATCCAGGAGACAGGGGTAAGAAAAGTATCACAAAATGACAGAAGTGGGAACCTCAGTAGTTGTTGTGGCTAGTCAGGCCAGTGAGAACTCCCTGTATGGAATGAAGACCAGGAATGACTTACATGGGATTCTAACTTCCCATAATACACTTTCAATACTTAGTTCTGCTACACACAACCTGCCTAGTACCTGTGGTTGCTTTGATAAGGAATCAAGAAGTGGCTGCGCTTCCACTAGGGTCAGTGGCAACAATGGGTGGTCAGAGATAGAGAAACTGTTAAGGCCAAACCAATGACAAGAAGTCAGTGGAGGCAGGACATTGGAGGCAGGTGACCATGAAAACATAGTCTTTTGAGAATTTACAAAAATCTTTAAAAAGGCAGTGGGCATCCACAAGACAAAGATTGAGGGTATGATTTGGTCTTGCCTAAATCCAAAGGGGCAAGGTAACTCCAGCTCACATTTTGGTTACAAATATATTACTCATCCTATGTAACTGAACTGGCGTGAACTAAGACTTATGAGCCTTTTCAAGAGTTGAGTCCTACAGTTCTAACCATCTGCTTTCAAACATCTCTGTGCACCCTCCTATTTTTAAGCCTAGGTAGTTTAAAATCATGCATACCAGTACATCTCTAATAAGCTACCCCACTTATAGTCATCCAGCCTATCCAATTACTCCAGTACCAACTCAGTGCTGAGCCTCAACAGACACCTATTAATGCAATTAAGTAGTTAATTTTTCTAGAATGTGCACAGCTGTAGCTTTTAACATTCAAATAGTCCTTATACTGCAGTGTCCTGGAAAAATCAAAGCAGCAATACCTTTAAAAATGTCATGGAACTAAAAACTCAAAGCACATAGAAAAATGCCACCAGCTGTAGACAGTAAAATCTATTCTACCTGACTAGCTACATGTCAAAGAATCAATGCTTGTCCCGAGAGATGAACATGAACTAGTGCGTGAAGAGCTGCACGTTCAAGATTATTAAGATTGCTAAGTGATAATTCATGAAACACTGAACCCAGAGTTACAGTCTTTCTTCCCTTCCAACATTCAGTTCATGGGAAATGACTTCGTCCTTGCCTGACAAGTTCAAATCTCTGCTTCTGTGCTCTGTGCTTCTATCCAGCAGCCATTCATTCATTTAACAAATGCATTTGTTCGGTAAACATTTACTGAATGCCTATCATGAGACAGGCACTGTATTATAATAGTAATGCAACAAAGAACATTATCCCTGCCTGCAAGGAGCTTACAAACTAGGGATAAATGGGCAATTTACCATACAGGGTGCTCTGATGAGGACAAAAGAAGGAAAGTCATTTCATATCAAGCAACTATGCATATTTCAGCCTGGTTCATGCATATGATACAAAGGTGGTGGCAAGAAATGAAGTTAAAGAGGCAACAATGAACTTGGTCACTAAGAGCTCTGATTATGGGGTCCTATTGTGAAGTGAAATAAGAAATCTTTCTGGAGTAAGAACCTAATGGAGAATGCAAAGCTAGAAGCAGAAAGACCAGTTATAAGGTGATCAAATAAGGCAATTGTAGTGAGGACTAGGATGGTAGAGTGGCAATGGAAATAAATGGGTGGATAAGTAACAGGATTTGACTGACTGGAAGGGAGTGCATGAGATTGTAGGAGGAATCAAAGATAATGACCAGCTCCATGGTTTTGATAAGTAAAGAGCACTTACTGAGCTACAGAGGGAGTGCCAGACCTGGAGCTTAGTGTTGGTGGAAGAAGAGCAGAGAATTAGAGGTACATGACATAGAAGTAGAAATGTCCAATAGGTAGAAGAATGTTTTATTAACTAGGATCTTTTTTGTTGAAAGTGACAGATTTTAATCAAGCTAGCTTTAAGAAAGAGTACAATGTACTATAAATGTAATGGGATAAGGATGCATCTGTACCTCAGTAACCAGAGAATTTGGGGACCTAAATACCTTCAGGATTCTCTTAGCACTTCTCATCTCTTTTTCTCTACTTATGATTAATTTTTTAAGCTTAAAAGTTGATTATTATTAAGATATAATTCACATAGAATAAACTTCACCATCTCTCATTTATAGACTGGTCCTATCTGCTTACATGGTATACATGAAAGTACACATGGCTGCCTACAATTCCCAAATTTTGTACCCTACAATTAGAGGTGACATTTAAAACATTCAACCACCAATCTGAATGGATGGGATTATTTCACAACACTGATGCACATTTGACCTGAGCAACCACTTTGATTCCAGTCCAAAATCTCAGAGAAAGGCTGACCTGACTCTCAGTCTCTAACCCAAAAATCTCATGACACAAATTTGTTGGCCAAGCTTGAATCAAGTGCCCACGCCTGGACAGATTAACTGTGGTACAAGGAAAAGTCATACAATAGCACAACTTCAACATGCAGATGGAAAGGGAGGGTCTTTCCTAGAAAATGAGTCCTCAACAGAAAATCCCTTAGATATTTACCACAGACATCTAAGTGTGAGCTCAAGAGAGATGCTGGCTTTTGGGAGTCATCAGCATGTGGATGGTAATGATGCCACGGAAGAAGATGAAGATCATTTAGGGAAGATGTGTATGGATGAAGGAGAAGGGTAAAGAAAAAGAGCTTTAAGTTTTAAAGTTAATAAAATTTGGCAGAGAAAAGGTCACCTTGAGGGGGGCTGAGAAAGAATGACCAAAGGGGTAAGAGACAAACCAAAAGAATATGTAGAGAATATATTGTCAGGAAGACAGAGAAAGAAAATGATTCAAGATGACACTCCATGTAAAATGTTTCAGAAAAATCAAATGCCCTTTCAAATCAGCAAGAAGAGGTCTTTAGGAGCTAAAATAAGAGCAATTTCAACAAAATTGCAGGGACATGAGCAAGAATGTTGAGGGTGGAGGTGTGATAGGAAAGTGTGAGAACGGGGACAGCACATTACTGTCATACTCAGAAGAAGCTGGAATCCCTAAAATGCATAAAAATATTTTTGTGTGTGTAGATACATGACTAGTGAGATTTGACACAGCTCTGTGATTGTTTTTATTTACAGTTTTTGACACATTGAATCATGAATTTTGGTTCTGGACCATGTTTTATGCAAATATGAGCTTCCCAGGCTTATGTTCATTATGAATATGGACTTTTTGTATCAAGGCGACATAAACTATGGAAAAGTATATAAGTAAAATCATAAAGTGTCCATTAAAATCATAATTTGTATTACCATATGTTACAATTCTTAATGCATTCTTACTTATATATTATTTCACCAACTGTTGCTAAATGAACAAGAATGTCTTCCTTAGAAACAACTTAAATTGCTGATATGGTTTGGCTGTGTCCTCACCCAAATCTCAACTTTAATTGTAGCTACCACAACTCCCACATGTCATGGGAGGGACCCAGCGGGAGGTAGTTGAATTATGGGGGCAGGTATCTCCCTGGCTGTTTTGATGATAGTGAATAAGTCTCACAAAATCTGATGGTTTTATAAAGAGGAGCTTCCCTGCACAAGTTCATTCTTGCCTGCTGTCATGTAAGACATGCCTTTCTCCTTCTGCAATGATTGTGAGGCCTCCCCAGCCATGTGGCACTGTGAGTCCATTAAACCTCTTTTTCTTTATAAATTACCCAGTCTCTGGTATATCTTTATCAGCAGTGTGAAAATGGACTAATACAATTGCCTTATAGACAATGATGTATTCCTCTGACATTCAACTCACTGACAAGACCCCTTACCAATCAACAGCTATTGAAATCTAGAGTTTGATATAAACTGCATATTCAGAGAAGGCCAACATTTACTCAAGTAACAATCTTCTATTTCTTTGGGGTTTTTAAAACTCAGCATTTGACTCCTCAAAATTGTTTTTAGCCTGGTAATTTTAAATTCCATACTTTCATTACTGTCTCTTGACTATAAGAGTAAGTTTCTTTGATAAATTTTAGCCAAAATGATACACATATGGAATAAGTAGAAACCAAATTGAAAAAATTAAAATGTTCCTCATTGTACCACCCAAAAAGCAGTTTACCCAAACCCAGAATACCAAAATCTCCTAATGAGAGCCTGAAAATATTCTGAGACTGGCATACTGGAAGTTATGAATAATTGGAAGAGAATCTTTTCTCAAAAGCCACACCAAAATCCTATCAACTCAGTACAATTCATTTAGCCTTTCAGTGCAAGCCTAATAAGCAAATGCTCTGAGACTCAATTTTCTACTGCTTTAAAGGTGACAATAACTGTAAAAATAGAAATTTCTGCCTAGATCAAGTTATTTCAATAGTAGCTAACTTTGCTGGATCACTAAGTTAACCCTAATGTATTAGATTAGAGATTTTTTCTACTTGAGATGAAAAATATTATTGTCTTATATACCATTTCATATTAAGTACTAATTGACTTAAATCCAGTTTATTATTCTAAGATTAATTTTGTTTGATGCATTAAGTTTTACAGATAATTCCACCCACAACCTAGTCAAGTTATTTGAACAACTTGACAAGATTGGCGTTGCATCACTGAGGGAAATATTTTCAGCCCTCAGTTACAGGGGCTCAGGTATATATTCAATAGGTAGGATTGGGCCTCAGACATAAGCAAGACATTGTAAAAAGTCCATTTCTTTCTTTTTAAGGAAAAAAAATAGTTGAGCCTGATGGCTACTGGATATTTGCTGATTTGCGGTTAATTTAACATTGAGTCAAGGCCATATCATGCCCTCAAGTAAAGAGAGTCATCTTTTTTTCTGAATGGAATATGTGCTTCTGATCTCTGCAGATGTCCAATAGTCCTCTGTTCTCTACACTGTGCCCCAGAGGCATAAACAATTCAGAGAAATTAGTTCATTCATGTCCAAGATAACGACCACTTTAGATTTATTATCAGTGATGATGATTGTGTTGCAGTTTATTTTAAGGCCAGTATCCCCTTGTATAGTTTGCAGCAGGGAACTTCCACCTCTGCAGTCCTTTGGCATTGGTAATAGCATGAGTACTTAACACTTGACACATATCCACAGGGTTTTGAGCACTGCAGGAAAAGTGTAGTCAGTTCCGTAGAGGATAAATGGTAACATGCATTCAATGTTAGTTCAGTTTTTCCTCATGAACACACAGAGGCTTGAACATAGGCAGCAGATTTGAGTGCCCCATGAAAAACCGAGCTGTGATGTGAACTAGTGGTTATGGGTAGAGTGGAAGAAAGGAAACAAGAAAAAAAAGACAGGGAAAAGAGATGCTCCCCAGGAGTAGCTTAGAGGAGCTCCACAAATACATAAACTGAAGTTACATTCAGTTAACTATCGGGATGATTAACAGAAAACCTGCATTTGCGTCAGTTGAACAAGATATACAAAGGCATAGAGGAAGGATTATTTCAGAGAAGAGCAAGTAGTCTAAAGGTTGCTTTGGAAAGTGTTCAAGTACCTTCTTAGTGGATGAAAGAAAGTCACCACCAAATTTCAAGGAATCTAGAATTACTTTGATTCACGAGCAGTGGAAAGTCAATGAGTATTTTTGAGTAGAGGAGTAATGTCACCAGAAGTCAGTTACAACATGGGAATCATGGATGGTAGAAAATTGTGGAAGAAACAGATGAGAAGGTAAAAACTAGAAGCTCACTTTTGGAGATACTAAATTAAGGACAGTTTTTATAAGAGTTTTCGCACTCTTAAAAATATGCCTTTATGAAAACAGTTTTGATCAAGTGTTTCAAAGGCTTTCAGTAATTTGCTTCTGTTTGGCAAAGTGTAAATTCTTTTCCTGGTCTATTTGAAGCCTAGTTCTTCAGTCTAATGACAAAAATCAACTCAACTCTAAGGAAACAAATGAGGAAAAAAAAAAAGAAAAGAAAAGAAAAGAAAATTGGCTACTTGGCTGAATTGACCAATCAATTAATTCAGTCAACCTTGCAGTACCATTCAATCTAGAGACACATCTCTTCAGGACTGTGAAAAAAAAAGAAAGGTTAAGACCTCTTCCCCCAAGGTTACCATTCTAAAAAATGAAATAATGCTTTTATCAAACAATTAGATCTCTCAACAAAATCAATTACTGATTGTATCCCAGATTCCTGGGAGAACCACTTCACAAAAAGTGGTTCTTTGTAAGTTGTCAAGGACAAGAACACAGCAGTTTAAAATCTTTTTTGATAACCGTAATGGTCATTAATGCATGCTTTACAAAATGAAATGCTTTGATCTTTATATTTTCTAAGGAAATGAAAATTTATGGCAAAGCGACCGCTGTCTGATTTTTTTAAATGATAAATGCTTTCACCTAATGACGCAGGAAGAGATTTTGGTATTATTTCTCAAAAGGGTTGACAGCATGAGTGATTCTTCTAGCTTATATCTCCTGTACTTAAAGCAACAAGATTTAAAACACTGCATTTCCAAATACCAAAAAGTCTTAATGCCAGCTTGAGGAGCTATGTTTCTCTCTGGTTTTAAAAAGACTGTGGGGACCTGTTTCCTTAAAAAGTAAGAAAATACCTCTTGGCTAGGAGCAGTGGCTCATGCCTGTAATACCAGCACTTTGGGAGGCCGAGGTAGGCTGATCATCTGAGGCCAGGAGTTCGAGACCAACCTGACCAACATGGCGAAACCCCATCTTTACTAAAAATACAAAAAGTAGCAGGGCATGGTGGCAGGCACTGGTAATTCCAGGTACTCAGGAGGCTGAGGTGGGAGAATCACTTGAACCTGGGAGGTGGAAGTGGCAGTGAGCCAAGATTGTGCCACTGCACTCCAGCCTGAGCAACAAAGCAAGACTTCATCTCGAAAAAAAAAAAAAGAAAGAAAAAAGAAAATACTTCTTTCCAGTAAATATAAAAGCCAAGCCCTGATGTGAACTTGTGCTCTTCTTCCTTTGTGTCTGTTTTAATTTTTTAGCTATAACATATTATCTTCTATTTTCTTCTGTTCAGGTAATGAAAGTGTGAAGTATATTTTAATTGAATAAGTGATTACCCATAGGAAGAAAACCTTGTTCTGGTAAAACTTGTTATGGATTTGGTTTCAAGTGCTGCAATTCTGGAGTGAATCTGCTCCTTTAATTAATGGTTTCCATATCAAAACCAGAAGATTTTGGTAATTTTTTTTTAAAGTCATGACTGGTTTTTCAAGATAGTTGCTTTAGGAAAGCAATGGAAAGAATTAGGTTAAACAGACTAGGGAGGGATTCAGAACAAAGTGCTTTGTTTTAGCTAGCAGAAAACATATTTTTTAAAAAGAAGAATGTTGATGTCTTTGAGCAATTTCTACACTCTAGTTCAATAAGAACTCACAGATCCCAACAAACTTCCTATTTTGTTATACCCGCCTCTTCACATATATTTTTATTTAGTGCCTTTTACTGAAAGCATTTTAGCTTTCTGCTTCTGAGGTTGTTCTATGTGTTAAAGGTTAGAGCCAATTTAATCTACATGATCTGCTCTCCAAAAATTTATTTCACAAGACTGATTATCTAAATACTAAAGGAGAAGTATACAAAAAAGAATTGAGCTGTCTTTTTAAATTACCTTTGTTTGGAGCATTTTATTTTGTGTGTGTGAGTTTATGTCTATGTGTGTGAGTGAATTGAGAATATATATTTTTATTCTTCTGCCTTTCTTTTGTTAACAGATGCTTTGTCAACATATAGATAAAGTTGTAGGCATTAGTATTATTGTGGGGATTTTTTTTTAAAGTTACACATACATATTTGGATTTTTTAAGTAGATATATTAGTATATTACTAGGATATCTAGCTTTTAAATTCTTAGAACATGAACAGTCATATAAAACCTTTAGGATTTCATTTCCCAATGTATCATAACCTGCATTACTGGAATTAATCAGGAATCATCTGAGTCAAGAGACATAAGTGACTTGAAAACATAGGTGCTATTGTTTGAATGTGTCCCCCAAAGTTTAGGGTGTTGGAAACTTCATCCCCAAGGCAACATTGTTGAGAAGTGGAATCTTTAGGAGGCGATTACATTATAAGGACTCCGCCCTCACAAATGAATAGATGCTATTCTCATGGGAGTGGATTCGTTATTATGAGAGTCAATTCCAGACAAAAAGAGTGAGTTCTGCCATTTCTGCCTCTTTCTTGCTCTCGCTCTCATGCTCCCTCACCCTTCCACCTCCTGCCATGAATGAAGCAGCAGGAAGGGCTTCACCAGATCAGCCCCTCTACCCTGGACTTCCCAGCTCCCAGAACTATAAGAAATAAGTCTCTGTTCTTTATGAATTACCAGTCTTAGATATTCTCTTATAGCAGCACAGAATGAACTTAAGATAAGATTTGTCACTTCTGTTAGTTTCAATGCTGAATACCCCCTCCCTGGCCCAAAGTTTTGTTCAGAGTAGGTTTTCAATAAATTAGTGTCTTTTTAAAAGTTAATAAATGTGCAAGGCCTCCTTCTGCTCTGCCTCTGATCATCTGCATGGCAAATCATTGGACCTCTGCAGGGGTGCAAATTGGCCCCCTTAGGTAAATACCCTATAGTTAGGTTTTGCTCAGTGAGAGCTGTATTCTGTTTTTAATGCGTTTGTAGGAGAAATACATTCTCCAAGTCTCTATTGACTTGACTTCACCACTCCGTGTTATTGTACAACTCAATGGCTTTCTCCAATTAGCTTACCTGCCTGGAACCTGAATTGATTTAAATTTGTAGCCCATAATTATATGCTCTCTAAGGATCTCTAACACTCTTATTTTAAAAAATGAAAGTGAAGTTGGACTATATTCTTATTGTGCAAGGAAGAAAATTTAATACTTCTCAACAATGAATCAAAAAATAATAAAATTGCAATACTAATAATTGAATTAGTTTATAAATGTAAGAATATGAGTGCCAGACATAAAGTATCTTTTTTTTCTTTGACAAAAGTACACTCCTTCCTCACTATCCATGAGGGATTTGTTACAGAATCCCCTCAGATGTCAAAATTCAAGGATGCGCGAGTTCCTTATATAAAATGGCATAATATTTGCATATAGCTTCTGCACATCCTCCTGTATACCTTACATAATTTCTAGATTACTTATAATGCCTAATACAATATACATGCTATATAAATACAGTTGTTATTTTGTATTTTATATTGTTGTGTTATTATGTTTTTTCACACTATATTTGATTTGTGGTTGATTGAATATGCAGATGCAGAACCCACAAATGAAAGGGGCTGATGGACATTCATCATTGCCTTGGTACATCATGGTGGTTTATCTGTTACTTATGAGACTGTGCCTTGCTTTATTAATTATTGTTATGTATAAAACTAAACCACAGATCATAGAATTTCAAATCCCATAGTTTAGATAGCTTATATGCCACATAATTTGAGAGTACTTCTTATGGAGAACTTTCAAACATTTTGCCAATTCGAAGGTACACAATAAAATTCTTGAGTGAAATGAACTGTTAGGAAATTATAATTTAATGTAAAATTTTCACCAATAAAATATGTAAGTTGTATTCCTGTAGCAAATAAAGGATCATCGAATAATTACCAATATATTACATTATCTGACATCAAAGAATTATGAAAAGTTCTTCACACTGTACATTAAAGGATTAAAAAAACTGTCATCTTTAACCATGTACAGATTCATATGATGAATATAATGTAACATAGTAACATATGCCTTACTTTATTTCTTAACTTTTTAGACTTAATCAGAGCAGGTAAAAACTTTCCCATAAAAATAATATATATTTTATTACTTATACATATCAATAGAAATTTCCAGAGACAAATATGTACTATGCTGAAATTTTCAAATTTATTTGTGTATTTTATTAACATCCTTTTTTTTTTTTACCAATCCCATTAACCGATTTCATGCATTTGATTCTGATACATATATTTTAAAAATCTAATAGTTAAAATGTTAAAACCAGTCACGTATACACGGGGATTAGGAAATATTCACAGTTACAAAGAAAACATGGAACAGACTCATCCATTCTATCAGTAAGAGTCTCCTTAGTTGATAAAGTATTGCTTACAAAATAATGCATGATTAATATTGAAACAATTAAATTTAAAATACTCCAGCCAAATTGCAGCTAAAGCACTTAACACAAAAAGCCGCTAATTACTTATTTTCTTTGTTACAATGTCTAGAACAATACAGAAATACAGAAAGCAGTTGTGCTAGAGATGTACTTATTATCTCTGTAATTGAAGTTCCAGGCAGAGCACTGTGAGGAGCATATTTATGACATGATCTGACTGGTCCACAGACTTAGAGTACAATAAACCAAATTTCACACCCTGTTGTTCTCTTTTGGCATTGGCTTTGCTCTTCCTTCTCATTTTGTTAAAGGGGTTGATGGTCTCCTGGCTGAGTGTGGTAGATGCCTGAAGGCTGTTAGATAACTGGAATCAATTTATCACTGGGAGGAAGCTTCTTCCACTGATGAAATGGCAGGTATCCAAGTCTATGCTTCCAGTAATATGAGTAGCTAATTTTTGTCAGCTACAAGGTGTTGCACATGATAGCATTGCTTAGACTTGTTTGTCTTAATAGTGGCTCCTTCTCTATCGTGCTGATATACTGAAACAACTCTTCTGGAAAAAGATTATTGTGAAAAGTTTCTGGCAAAGAATAAGGATGAGTATGTAGTTTAGGCTAATGTATTTAGAGGAAATTTGTAAGGAGAATCTAAATATAAACAGGGATTTAGATTCCTTTTATATTTTTTCAAAATAAATAGGAAGCAGCCTCAGCAACATGGCAAAACCTCATCTCTATGAAAAACTCAAAAAATTATCTGGGCGTCGTGGCACACACCTGTAATCCCAGCTACTCAGGAGGCTGATGTGGGAGAATCACTTGAACCTGGGATGTCTATGCTGAAGTTAACTGTGATCATGCCACTGCAGCCCCTCCTTGGCTACAGAGTGAGACCCTGTCTCAAAAATAAATAAGAAGGATATACAAATACCTTCAATATATTAGAATGAAAGAAGTTAATGGGCATTGGAGTCTGATTGACAAAGGTTTGAAACTCCTACCATTTTCTAATTGATTCCTAATAAACTTGGGCAAGTTATTACAACTCTGGATATCAGGAGTTTCAAGAGGGGTTGTTTCTGTCTTTGTTTTGGAGTAATAATATAAACTATAAAAACAAAGCAGACTTTTATGATCATTAAGTTAGGTAACACATAGCACAATGCCTGACATGCGGGTATACTCAGTGAGCAAAAGAACTTGTCCTACCGCCACTTCAAATAGATCTACTCTTTGCCTCAACTAAATATGTTATTTGACATATCAAATATTATATCTTCCCAGGTTTCCCAGGGAGCAGGAAGAAACACTGATCCCACTATCCATGTGAGAATAGGATACACAGCATTAAGAAACTCTCTGGCTCACACTAACCACCTGCCTTGAGCCAAGGTTTTGTCCACTGCTGGGGGTCAGACAGGTCTGGGAATGTCTAATGGACTAGAAGGGTAGCCCAACAAAGGAATGTTTGCATGGAAGCTGGTAGCCTCATTGCTGAATCTGAAGATGAACATACATTGTGACTTGGCAACTGACATCCTTCAAGTCAACTTTCATGGGGGCTAAAGAAACTCACGGATGGTCATTTATTACAAGGAGACAAAGAGGAAAGCACAACAAACAGGTCTGGCAACAAAGCCAGGGATGTGAGCGTTGATTGCAAATATATTACTGGAGCAATTAGTCAAACATCTGTGGACTGGACCCATGGACATGTCTGGGCTCTAGTTTAGATAGATAAAGATTTGTTGAAGTTGCTTATCAGCTTAAGGAGATTTTGGGCTGAGACAATGGGGTTTTCTAGATATACAATCATGTCGTCTCCAAACAGGGACAATTTGACTTCCTCTTTTCCTAATTGAATACACTTTATTTCCTTCTCCTGCCTAATTGCCCTGGCCAGAACTTCCAACACTATGTTGAATAGGAGTGGTGAGAGAGGGCATCCCTGTCTTGTGCCAGTTTTCAAAGGGAATGCTTCCAGTTTTTGCCCATTCAGTATGATATTGGCTGTGGGTTTGTCACAGATAGCTCTTATTATTTTGAAATACATCCCATCAATACCTAATTTATTGAGAGTTTTTAGCATGAAGGGTTGTTGAATTTTGTCAAAGGCTTTTTCTGCATCTATTGGATAATCATGTGGTTTTTGTCTTTGGCTCTGTTTATATGCTGGATTACATTTATTGATTTGCGTATATTGAACCAGCCTTGCACTTGATCATGGTGGATAAGCTTTTGATGTGCTGCTGGATTCGTTTTGCCAGTATTTTATTGAGGATTTTTGCATCAATGATCATCAAGGATATTGGTCTAAAATTCTCTTTTTTGGTTGTGTCTCTGCCCGGCTTTGGTATCAGAATCAATGTACAAAAATCACAAACATTCTTATACACCAACAACAGACAAACAGAGAGCCAAATCATGAGTGAACTCCCATTCACAATTGCTTCAAAGAGAATAAAATACCTAGGAATCCAACTTACAAGGGATGTGAAGGACCTCTTCAAGGAGAACTACAAACCACTGCTCAAGGAAATAAAAGAGGATACAAACAAATGGAAGAACATTCCATGCTCATGGGAGGAAGAATCAATATCGTGAAAATGGCCATACTGCCCAAGGTAATTTACAGATTCAATGCCATCCCCATCAAGCTACCAATGACTTTCTTCACAGAATTGGAAAAAACTACTTTAAAGTTCCTATGGAACCAAAAAAGAGCCCACATCGCCAAGTCAATCCTCAGCCAAAAGAACAAAGCTGGAGGCATCACACTACCTGACTTCAAACTATACTACAAGGCTACAGTAACCAAAACAGCATGGTACTGGTACCAAAACAGAGATATAGATCAATGGAACAGAACAGAGCCCTCAGAAATAATGCCACATATCTACAACTATCTGATCTTTGACAAACCTGAGAAAAACAAGCAATGGGGAAAGGATTCCCTATTTAATAAATGGTGCTGGGAAAACTGGCTAGCCATAAGTAGAAAGCTGAAATTGGATCCCTTCCTTACACCTTATACAAAAATCAATTCAAGATGGATTAAAGATTTAAACGTTAGACCTAAAACCATAAAAACCCTAGTAGAAAACCTAGGCATTACCATTCAGGACATAGGCATGGGCAAGGACTTCATGTCCAAAACACCAAAAGCAATGGCAACAAAAGACAAAATTGACAAATGGGATCTAATTAAACTAAAGAGCTTCTGCACAGCAAAAGAAACTACCATCAGAGTGAACAGGCAACCTACAACATGGGAGAAAATTTTCGCAACCTACTCATCTGACAAAGGGCTAATATCCAGAATCTACAATGAACTCAAACAAATTTACAAGAAAAAAACAAACAACCCCATCAAAAAGTGGGCGAAGGACATGAACAGACACTTCTCAAAAGAAGACATTTATGCAGCCAAAAAACACATGAAAAAATGCTCATCATCACTGGCCATCAGAGAAATGCAAATCAAAACCACAATGAGATACCATCTCACACCAGTTAGAATGGCAATCATTAAAAAGTCAGGAAACAACAGGTGCTGGAGAGGATGTGGAGAAATAGGAACACTTTTACACTGTTGGTGGGACTGTAAACTAGTTCAACCATTGTGGAAGTCAGTGTGGCGATTCCTCAGGGATCTAGAACTAGAAATACCATTTGACCCAGCCATCCCATTACTGGATATATAACCAAAGGACTATAAATCATGCTGCTATAAAGACACATGCACACGTATGTTTATTGTGGCACTATTCACAATAGCAAAGACTTGGAACCAACCCAAATGTCCAACAATGATAGACTGGATTAAGAAAATGTGGCACATATACACCATGGAATACTATGCAGCCATAAAAAATGATGAGTTCATGTCCTTTCTAGGGACATGGATGAAATTGGAAATCATCACTCTCAGTAAACTATCGCAAGAACAAAAAACCAAACACCACATATTCTCACTCATAGGTGGGAATTGAACAGTGAGATCACATGGACACAGGAAGGGGAATATCACACTCTGGGGACTGTGGTGGGGTGGGGGGAGGGGGGAGGGATAGCATTAGGAGATATACCTAATGCTAGATGACGAGTTAGTGGGTGCAGCACACCAGTATGGCACATGTATACATATGTAACTAACCTGCACAATGTGCACATGTACCCTAAAACTTAAAGTATAATTAAAAAAAAAAAAAAGAAAGAGAAGTTGGATAATGGTACAGAAATACACTTAGATAGAAGAAATAAGTTCTTGTATTCAGGCCGGGCACGGTGGCTCACGCCTGTAATCTCAGCACTTTGGGAGGCAGGGGCAGGTGGATCGCTTGAGCTCAGGAGTTTGAGACCAGCCTGGGCAATATGGCAAGATGCTGTCTCTACAAAAAATACAAAAATTAGCTAGGCATGGTGGCACGTGCCTGTAATCCCAGCTACTCAGGAGGCTGAGGTGGGAGGATTGCTTGGGCCCAGGAGGCAGAGGTTGCAGTGAGCCAAGATTACGCTACTGCACTCCAGCCTGGGCGACAGAGTGAGACCCTGCCTAAAAAAAAAAAAAAAAAAAAAAAAAGTTCTTGTATTCAATAGTACAGCAGGGAAATTATAGTTAACAATAACATCTTATAGATTTCAAAATACCCAGAAGAGGAAAATTGTGTTGGGTAATGTCCCCAACACAAAGAAAAGATAAAAGATAAATGTTTGAGGGGATGGGTATCCTGATTACCCTGATTTGATCATTATATATTGTATACGTGTATCAAAATATCACATCTACCCCAAAATATCAATAAATATATTTTAAAATGTAAAAAAAAAAAAAAAAGATTTGTAAGTAAACATTTCAAGGATTTCTTTGCATTGTAAAATATTGATGCACAAGAGCACCATACTGGGACCTCCAGAACAGTCTATCAAAGAGGAGAGAGACATTTTCTCCTGATTCACTGAGCACCCAGCCCAATTTAGGCACTTTGAGGACTGTGGCGCATCAATTGTGGTGCCTGGCCCAACAGAAGCAGTGCCCTCTGAGACCTTAGTGTCTGGAAAAATCAATAGGGCTAGGAAGGAGGACACCGGCACCAGGCTGAGGATTTTGCCTGGTGCTTCAGTATTAAAATTTGGAGCAAGAAATAATAACATTCTGGCTACTATTATCATGGTCCCATTTGCAACCCCAGGTTGGTGAAACCTAGAGACTCTTGGGTGACATTTTCCAATTCACTTCAAGCTTGATATCATACCCACTGTCGAGCTTCTCTTTCTTAACTCACTCTAATTCTTCCCAAAACGTGAATGGAAGAAAAGTAAAGTAGTTACGGGTTCACATTTTTTCATTGTTTGTGTTTTATTTAAATGGCTAATTTCATTTCCAGTCCCTCATCTAAAGTAAACCCTACAGTGTTGTGGTGGCTGCTTATCATCAGAGAAAGTGATTTGAAAGAAGCCAGGTATTCACAGTGTATACAGCAAAGAATATGAATTACCCAGAAGTAGAATGGCTCGAAACGTATTTTACTAGTGAGGAGAGCATAACCCACACTTTACTGCGTGTCATCCAGCAAGCTGTCAACTAAACAATACACTTTTCAAAACGAATTGTTTCAAGCAGGAACTTGAAATTCAGCACTTAAATATTTCTGGTGGGATTTTATTTAAATTTTAGAGTGCAAACATTTGATAACCTATCACCTTTTACATTACATTTATTTTTACAGTATCACTTATTTGCTTTAACAAATCTTGCATGTGAAGGATGTAAGAACACAAGTACTTCAGGCAGCCTTCGGATTTCTCCTGTCTTATGTTTTATTCAGCCAATCAATGTAGCTGCCATTCTGTATTGCTAAACACAAGGATGCACAGCAATCCTGCAAGCAGCTAAGAAGGGCACACACACCCCTAAGCCCTAGGGTGCATCCGGGAGGAATTGACTCAAACCAAGAAGCTTCATATCCTTTAAGTCCTTTAAAGTAATAGGGTGACATTTCTCATAGTGTCAGGAGCCCTTCAAACATGCTGAATTAGCAAGACAACTTAATGAGGATTAGGCTAATTTGACAGAAGATGTAGAACACCTTCTCCAGACCTCCTCACTTTAATTTCAATCTGATATCCAGTAGCTAAAGGTGAAGGAGGGAGTGACCTTTACCACTAACTTCGAGTCTTCAAGTTAACAGAGCAGAATTGCTCTTCTTCGGATGTCAGAGTAACCACGATGCATGATGTTGATAGGGGTCAAATTGCCCAAGATATATATTTTCATTCACCTCCTTAGAGATTGGACCTGACAAAACTGTAATAGCTTACTGAGTTATAAATGACAATGACATACTGGATATTTTCAAGCACTTTTATTTCTCTTACTTCCTGTGACTGGTTAGAAAAGAAAGCTGTTATTCCACAAGACAATGACTTTGAAATATTTCAAAAGAATTTTCCACAGCAGGTAATTGTATAATGCAGCTTGTGCATCCCCCTATGTTATGCATACATAGAATATTAAAGTCAACAAATAGGCTGTGCAGGGTGGCTTATGCCTGTAATTCCAGCACTTTGGGAGGCCAAGGTGAGAACATCATTTGAGCCCAAGAGTCCAAGGCTGCAGTGAGCTATGATCATACCACTGCACTCTGCCCTGGGCAAAAAAATGAGACCCTGTCTCAAAAAAAAAAAAAAAAAAGGCGATGAATGTCTAAAGTTCATGGTTCGTTTTCCACAAGTTTAGCTAGAATCTAGATCATGAATCTAGATCACAGTCTATAAGCATGAATCTAGATCACAGACCAACAAACCTTCTTCTGTAAAGGGCCACATAGAAAATAGTTTCAGCTTTACTGGCCATATGGTCTCTGTCACAACTACAAAGCTTTGGTGTTGTAGAGTGAAAGACATTGTGTAAACCAATGGGTGTGGCTGCATTGCAATAAAACTTTATTACAGATACTAAAATTTGATTTTATATAATGTTCATGTGTCATGAAATTATTTTTGATTTTGTTAACCATTTGAAAATGTAAAAAAAAATTCTTAATTCATAGTGAAATGGGAGAGTTCTCTGATTCCCTTCGTGGGACAGGTAGCAGGGGTGTGGCTTGCCTGTTCCATCTCCGGGCAGCTCAAACCCCTAGCGGGAGCATGCAGGCAGGCAGGTGCAGAGGCCTGGGCGAGGGCTTTGGGCTCTCGGCCCTGTGGTAGTATGTAGGAGTGAGTGCCTGCAACCCCAGTATTACAAACCTCTTTCAGCTTTGCCATCTGAAGACAGCTTGAATGTTAATCAGCTCAATGGACCCTCTGCCTTATTGCAAGGACCCAGGGCCAGGGTGACAGCCTTCTGTATCTTGAGCTCTTGCCCAGTATCCTGGAAAAATCAAGTGACGTGCAGGCTTGAAGGATCAGTGCAAGGTTTTATTGATGGTGGAGGTGGCTCTCAGTGAGATGGATGGGGAGCCGGAAGGTGAAGGGGTGGGAGAGATAATCATACCCTGGAGTTTGACTGTTCTCTGCGAACTCCTCTTGACATTCAGGTGCTTCTTCCCTCCTTCTCTGCCATCCCGCACTGCTGCTCACTGCTGCTGTCCGCTGCTCCTCTCCATGTTCAGCCACTTGTGTGTGGGAGTGTGGCAGGCCACAGTGGTTTGGGAAAATGCAACAGTCGGGCATGAAAACAGGAGTACCTGTTCTCACTTAGGTCGACAGATGCAGGCCTGAGGGTGGAGCCCTCACCAAGGACCTCACCCTTCTCTACCCAGCACTTCCCTGCCCCCCTCCCATATCAAAAGGCTACACAAAAAACAAGGAGTGTGCCAGATTTCACCCAGGAATACAGCCTAGATATCAAGTTTTAGAAGATTTTCTGAACCTTCAACATGTTATTTTATATTCTTTAAGCTTTAGATGACATTGAATGATTCTGACATTTGAGTATTTATAGAATTTGTTAACCTACTGACACTGCGAGCTTGGAAGAACACTAGGTATGTCTCAAGGTTAATGTGCATATGAATCAGCCAGGAGACCGTGTTGAATGCTGACTCAGATTCAGTGAGTCTGAGGTGGGACCCAGATTCTACAATTCTAACAAGCTCCCCAGTGATGCTCATGCTCTTAGCCTGTGATCCACACTTTGAGTACCAAGGCTTACAGCATGTACAATTGAAATTCAACCAAACATGCTAAGGGCTGGCAATTCAATCAAATAATAAGTATTCATTGAGAGCTTACTATATGTCCACTTCTGTGCGAGGTGCCCAGGGAAATTCTAAAAAATATATAAAATATAGTTCTTTTCAACAAGGAGTTTACAATCAAGTTAAGCACACAAGCAACAGGGTAAATTATAAGGAATAAGTTAAGGAAACTTTAAGTGACAAGGAAGTTCAGAGAAACACAATAATAAATGGAATTTGGGAAAGTACCATAGAATAGGTAAGCCTCTGTCTGAACCACAAAGAATGATCAGTGAAAGACAGAGGGAAGACTTAAAACAGCATTTCCAAAGTCACGAAGACAGAAATGTGGTGGCTCTAGAATGTCTGTCTAGGAAATAGTTGTGGGAAACCACCTGGCTGGAAGGGGTGGCATCTGAAGTTATTGCTTGGATTATATGGTTGTTCTAGATGGCTTGGGAAATTGTTAATGGAAATAAAGGGAGATTCATTGAAACCCTATATAAGACTCCCCATGGTGCCATTCTACAGGTACCCCATGGCAAATCTCCTAAAGACTTAGCTTCTTTCAAAAGCATTTATTTAGGAACACATTTAGTTATTCCATATTCCAAATGGTTAACTTGGAGTGGAAGACAGTAGCCTCGACTATTTACTGTGGGAAGTGACATATTTCAAGTATTTAGTGCTAAGTATATTGATCAGAGCTGAAGTTCCTAATAAGAAGCAATTTAAGTATTATTCTTTGTCTCCCAAGCAAAATGTTTCCTGAAATCCTACTTTTAGAAACTGCTTATTTTAGATTAAGACCATGCTTCTCAAACTTGGGATATGTGGCAGTGCGCAGGGAATATGGACACTCAACAGGAAAAAAAAAATTGGTACATTTTCCTAGAGTGTCATTTTTCTAGATATAGTGAAAATAACAATTAAACAACTCAGCCATAACCCCAATGTTGTTTTTATAGTAACCAAACATGGACATATTATGAAATAGGATGCAAAAATCATGATTTCTTTTTAAATAATAAATCAAATTATTTCAAAGGAATATGGGCCTAGAGCTCTGGGCTCCCCTTTGAGAGGCTGAGGGGATGTATCTTCACTCTCCTCAGTCTTTAGAAGTTCTTTTGTGAAAGTTTAAAAGCTTTGAATTGATGCCCACTGGCGAGTACTACACAACAATTAAAGACGAGAGACCAGCATACACTTAACAACTTGGCTGGATCTGAAAAATAGCCTGTGGAGTGAAAGAAGCATGAAAAAGACTAAGATCTAACACACAGTATTACCATTTACATAAATTAAGATACCTGCAAATAAAATAGAAATACACAGTCTACAAAAACACAAACAGAATAACAAATTAAATAATAAATGAATTAAATCAAACCTCTGCACTTGAGGTTCAAAAAGAATTAAAGGGTTAAATCACCACAAACTAGGAAGTGTTTATTTTTAAATGAAGACATCTTTAGATATTTACCATGAAATCTTCATTAACAGCAAGGTAAGATTTAATTATCAGAGCAAGTTGTGAGAGTTTGAGGAAATAGTAACAGGAAGAGAGTGAGGAATAGAAGAGAAAAAAAAAGAAGTGGCATGAAAAATAACTCAAATTTATTTACTATTTCAAACATTTCAGATATTTGGGCCAAGTCTTTTCGCATGCACAGTCTGAGAGAAACACGGTTATTATCCCAGTTGACAGATGAGGAAATTGACACTTGGAGAGGTCAAAAAGAAATTTGTCAAGGTCACTCAGCTTATAAGGGCCAGATATTTTTCAGACTTTGATCTGCCTCCTCCCGATCAAACGTCTGAATAACTACTATGCATGGCTTAGCAGTAGAAGTTCTTGAACACACAGCATAAGATCAGGAGTTACTAGGGCAGAGATCCTGACCTATAGGGAGAGAATTGCTAAAGAAAAAGAGAGAGAAGGGAGGTGGGGAGAGATGTGGGAAGACACTGCAGAAAATTATACCTTTCACAACTTTGTCCTTAGCCAACCTTAAAGTTTATGATTTTTTTGAAGTTCAGCTATAATTTATTTGCAGGTCTTTACAAACAATTAATATAATATTTTATCTACACACTTGAAACAAACATTTTTATGACTTCTCTAAAAAACATTGAGACAATTTGAGAAAAGCTTACGCCATTTTATTGAAAAAGAGGTAATTTTTGTTATTTTTATAGGGACTTTTTAAGAGAAAGTACTGGGGCCTAATATTAGAAGTTTTAGGTGTCTAACCTATAGTTCTGTGGCTTTCATTGACCCCTGAAGAAGCCTTGGAAATTAACTTAGTATCATACATTATTTAGTCACCATTCTTAAAAAGGAAAATAACAATTAGTTTTTAAAGACAGGGTAAGGATCAAAAAGTTAAGTGTCTATGTGGTGCTTTGACAAAGAAAAGCACTGTGTCAGTACACGCAGTCTCTGCTAAGAGACTGCATTCTCTTCTCTTCCACTTTTTAATTATCTCAACCTCAGTCCTTGACTCGGAATTTTAGTTCCTTGATCTCCCTGGTTCTACCTCAAAGACCGTGACTGAGGTCTTTTTTTTTTTTTAGAGAATGTATGATGTTTTCAATGCTCTTGATGCAGCTTCATCACAAGACAACAGCACGCAATTCAGCAAAGCCCTAATTGGCAGGTGTGCAATGAGTTTTCATATAAAATCCAGGTGTGGATTTCTGCTTTGTTTACCTGCACTAATAATCATACAACTGGGTCCTTATACAAAAATAGTGTATTGAAATATCTCCAACATGTTCATCAAAGAAATTTGGAATTTGTACGTATTGTGGGGATTTGTTGTTGTTATTATTTTATCAATATCCAAAATGCCATATTTTTCTGTAATTGTTTTGAATTTTTTTAACATCACATATTGCCTAGAATAAATTATATGCTGCCCCTAAAGACTCAAGAACTGCTAAAACCTTTTCACTTAGAAAGCCTAACTTCCTAAACTTAGGAAAAAATAATCTCCTATAAAGAACAAAGGAGAGATAACAAAATGTTTTGTTATTGAGTTGTTTCAAATCTTTAACACAAATGCCATAAAAGCATATCTATTGATATTTCTATCCTAAAAAATATTATAAATATTTAAAATTATTTAACTGATGATAGCATTTTAATCACAGTGTGTCTGCAATTTTCTTAAGGAAGAACAGACTTACTAGAGTGATGACATGAATTGAAGGCTAGAATACACTTGAAGCAAAATAAGTTATATTTTTTAATAACAGTTGCAGCCAAAAATAATACTTTATGGACTAAAATGCATAGAACATTAACATTCAGCATTTTTGCAGAAAAAAAGGCAAGTAGATTTTGAATTGACATTTTCAAGCATATGTTACTTCTGTCAAATGTGAAGTGAACAAGCCTAATCATAATTAAACTATCACATTCAGCTAATCTGAGAACATCATTCTAAAACAACATATCAGTAGTTCATCTGTCCATCTACTGTTTCCTAACATCTTGTACTTCTCAACATTGCAAGTGCTCCAAATTGAGCAGAGTGGTGACAAGCTACTGACACCAACATTTATGCCTTAAACATCTACACATATAAAATAGTTCTCCCATTATTTTCTTAGAAATTCAAAGCTTCATGTCAATTTGTTCCCCTTAATTGCTTTTTTGTTTAGTTTTCAGGACTTTTAAAAGCTATTCATAGTATGAAGCAATGTTTGAAGACGTTTGTCATCTAAAATAGCTTTTATTCTCACTTCACACTTAGAAGCAGAAAGAATTTTCAACATATTAACTAAAACAGTGTGGCTTTAATATATTTAATTAAAAGAGATGTTGGGTGAAGATGTAACCATTCACTCATTCATTCATTCATTCATTCATCTATCTATGCAACAAACTTTTTGAGTGCCTACGAGATGCTATACTAAGATAATAAAACATGGTTCTGACCCTTAAGGATTTCCAAATCTAATAGGGAAAAATAAGTCAACAATAATTACAATGAAATCTGAGAATTATTGTAATAGAGATTTACACATAACATAGTAAATAGAAATAAAAATTCCACCTGTGTGGGGTGAATGGTTAAAAGATTTGTAGATGTCACAGCTTAACCTATGTATGGTATGCTTTTTTTTCTCATATAAAATTCCCTGTTTTTCAGAATGACTCAGGATTCAACTCTGTCTTTGGAAAATAAGGTACTAAAAGAGACGATCATGAGGACAGTTACAGTGTTTAACATGCCTTTTCCCAAGGAGGTTATTGCAAAAAACCATTCCATTTTACATTTTTGACTGTCCAAAAAATTTTTTTCATTAATTTAAATATTTAGGAGATAGCCCTACTGTCAAGAACAAGAACCTCACAATTTAGCTGGAGAGAAAGATTTCTGAACAACTAATCATAATATAAATATAAATAATTATAAAAAGCACAAGAGCAAAACATGACACTTTTCAGGATAAAAAGACAAAAGTGGCTAGGCACAGTGGCTCACACCTGTATAATCCCAGCACTTTGGGAGGCCAAGGCAGGAGGATTGCTTGAGCCTAGGAGTTTGAGACCAGCCTGGGCAACATAGTGAGACCCCATCTCTAAAAAAAGTAAAAAAGATATAGGAAAGCATGGTGGCACATGCCTGTAGTCCCAGCTACTCAGGGGCTGATGTGGGAGGATCTTTTGAGCCCAGATGATTGAGACTGCAGTGAGCTGTGATTGTGCCACTGCACTCCAGTCTGAGTGACACAGCAAAACCCTGTCTCGAAAAAATAAATAAACAAAAGACAAAAATTAATATCTTACAGGGGCAAAATACAGATTACATTAGGAGTAAAATTGAGAGATAGAGCTGGAAAAGCAGATTGGATAAGAGGTAGCATCTTGAATGACAGGCTAAGAAATTTACACTTTTTTCTGTAGTCATCTAGGAATAATCAAATGTTTCTTAATTACAAAGGTAACATCATAGTATACTTTCAAAATACAATTTAGGCAGAAGTTAGGGAATGAATTCAGGAATTAAGAGTTTCATGTGAAAAGCACAATAAGAAAACTCTTATTACAAAGAAGTAAACTCGATAAATGGCAGGAAGGAGTAGAAAATTTAATAAACATTCCTAGAGGGGTGAGGGCAGCTAGTGAAACTTCAGGATAATGCATCCTGAAAAATCAAGGATAGAGATAATTAAAGTAGACCATCATTTTGCAGAAGAGCTTCCCCTGTTGCAATGCTACAGTGAGACTAATTCTAGGAACCTAATCTAAAGAAATTGCCAATACTTCATGGGTTTGAGGAAGCATAGAAATAATGATAGCTACAACCACTTTCCTGAATGCTTAAGATATCCTAGATAATATGCTAACTGCCTCATATATATATATATATATATATACACACACACACATAAATATATTCATATATATACACATAAATATATTCATATATATATATAAATGAATGGGCAAGGGTGTGCTCCTATAAAATTTTATTTACAAAACAGGTGGTAGGCCAGATTTGGCCCATGGGCCAACCCCTGCTTTAGAGTCAGGCAAATCTAGGCTTTGAAACTAGCTCTATTGCATGCCAGCCATAGAAATGGCATATATCATACGATCCTTATAACAACAGTGAAAAATAAATAACTACTGTCATTTTACAAATAAGGAAACCTATGCACAGATAAATTACATGACCTTCTAAAAGTCCTATGGCTGGCATGCAATAGAGCTAGTTTCAAAGCCTAGATTTGTCTGACTCTAAAGCAAGGGGTTGGCCCATGGGCCAAATCTGGCCTACCACCTGATTTGTAAATAAAATTTTATAGGAGCACAGCCATGCCCATTCATTTACATATTGTCTGTGTCTGTTTTCACACTACCTCAACAGAGTTAAGTATTTGTAACAGAAACCAAATATTTGATTTCTAAAACGTGTACCTAAAATATTTACCATCTGACCTTTAGAAGAAAAGTTTGCCAACCTCTGCTCTACAACTCTCACTCATAACCATTAAACAAATAAGTATTGAGCAACTATTATGTTCCAGGCACTGAGCCAGAAACGGTTCATTATAGCTACTGAGGCAGGCTCTAAGCAGTTAAAAATGGAGGTGACAACAAGAATGCTCCTAACTGTAAAACACTCACCACATTAATAAATAGTCCATCTTGACCTTGACGCTCCTCACCTTGAATGGCACTGCTAGGCAATCCAGACCATAAATAGAAGAGACAGCAGTTTTTTCACTATCATTGCTTTCTTATCTGCCCCTAGATATACAGAAAGTCCTTGAGATTTGCAAGAAATGCTACTCAGTCCTTCACAGATCCTCAAATTATCAGATATAACTATAGAAAAAATTCAAGTCAAACATAATTGAACATTCTATATGATTCCTGCAAATCAATAATGATTCTATAAATACAAGATTACCAATTATAAAGCTATTAAATGAATTTATTAGCAAAATAAAATTAACAAATTATATCCCATTTAATAGAATATTAAAATAAGACTCTATGTTTCAACAAAAAGTGCCAGCAATTGGGCAGCAAAGCGAGTGTGAGCAAATTTGCCAGAGTTGAATTTACAGGGAAATGTTTGGAGCATGTTTCTCGACTCTTGTGCTCTTCACTCTGGAGCCTTTCACCCACTTTAAGAAAAGAGTCAAGAGAGGAAACCAGGGAAGAGGGACATTTGTGAGAAAAACTTTTTGGAGATGACTATGTTGTGGATCCCACCCTCTTCTTGGGTCATAGGAGTTGCCCCTAGAAAGTATCAAAAGGGAACTTCTAAAAATGACTGAGAGCAAGAGTCAATATTAAACATTTACCAGGCCCAGAGACCACAAAAATACCTGAACTAACAAGTTCAAGTCCAGTACAAGTAAGAAAATCCTTGCCCTGTGTAATTATCTATTACTGCGTGATAGATAGATAAACACCCTGAATTTAGCAACGTAACACAACATGAGTTTTATTATGTTCATGGATTCTGTGAGTTGGATATTCCAGCAGTGCATAGTGAGGATGGCATTTTTGCTCCATGGTATCTGGACCTTCATCCAGGAAAACTGGAATGACTCAGGGTATTTCAAACAGATAGGAGCTGGGCAAGACCAGACCAGGATAAAGCAAGTAGGATGCCCAGGGTGCAAAATTTAAGGAGGCACTCCCTCTGACTTTCATGCAAGGGTCGACGCTACACTTGGAAGACTCTAAAAGTGAATGTCACCCTAAATTGTGTGCCTTTAGTGCCTCACTTTCCTGGACATAGTCCTGGTCCTGGGGTCTCATCAGGTTGCTCAAAAGCTGGCTTTAGCTAGGACACTTAAGTGAAGCAATTACAGTCAACCTTTTCATGTACCTTGGGTTTTTCTCCTCATGATGACTGTATTCTGAGAGACAGCATTCTAACAGAATAATCTATCCCAAGAGCACCAAGAAGACACAGCACAGCCTCTTATGACCTAGCCTCACGAGTCCCATGATGTCACTTCCACTATGCCCTCTTGGGAAAAACAGTCACAAGTCCACCAAGATCCTAAGGTACTGGCACACATATCCTGCCTCTGAAGGAGAACAGCAAAGGATTTGTGTTCGTGTTTGGAAACCACCACCACACCTTCCTTTCCTCTCTCGTCTCCCCATGTTTCCATCCCCGAGGAGTCTGAAACTATCTTTACTCAGCTAGAGTAGAAGGACTGAGGAGGGAAAAAGAAAAGGGCTGCCTTCCTTTCCTATTGTAAATGACCTGCCCATGTCGGCCTGATTGGGGGAGTGTAAAGGATTTGACTTTGAATCAAATTCAGGGTTTTATTATCAAGGGCAGGGCATTCTAATTTCTTTTTCTTTAAGCCTCAGAACAGCTTGGAAGATTCTAATTTTTAATGTGAATAATCAAAGAGATTGTAAGACTAACTATTACTCAAGATGGACAAGAAAAGCCAGGGAACTTGACCATATTTTCATCCAGGAATTTAAAGGGGTAGTGAGAGATAAAAATAAATCTTGCTTTGATCATATTGCATAAGTTATGCCTTTTCATCAAACCGGTTGCATACAACATTACTAGAGTAATATTAACCATAAGCTTATCTGAACTACAAAATGGAAGCCATGATGATGTATCATGATGTTAGCTGTTGTTTAGCACATGCAGTTTTTGAATGAGGAAGACCATGTTGAAATTCACCATACCTTCATAGCAAGGTGAAATTAGGAGACTACAGTGCAACAAGGCCCGCTGATCCTGTGGTGAGTCACTGGTATCAGTGTCGGTAGAAAACATAAAGCAAAAGACAGAGAAGTTAAATGAGATCTCAGAGAGGCAGAGTGCCAAGGACCAGCCATGGGAGCACTAGGAAAGAACATGATGGCTGGCGACATTTTAACATTTTATCCTGCCTATGTCTATACGTCCCACTGGATGTTCTGGATGTTTCCAATGGTTCTGGAAGTTTTGTGGACACTTGCATGAAAGTGAGAGGGAGTGCCTCCTTAAATCTGCTTTTTGTTTTAAAATTATCATCCTGATTTGCTATGTGGAGAATAGAAAAATATAAGGGTGTGTGTGTCTGGGTGTGTGTGGGTGTGTCTGTGTGCATTCATGTGGATATGTGAAAGAGAGAGACAGAGAGAGAGAGAAATAGAACAGGGGTTGGGAAAGAGTGAGAAGCTGCAGAAGTAAGCAGGGGTGAGAAAAATTAAGCTAGGAGATGGTTCCGGTGAAAGACAATGTTATTTGGGACTAGGATGTTAGCAGTGGACATAGTGAGAAGTGGTAAAAATTGGCATGTGGCAAAGTAGTCCAAATGTGGGTCTGTGTTGAAGATAAAACTAAAAGCTAAAAGGACATATTGGTGGACAAATGGTGCGATGTCTGTGACACTGTTTATGAAAGCATTCTCCGCGGGATGAGCAACAAGTATTACTCTTCAATGTGTGTGATGAGTCTAAGCATTTGCACATGTGAAAATCCTCAGATAGAGTTATTTAGTCACAGAAATTCACATCTTCATAGTAATTTTATAAGTTAGAGCAGCACCAGTACATAAATCATTTCACTTATTCTCTGAAATAACTCTGTCTATGCTCATTAAATTGATGCCAAATAAACAAGTTTAGTGTTTGGTAAAGAATAAAGAAGGAGAGAAGGAATTATAAAGTTTTGCTTTTTCTCTGCCATCTTTTAACATCATGTTAGTTTTTCTGAGTTTGAGTCAGTCTCTTTCTTGTTTCTTAGCTTGCTCCACATGTAGTTTTTAGGACTTTTGTGGTCATTAGCATTTCTCAGTCTTTCTGGACTTTTAGCCTTGCTGACCCTACTCTTTATATATGTGCCACTCTTTTGTGCTTGTCCTTGGTCATGTGCCTCTTTTGTATGTGATCTTTTATGTCTGAGCTCAAAGAGCTCTCTAAACAGACACAGTAATCCTTTTCGATCTTTCCTCAACTTCCTTTATGAGATCATCTATGATGCTACAGTCAAGATTCTTGTTTAGGAGCCCTTCATTCCTATTTATTATATCTGTCCAAAGACACCTTCCAACATTTGCTCCAAGCTTTTGGAAACTGCTTTCCTAAAGTTATGGGGTATATTTTAGTCTTACTAATGGATCCATTGAATTATGTCACATATTGTTAACTCTTCGCAGGATTATATTTCCGTAAGGACACAATACAAGCACTTTTATTATTATACAAATATTTCTTTTTTATTTTTTTGAGACCGAGTCTTGCTCTGTTACCCAGGCTGGAGTGCAGTGGTGTGATCTCAGCTCACTGCAACCTCCACTTCCTGAAGCGATTCCCCTGCCTCAGCCTCCTGAGTAGCTGGGAATACAGGTGCACACCACTACGCCCCACTAATTTTTGTATTTTTAGTAGAAACGGGGTTTCACCATGTTGGTCAGGCTGGTCTCAAACTCCTGACCTCGTGATCCACCCGCCTCGGCCTCCCAAAGTGCTGGGATTACAGGCGTGAGCCAACAAATATTTCTTTGGTTTGCTATTTCAATTTGTTTCAGGTTATAACAGGGACTTGTGTTTGGTGTAAAAGCCTTTAATTGAATTTGGTGATAATCAACCATTGTCAGATTCCATGTTTGCAACTAGTACTGACATATAGAAAAAAAAGAACATGCACACACACACACACGCACACAAACACGCATGCATAACGTTAAAAAGTAAAGTTCTTATAGAAATAAGACTAATTCTCCAAAACCAGCAATATTATTAATAAAGATAACATTCAAATGTTTAGAGTGTTTCTTCTTCCAGGCCCTGTTTCTATATGACAAAGTTTGTGGTTTTGTTTTTTAACAGAAATCATATTGAAATCAGCATTCTACACCCAGCCCCCTCCCCCGGGGTGTTAATAACAAGGACATCTGTCCTCACATTTCAATCTCTTTTCAACTAAAGTCAGCTTTCACCACACTGATTCAACACTCAATTTTTAAAGTTTTCTTGTTATCAACTTTCATACACAAAAACTCCAGAAAAAATTTGTGACCAATAATGAGGATGTGCTCCATCTCCTTCATCTTCAAACAACATGAAACATCTTCATCACTAGGTAGCATGTTGTTAAGTTTTGCCTCTATTTTTTTCTCCCTTTCTTTTCCGATTTCACTTATTTCCAGTGCTCTATATCATTCGCATGTGTTATTGCTTGTCCTTTCTCCACAAATAAATGTTTTTTAATTGATTTCTTGAGTTCAAGAGCTTGAGATATCAAACCAATAAAACAAGTGAGATGCATTACTTTTCAAATGTTTTCCCTTTAATTTTCTTAAAAATATGTAAAAAGGTAGTTTTAAGTTTCTGCACTTTCCTCAGGCACAGCTCCAAAAGAAAACATTGTCATCTAAAAGAGATCAAATTTTTAAAATCAATCTATCACACTTTAATATGCATTACACATATATCTGGCATATTATCACTTTGTGTTTCTAAGGTCTAGTACTAACACATTTTCCAGGTTTTTATTCCATTTATTTTAAGATACAGTCAAAATAATTTGACAGAGAAACTAAATGATTTTTGAAAATATACCTCCCACTTTTCCAGTTGCCTTGCCTTGAAGGTTATAGATAGACGAAACTTAATAACCAATCACTCAGAATATCTCTTCTCTTTCTGAAGCACAACTGCCATAAAAATATACTCTCCACTTAGGGTTACTATGAGTAATTGATTATAAATGACAAAGAGGAAAATGGATATACTCCCTAGCCAAACATTTTCATCATTAACAATAATAGAAATGTTTCTTCCAACAAACCCTTGGGTATTGCTTATACTCAGAACTTGAAAGTCATTGCTTATAGATAGGGCTGGTCTGGCGGGGAAGCTTCTAGGACATTTTTTTCTTAAAATAACGATTACATGAAATGGTTCAAATATTTCGCAATAAAACATTTGTAAAAATGCTAGGTATAGGTCCAGTTCAGAGAAACTACTTCAGGGGACAAGGTACTGTTTCAGGGGTGGGGGATCCAGGGGAAAGTAGTCTATTGTGGAAATTCATGGTGTAAATCCTTTTGGACTAGTAACTGTCTAAAAAAGGTGATATCCGGGACTTATTTCATAGTAGCGTTCCACGTGCTATGGGTCAGCTGCTTGATAATTTCACTTCCATACAGGGCTTATTTTTTATTTATTTTTATTTTTATTTTATTTTTTATTTTTTTGAGATGAAGTCTCACTCTGTTGCCCAGGCTGGGGTGCAGTGGCGCGATGTCCGCTCACTGCAAGCTCCACCCCCCGGATTCATGCCATTCTCCAGCCTCATCCTCCCTAGTAGCTGAAACTACAGGTGCCCGCCACCATCCCTGGCTAATTTTCCTGTACTTTCTTTTCTTTTTTTTTTTTTTAGTAGAGATGGGTTTTCACCGTGTTCGCCATGATGGTCTCAATCTCCTGACCTCACGATCGGCCCGCCTCGGCCTCCCAAAGTGCTGGCATTACAGGCCTGGGCTTATTTTTTAAAAAAATTAACATTTATTTCAGATACAGGAGATCATCTGTGGATTTGTTACATGGGAATAGTGTGTAATGCTGAGGTTTAAAATACAGATCTCATCACCCAAGTAGTGAGCACAGTACCCAAGAGATAGTTTTTAGCCCACTCCTCCCCTCCCTCCACCTTCTAGTAGTCCCCAGAGTCTATTGTTCCATATTTATGTACATGTGTGCTCGATGTTTAGCTCCCAATTATTATTGAGAAGATGCAGTATTTGGTTTTCTGTTCTGGTGTTAATTTGCTTAGGATCATGGCCTCTAGTTCCATCCATGTTGCTGCAAAGGACATGATTTCATTCTTTTTATGGCTATATAGTATTCCATGGTGTGTACGTACCACATTTTCTTTTTTTTTTTTGAGACAGGGTCTCACTCTATTGCCCAGGCTGGAATGCAGTGGTGTGGTCTTGGCTCACTGCAACCTCTGCCTCCTGAGTTCAAGTGATTCTCCTGCCTCAGCCTCCCAAGTAGTTGGGATTACAGGTGCCTGCCACCACGCCTGACTAATTTTTTGTATTTTTAGTAGAGACGGGGTTTCACCATGTTGGCCAGGCTGGTCTTGAACTCCTGACCTCGTGATCTGCTTGCCTCGGCCTCCCATGTACCACATTTTCTTTATTCAATCTACCATTGATGGGCACCTGGATTAGTTCCATGTCTTTGCTATCGGGAATAGTGCAGCTATGAATATATGCGTTCATGTGTCTTTTGGGTAAAATAAAATCTTTTATTTTGGGTATATACCTTGTAGTGTGATTTTTGGATTGAATGGTAGTTCTGTTTCAAGTTCTTTGAGAAATCTTCAGTCTGCTTTCTACAGTGGCTGAACTAATTTACATTCCCACTAGCGGTACATAAGCATTCCCTCTTCTCCACAGCCTCACCAACATCTGATGTTTTTTGACTTTTTAATAATAGCCATTCTGACTGGCTTGACATGGTAACTTACTGTGGTTTGCTTGGCATTTCTCTGATGATTAGTGAAGCTGAGCGTTTTAGCATTTCTTTCCTGTTTTTTTGGCCACCTATATGTCTTTTTTATTTTTTCAGAGTCTCGCTTTGTCACCCAGGCTGGAGTGCAGTGGCGCAATCTCAGCTCACTGCAACTTCTGCTTCCCAGGTTCAAGTGATTCTCCTGCCTCAGCCTCCCAAGTAACTGAGACTACAAGGGCATGCCACCATATCCGGCTAATTTTTTTGTATTTTTAGTAGAGACAGGATTTCACCATGTTACCCAGGATGGTCTCAATCTCCTGACCTCATGATCCACCTGCCTCAGCCTCCCAAAGTGCTGGGATTACAGGCATGAGCCACCATGCCTGGCCCCATGTTATCTTTTGAGAAATGTCTGTTCATGTCCTTTGCCCATTTTTAATGGGGTTGATTTTTACTTGTTAATTTCTTTGTTCTCTATAGATTCTGGATATTAGGCCTTTGTTGGATATATAGTTTGCAAACATCTTCTCCCATTCTGTAGGTTGTCTGTCTGCTCTGTTGATAGTTTCTTTTGCTGTGCAGAAGCTCCTTAGTTTAATTAGGTTCCACTTGTCTATTTTTGCTTTGAGTATCCAAAGCAATCCTAAGCAAGAGAGCAAAGCTAGAGGCATCACACTACTCGACTTCAAACTACACTATAAAGCCACAGTAACTAAAACAGCTTGGCAGTGGTACAAAAACAGACACATAGACCAGTGGAATGGAATAGAAAACTCAGAAGCAAATTCACACACCTAAAACCATCTGATCTTTGACAAGGCCATCAAAATCAAACAATGAGGAAAGGACTCTCTATTCAACAAATGGTGCTGGGATAACTGGCGGGCCATATGCAGAAGATTTAAGTTGAATCTCTACTTTTCACCATATACAAAGATCAGCTCAAAATCGATTAAAGGTTTAAATATAAGATCTCAAACTATAAAAATCCTGGAAGACAACCTAGGAAACACTCTTCTCACATCGGCATTGGCATAAAGGACTTTTAAACTGAGCCCACTCATTATCTGCGAGAGAAGAGAGAGTTGGCAGAGTGGGGAAGTACAAGGTGAGTTTCCAGCTAGTTCTCTACGTGGAGTCTTCTTCTGCTAACTTGACCATTGCACCCTTGGTGACTTGGACTACTTTTTAATACTCAAATAGTGAGACCAAGAGCAATGAGCACTATATTATTTCTTCTCTAAATGACAGCTGAAGTAAGTTAAAGGCTTGGAGTAGAAACGTGGCTCCTGCCCAACTGAAGTTCCTTTATGTCATCTTTTTGGTTTCAAGACTTCTTCACACTCTTAAAAGCTATTGAGGCAGTTCCAAGATGGCTGAATAGGAACAGCTCCAGTCTACAGTTCCCAGCATGAGCGACACAGAAGATGGGTGATTTCTGCATTTCCAACTGAGGTACCGGGTTCATCTCACTAGGGCTTATCGGACAGTGGTTGCCAGACAGTGGGTGCAGCACACTGAGCATGAGCCGAAGCAGGGGGAGGCATCACCTCACCTGGGAAGCACAAGGGGTCAGGGAATTCCCTTTCCTAGCCAAGCAAAGCTGTGACAGACAGCACCTGGAAAATCAGGTCATTCCCACCCAAATACTGTGCTTTTCCAATGGTCTTAGCAAACGGCACACCAGGAGATTATATCCCATGTCTGGCTTGGAGGGTCCCATGCTCATGGAGCCTCTCTCATTGCTAGCGCAACAGTCTGAGATGGAACTACAAGGCGGCAGTGAGGCTGGGGGAGGGGCGCCCACCATTGCTGAGGCTTGAGCAGGTAAAAAAAGTGGCCAGGAAGCTCGAACTGGGTGGAGACCACCACAGCTCAAGGAGGCCTGCCTGCCTCTGTAGACTCCACCTCTGGGGGCAGGGCATAGCTGAACAAAAGGCAGCAGAAACCTCTGCAACTTAAATGTCCCTGTCTGACAGCTTTGAAGAGAGTAGTGGTTCTCCCAGCATGGAGTTTGAGATCTCAGAATAGACAAACTGTCTCCTCAAGTGAGTCCCCGACCCCCAAGCAGTCTAACTGGGAGGCATCCCCCAGTAGGAGGAGACTGACACCTCACATGGCCGGGTACCCCTCTGAGACAAAAACCCCATTTGCTAGTCACCATCATCAAAGACCAAAGGTAGATAAAACCACAGAGATGGGGAAAAAACAGATCAGAAAAACTGAATATTCTAAAAATCAGAGTGCCTCTCCTCCTCCAAAGGAACGCAGGTCCTCAACAGCAATGAAACAAAGCTGGACGGAGAATGACTTTGAAGAGTTGAGAGAAGAAGGCTTCAGACGATCAAACTTCTCCAAGCTAAAGGAGGAAGTTCGAACCCATCGAAAAGAAGTTAAAAACCTTGAAAAAAAAAATAGACAAATGACTAACTAGAATAACCAATGTAGAGAAGTCCTTAAATGACATGATGGAGCTGACAACCATGGCATGAGAACTACGTGACGAATACACAAGCCTCAGTAGCCAATTCAATCAACTGGAAGAAAGGGTATCAGTGATTGAAGATCAAATGAGTGAAATGAGGCTAGAAGTTTAGAGAAAAAAGAATAAAAAGAAATGAACAAAGCCCCCAAGAAATGTGGGACTACGTGAAAAGACCAAATCTACGTCTGATTGCTGTACCTGAAAGTGAGGGGGAGAATGGAACCAAGTTGGAAAACACTCTGCAGGATATTGTCCAGAAGTTCTCCAACCTAGCAAGGCAGGCCAATATTCAAATTCAGGAAATACAGAGAATGCCACAAATATACTCCTCGAGAAGAGCAACCCCAAGACACATAATAGTCAGATTCACCAAAGTTGAAATGAGGAAAAAATGTTAAGGGCAGCCAGAGAGAAATGTCGGGTTACTCACAAAGGGAAGCCCATCAGACTAATAGCTGATCTCTCAGCAGAAACTCTACAAGCCAGAAGAGAGTGGGGGCCAATATTCAACATTCTTAAAGAAAAGAATTTTCAACCCAGAATTTCATATCCAGCCAAACTAAGCTTCATACTGAAGGAAAAATAAAATCCTTTACAGACAAGCAAATGCTGAGAGATTTTGTCACCGCCAAGCCTGCCCAAAAAGAGCTCCTAAAGGAAGCACTAAACATGGAAAGGAACAACCGGTACCAGTTACTGCAAAAACATGCCCAATTGTAAAGACCGTCAATGCTAGGAAGCAACTGCATCAACTAACGAGCAAAATAACCAGCTAATATCATACTGACAGGATCAAATTCACACATAACAATATTAACCTTAAATGTAAATGGGCTAAATGCTCCAATTGAAAGACAAAGACACAGACTGGCAAATTGGATAAAAAGTCAAGACCCATCAGTGTGCTGTATTCAGGAAACACATCTCACATGCAGAGACACACATAGGCTCAAAATAAAGGAATAGAGGATGATCTACCAAGCAAATGGAAAACAAAAAAAGACAGGGGTTGCAATCCTAGTCTCTGATAAAACAGATTTTAAACCAACAAAGATCAAAAGAGACAAAGAAGGCCATTACATAATGGTAAAGGGATCAATTCAACAAGAAGAGCTAACTATCCTAAATTTATATGCACCCAATACAGGAGCACCCAGATTCATAAAGCAAGTCCTTAGAGACCTACAAAGAGACTTAGACTCCCACACAACAATAATGGGAGACTTTAACACCCCACTGTCAATATTAGACAGATCAACGAGACAGAAAGTTAACAAGGATATCCAGAATTGAATTCAGCTCTGCACTAAGCGGACCTAATAGACATCTACAGAACTCTCAACCCCAAATTATCAGAATGTGCATTCTTCTCAGTACTACAATGCACTTATTCCAAAATTGACCACATAGTTGGAAGTAAAGCATTCCTCAGCAAATGTAAAAGAACAGAAATTATAACAAACTGTCTCTTAGAACACAGTGCAATCAAACTAGAACTCAGGATTAAGAAACTCACTCAAAACCACTCAACTACATGCAAACTGAACAACCTGCCCCTGAATGACTACTGGGTAAATAATGAAATGAAGGCAGAAATAAAGATATTCTTTAAAACCAACGAGAACACAGACACAACATACCAGAATCTCTGGGACACATTCAAAGCAGTGTGTAGAGGGAAATTTATAGCACTAAATGCCCACAAGAGAAAGCAGGAAAGATGCAAAATTGACACCCTAACATCACAATTTAAAAGAACTAGAGAAGCAAGAGCAAACGCATTCAAAAGCTAGCAGAAGGCAAGAAATAACTAAGATCAGAGCAGAACTGAAGGAGATAGAGACACAAAAATCCCTTCAAAAAATCAGTGAATCCAGGAGCTGGTTTTTTGAAAAGATCAACAAAATGTATAGACCACTAGCCAGATTAATAAAGAAGAAAAGAGAGAAGAATCAAATAGATGTAATAAAAAATGATAAAGGGGATATCACCACCAATCACACAGAAATGCAAACTACCATCAGAAGATACTATAAACACCTCTACACAAATAAACTAGAAAATCTAGAAGAAATGGATAAATTACTGGACACATACACCCTCCTAAGACTAAACCAGGAAGAAGTTGAATCTCTGAATAGACCAATAACAGGCTCTGAAATTGAGGCAATAATTAATAGCTTACCAACCAAAAAAAGTTCAGGACCAGACGGATTCACAGCCGAATTCTGCCAGAGGTACAAGGAGGAGCTGGTACCTTTCCTTCTGAAACTGTTCCTATCAGTAGAAAAAGAGGGAATCCTCCCTAACTCATTTTATGAGGCCAGCATCATCCTGATACCAAAGTCTGGCAGAGACACAACAAAAACAGAGAATTTTAGACCAATATCCCTGATGAACATCGATGGAAAAATCCTCAATAAAATACTGGCAAACCAAATCCACATCAAAAAGCTTATCCACCATGATCAAGTGGGCTTCATCCCTGGGATGCAAGGTTGGTTCAACATATGCAAATCAATAAACGTAATCCAGCATATTAACAGAACTAAAGAAAAAAACCACATGATTATCTCAATAGATGCAGAAAAGACCTTTGAAAAATTCAACAGCCCTTCATTCTAAAAACTCTCAATAAATTAGGTGTTGATGGGACGTATCTCAAAACAATAAGAGCTATTTATACAAACCCACAGCCATTATCATACTGAATGGGCAAAAACTGGAAGCATTCCCTTAGAAAACTGGCACAAGACAGGGATGCCCTCTCTCACCATTCCTATTCAACATAGTGTTGGAATTTCTGGCCAGGGCAATCAGGCAGGAGAAGGAAGTAAAGGGTATTCAATTAGGAAAAGAGAAACTCAAATTGTCCCTGTTTGCAGATGACATGATTGTATATCTAGAAAACCCCATTGTCTTAGCCCAAAATCTCCTTATGCTGATAAGCAACTTCAGCAAACTTTCAAGATACAAAATCAATGTGCAAAAATCACAAGCATTCTTATACACCAATAACAGACAAACAGAGAGCCAAATCATGAGTGAACTCTCATTCACAATTGCTTCAAAGAGAATAAAATACCTAGGAATCCAACTTACAAAGGATGTGAAGGACCTCTTCAAGGAGAACGACAAACCACTGCTCAAGGAAATAAAAGAGGATACAAACAAATGGAAGAACATTCCATGCTCATGGGTAGGAAGAATCAATATCGTGAAAATGGCCATACTGCCCAAGGTAATTTACAGATTCAATGCCATCCCCATCAAGCTACCAATGACTTTCTTCACAGAATTGGAAAAAACTACTTTAAAGTTCATATGGAACCAAAAAAGAGCCCGCATTGCCAAGTCAATCCTCAGCCAAAAGAACAAAGCTGGAGGCATCACGCTACCTGACTTCAAACCATACTACAAGGCTACAGTAACCAAAACAGCATGGTACTGGTACCAAAACAGAGATATAGATCAATGGAACAAAACAGAGCCCTCAGAAATAATACCACACATCTACAACCATCAGATCTTTGACAAACCTGACAAAAACAAGAAATGGGAAAAGCATTCCCTATTTAACAAATGGTGCTGGGAAAACTGGCTAGCCATATGTAGAAAGCTGAAACTGGATCCCTTCCTTACATCTTATACAAAAATTAATTTAAGATGGATTAAAGACTTACATGTTAGATTTAAAACCATAAAAACCCTAGAAGAAAACATAGGCAATACCATTCAGGACATAGGCATGGGCAAGGACTTCATGTCTAAAACACCAAAAGCAATGGCAACGAAAGCCAAAATTGACAAATGGGATCTAATTAAACTAAAGAGCTTCTGCACAGCAAAAGAAACTACCATCAGAGTGAACAGGCAACCTAAAGAATGGGAGAAAATTTTTGCAACCTATTCATCTGACAAAGGGCTAATATCCAGAATCTATAAAGAATTCAAACAAATTTACAAGAAAAAAACAAACAACCCCATCAACAAGTGGGCGAAGGACATGAACAGACACTTCTCAAAAGAAGACATTTATGCAGCCAACAGACACATGAAAAAATGCTCATCATCACTGGCCATCAGAGAAATGCAAATCAGAACCACAATGAGATACCATCTCACATCTGTTAGAATGGCGATCATTAAGAAGTCTGGAAACCACAGGCGCTGGAGAGGATGTGGAGAAATGGGAACACTTTTACACTGTTGGTGAGACTGTAAACTAGTTCAACCACTGTGGAAGACAGTGTGGCGATTCCTCAGGGATCTAGAACTAGAAATACCATTTGACCCAGCCATCCCATTACTGGGTACATACCCAAAAGATTGTAAATCATGCTGCTATAAAGACACATGAACACGTATGTTTATTGAGGCACTATTCACAGTAGCAAAGACTTGGAACCAACCCAAATATCCATCAATGATAGACTGGATTAAGAAAATGTGGCACATATACACCATGGAATACTATGCAGCCATAAAAAGGGATGAGTTCATGTCCTTTGTGGGGACATGGATGAAGCTGGAAACCATCATTCTCAGCAAACTATCACAAGGACAAAAACCAAACACCGCATGTTCTCACTCATAGGTGGGAACTGAACAATGAGAACACCTGGACACAGGAAGGGGAACATCACTCACCAGGGCCTGTTGTGGGGTCGGGGGAAGTGGGGGGAGGGATAGCATTAGGAGATATACCTAATGTAAATGACAAGTTAATGGGTGCAGCACACCAACATGGCACATGTATACATATGTAGCAAACCTGCACATTGTGCACACATAACCTACAACTTAAAGTATAATAATTAAAAAAAGCTACTGAGAACCCCAAAAAGCTTTTGTTTATGTGGATTTTATTTGTAGATATTTACATCCAAACTTAAAACTGAGAATATTTTTAATATTTATTAATTTTTTACAAAAATAATGAAACCATCACATATCAATATAAATTTTATGTTTTATGAAAAATAACATATTTTCCCAAAAAAATTACTTAAAACAGTAGCATCAGTTTATATATTTTTAGATCTCCTTAATGTGTGGCTTAATAAATGACAATTGGATCCTGACAGTTGCTTCTGCATTCCATTTGTTGGGTATAAACTCTACTTTATACTTGTGAGAGAATGAGTGAACTGAAGGAAAAAAGATTTTATGAAGATAGTTTTGACCTCACAGGCCTCACCTCCACCGCCAAAATATCACTGAGACTTTCATGAGTAACTAAATCACATTTTGAGAACCACTGCTCTACACAAAATTCAGTACTATGAAAATAAGTTTGAGAATTCAAAATGCTTATGATAGAATAAGGTAGTCAGAAATACACTCTCTTCAACTGAAGGATACATGGGAAAAATTAAAGCTTACCTACAGAAGTATAAGTTTACAAATAACTTACTATTTAAGTCTGGAGGATAATGATCAGGGGCTCATAGAGGACCTGATGTTGAACTTTACGTAACAGTAGAGACTTGCTTGAAGTGAAGACTCACACACACAAGGTTCAACAAGTTTATTGGAGACCAGTGACTAGAGTTGTAAAATATAAAAACATCTGAGCTACAAGCCTTCATAGAAGTCATCTATTACCATCTTTACTCTTTTCTATATTATAAAATTGAGGTTCATTCAGATTTCCTCAATCCTAATTAAGCATTCTTTACTCTGCACCAAGTTACAGAACTGAAAAGCAGCATTTCAAATATGCCCACCACAGGCTAATTTTATTTTTCGTAACATTTGGAGGAAGGGGTAGTTAGTGATCCCTTTGAATGGTTAATGAAATCTAAGAATCTATTCCTTAGAAAAATATATAGATGCACATATACATAGGTCCCTGAAGCTCAAGTATAAACTACACATTTCCCAGTGAAAACTGTTTATTGTCATCCAGAACATCTCAAATATGAGTTTTTTTCTACTGGAATCTGAGGATCATGGCTATTCTCCAAAGGTAGTTTAAGAGATAATGGTATTTCCTGTCACCAAGATGATATAGATAAGAGACTGGCCTCATATCCTAAAGGTAAAAAGATGGATTACATACAGCCCTCTGAAAATTCACTTTCTGACATTGAATCAGGGTTCATAGTTTATTCTCTCTTATGAGAATATACTCATACATATTTTCCTATGAGAAAATATATATAAATACTCCTATGAGAATGCATACTCATACATCATTAATACATATCAATGATATACAGTGTAGCCAGCTTTCTTAGAGATTATTCTCAGTTTATCAAGTGCAGGAGTGATAGATTATGATCATATCAAATCCCCAGTGTAAGGCACACCTTGGAAATGAAAGAACAATAGTAAATATTAAACCACTAAGTTTGGAGTTCAACAACAATAAATTATGATGTTCTTTTGTTTGGTAATTTCAGAAGAGGAAATATTACAGGCAAGTTCCACTAATGTGCAACAACTATGTAAGATAACGAAAGAATAATAGTCTAGACAGATGATGGTTTTAGCTTCAGCACAATACCACTGGATGTACTTTCTCTATTTCAAATAAATTCAATAGATGTTTATGAGCCAAGATTGTATGCAAGGCACATACTCTAGTAAAATGATTTATTTTCAATCAAAATATTTAAGATGAGGCATCATCTAATCTAGTAATCACTTTTTACAGATAAAGAAACAGAAACAAGTGAGTTTGGTGATGGTTTGTACAAGGTTAGCCTAATTTACTGAAATGTGGGAACAACATCAAAAAGAGAACTCGGTCAAACACTCTCACCATGGTATATGCCCACCAATATTTTTCACCCTTTCTGGGAAACCTTCCCTGACTGTTCAAGTAAATCTGATCATTTATCTTCTGTGCCACAAATGAGCCAAGTACATAGATCCATCGTTGTAATTACTCATAGTATTACAATTATTTACATCTCCCCATTTATCTGGAAAAGAGATTAAGAGTATGGGCACTGGAGCTCCAATCTCAACCACTTACAAGCTGAATGACTTGGAGGAAGTCTCTTTAGCTCTCCATGCTTCAGTTTCTTTTTTTAACTTTTTAATTTTTTTATTGCTTCTTTCTTTTTTTTTATGCTTCATTCTCTTTATCTGCAAACTGGAGTGGGTATGGTACCCAACTCATAGAGGTGTTAATGAGATTTAAATGAGAAAATCTATGTAAAATGTTTAGCACAGTGCCTGGCACATGCTAAGAGCTGAAAAATGAGCTGTTGTTATTTTTCTTATTTTTAAGGTATTTCTTGAGTGCCAATAATATTTCTGGTTCCAAGGATACCTTGGATGTTCAGTCAAAAAAAAATTGTTGGGTATCTAATATATACTAAGTGCTATGCCAAACACTGAATGTTCAAAAAATAGTAAAATACAGTATTCAGCATGATAATAATTGTAATTGAAATGAACTGATGTTATAATAGTAAACACAAATGAAAATGTGGTTAACAGCTAGAGAGGGTAGAGGCAAATTGCATGGGGAAAGAAAATTCTTCTTATTATTCCCCCTCTTTTTTCTGTATTTCTTTTTATTGTGGTAAGAAAAACTGAAATTTTTCCTACACTTCTGTAAGGGCTGGAGAGAAATCTAAGGCAAAGGAAAGTTACTTGGGCAGAGTGGCATGTGTTTTCAGCTAATATGTATGAGCTTGTAATGCAATGCAGAGCAAGAAGGGAGAAATGCACTATTAACAAAAGGCCGGGAATATTGTTTCACAAAAAAAATATAATCAGGTAATCAGAAGAATACAAATTACTCATGTAGATGAGAGAGAATGGTCTTTGGAAAATAATGTATATTATCACCAATCATCTGTGTCCTATTTCAAGAGGGAACTAAATAAAACCCACTGTGGAGACCCCATTTTCCTTTCCTCAACACACATCTATTTCCAGCTACAGATCAGAGAGTCCCTGTCTTGTGTCCCAGATACTTCATTCCCAAGAGCAATTAGACAAAGCTATCATATCTTCCCTTGGCCATCTGGGTTACATGACTATTAAAACATAACTTCTATGATTTACTAAAGTTTTATTAGACTTATATTCTTGTAACATGCCCAAAATATAATTATGGCATGAAGAACAATCCTTGGAAGCAATTCCAAATAATTGCATGACAATATAAATATGAGACTAATTATCAATGATCACATCCAAACAGAGGTCATAAAAGATTTTTAACCGAGGTATATCATTGAACACCAAAAAAAAAAGTACAGTGGTAGATTTTATGATATGTGTATCTGCTCAGTTGGAGAGAAAATGCAATTAACTCTTTTTTCATAGGCCAGTGTATTATTCCCATGATCATTACTTAGCTAAGCTACTTAAGGATAACTGTCCTTTAGAGAAAGGACTCTGGTTCTCATTAACTAGATTTCTGACCCATAGAGGAGTTTTAGCATTTATTTTCAGGTACTTTATTTTTTTCAATTAAGCATTTCATCAAAATTTAAAGTAGTAGTGTGATTTAATATTATTTTATCAAAAGTCCTGATCAATAAATCCAATCAGACCATTGGGTTAAGTCCAAAAAATAAAAGTCAAGCTTCTTGGTATTGCCGTTCTTTAAAAATGTATTAAAACGTATTCTGAAATATTCTCCAAAGTAGGTTTGCTTTGAGACAGGTTTACCTTGATATTTAGAAATCAAAATAACCAATAATCATCAGAGCTTCTACAAAATAAGCAAAAAAGTCAGTTAAAGTCATATAAGCATGTCATAGAGATTATTAATAATCCAATGTGAAAGAGAACCATGATACAGTATACATAATTATCATAGATAATGGGTCCAAGGATATTGTATTTGAGATCATCAAAGGGTGGATTAATAAAGAATGACTGGCATTTATACTCTCTGCTCTTTCAGATAGAATACAGTAATTGCACTTTTGCTCAAGTCTTTAATAGCGTGCCTTTCAAATTTATTAGCATAATATTTTCAAAATAAAAAATACAAATTTGAAGCACGTCTTATATCTTTCCTACAACTTAAAAAAATTTAATGAACTAAAATTCTGTTATACTGTAGATCTTTCATATTTACTTTAAAATCTATTATCATGTGTAAATTTCAAACGTTATTCGTTCAAGTGATTGGGTCCCCACACCCACACCAAAAGGAAAAGAGTAAATGGCAGGGAAGGCACAAGAAGGAAATGGTCTCTCCTGTATGCTCTTTAGAAATGAAAGTGCTATGGGTGAGTTACTGCATTTTGTCTTTTTTTGCAGGTTTCCAGATCCCTAACTAGTAAAAAAAAAGTTGCTATTAAAGTCTCTGTCGAAGCAGGGAGAAAAAGATCGGAGGCACATTTGCAGAGGTCCAGAGGTGAGAGAGGCAGAGCAGAGCTATATTCATGGAATGCCAAGCTGTTCAGAATGTAGGAAGTGCCTGTTGAAAAGAGGGCAGTAAGAACAGGAGGTGAGACTGAGAGGCTGCATGCCTAAAGAGCATCCTGTGCTGGCTGAGGAGCCTGGGCTTCATACTACAGCAAATGGGAGCCATTTAAATTTTCATTAGGGGAATAATGCTTTCAGTTCTGTGCTCTGAAAAGATCTCTCAGCCTGCAGTGTGGACAAGATAAAGAAAACAATATTGGAGGAAGGCAGAGCAATTGGGTGGGGCTATTGCAATAATTTAGGGGAAGATGACGTTGTTATGAACAAAGTTTATGACAGTGAGCATGGAGAGAAGCAGCTGGCTGTGAGAGATATTAAGGAGGTAGAAGCTGCCAGACCTGATGATTGATCGTGGAGGCACTAGAATGAGCTCAAGGCACTCGAGCTTTTCCCTCCAGCAACAGGATAAATAATACTGCCTGGGTTTCCTTTGGAACATTCAGTAGTGATATCTACAAAGCAGACTGATACACAGGTAAGTGCTCAGAAGAATGATCTGGGCTAGGGCTAGAGACCCCTATGGTAGATGCATTTCTTCTGCACTTCTAGAGCAAGTTGTATCTATTTCTATTGTCACATTAATCCTGTTACTGAAATTATATGTTTACTCCCTGTCTCCTCTACTAAACTGTGCATTCATTGGAACAGAGATAATTTATATTCATCTTTTCTTCCTCCAGTGCCTAACAAGCAATTATTATAAGAGCTAACTATGATTGAGAGCTTTTTATTTGCAAGGCAATGTTCTTACATACATTAATTAATTCAATCCTCACAACAACCTATGAGGTAGTAGTATTATTACTCCCATATTAAGATGCAGAAACTGAGGCTAGAGTCAATAAATAAATCTACCAAAGTCATGCTGCTAGTAAAACACTGAACATAGATCGTCTGGTCAATAGCTCATGCTATGTCACCTTGGACACATACATAGTAGGCTCTTACCTGTTTATTAAAATAAGTTGACCTGATGATTATATGGAAAATGTGTTAACTAAAGCGATGGAAGAAAGGAGATAAGGGAGCATTGCCAGTGCTTAGAGCTCCTGAGAAGAAAGGAGGGGATAGCAAAAGATGTTAGGTAAAATGAATGCCTCTACTATTATCTAAGTGTAGTGATGGTCAGGACAGCTGGGTGGCTTGGGGTGACTCTATTTCCCCAGTTATCAAGCTACTACTTTCAGGCTAGAGAGAACAAGCACTAAGTGGAGCATCTGCATTGACTTCTGTGAGCAAGAAGGGTTGGCCCACTTCTATTACCTACTACAACCTGAGCCCCATCCAGCACCTGCTCAGTTATTAGGAAGTTCTCACTAACTTGCCTTCACTTGTCAGCCCTTCTCCAGCTTCCTGTTTTCTTCTAAACACCTCAAATGACTTCCCTCATTTTTGCACAAAATGCCAAAGTGCCTGTCACTTCTGGTCATCCATAGAAACAAGCAATCTTTCTTTGCCTGGTTGTTTCTCTGCCCACTACTACAAAGCCTATCCCAATCCACTGCATAGTCATAACCATGCTTCAAACTACAAAGCTGATCACATCATTCCCTTGTTAAATTCTTCAGTGGCTTGTTACTACTCTTAGAACAAGGATTTAAATCCCCAAAAAGGCCTACAAAGCCCTGCATAATATGGCCCCTGGTTGCCTCTTCCACCACAGCACAGGCCACCTGCCCTTGTTTTAGGAAGTTCAGCCACACTGATTTGCCTCCAGATCCTCAAAGGTACTGGGTGCCCTGTAGTTATAGGGCCTTTGCGGATGCTGCCCCTCTCCCTGACTGGCTTTCCCATCCTTTCTTACATAGTGAATGCCAACTCTTCCTTCAGGTACCAGTTGAAATGCTACCTGTTCTTAAAACCTTCTCTAGTCTACCTAAGTTAAATTCCTTTCATAAGTGCCCAGATGTTTTTCCTTCATAGCAGTTTGTAATTTTATGTTTATTTGTAAAAATTCTTAAATTATTTCTCTCTGTTTCTCCTATTATCTTACTCTATATATTCCATGGAGACAAGAATAGCAATTTCTCATCTTTGTATCTGTAGTGCTTTGTATCCATACTTCTGTGTTTGGTGCATTCTAGGTCCTCAAAAATTAAATACTATCTGACTTATGCTCAGTCCTCTTTATTGCTAGATATAAGCTTCTGGAATTTCATAGAGTCAGGCTTCATAAGTTACATATTATGTCAAGGTTTCTCAAGCTTGGCACTGTTGACTTTTGAACTAGATAATTCTTTGTTGGAGGAGGGCAGTCCTACACTTTGCAGGATGTTTGGCAGCATCTGGCCTCTATCCACTAGAGGCCAGTAGCACTGACTCCTCCAAGTCACGACAATCAAAACTGTCTCCAGTCATTGCCAACTGTCTCATGGTGGGGGGAGCAAAATTATCCCTGGATAACAACTGTCTCAGGGGCTGACGTGAGAGAGTGGTCAGGGAAAGAGAAGAAGATTTGCCTTAAAAGAGATAGAATCCTCTTGCAATCCTCTTGAATTTTTTTTTGTCTAGATACATGCATGTTTTCATTCCCTATGTGCCAAGCCTTTGACTTATCTCAGTGTTGTCAGTTAACCTCAAAACAATTGTTTTCTCATGTACTGAATTACTTTTTAATCATATATCAATGTCTCTATCTTTCTCTTTCTTCTCTTTCTCTCCACCCTCCTCACCTCTGTTTGTGTGTGTGTTTGTGTTTGTCCCTCTCTCTTTCTCCCCCTCTCTCTCACTCTCATTTCCCCCCGGATGCTAACATTAGCTAGGATCTTTCTCTTCAGTCTGCAATTCCCCATATTAGTTATCTAATGTCACTTCATTACTGCATCATAAACCACACCAGAATTCAGTGGCTGAAGATCATCAGAGGAGTGGCTGCTCCTAACTGGGCTTCTCAGGTGTGGTCTGGCTCTGCCCTCCTATCCCTCATCCCCCTGGGACTACAGGACTAACCAAGACATGTTCTTCTCATGGTGAGTCCAGAGTATAGCAAGTCCAATTAAGCAAGCATTTTTCAAGCTTTTGGCCATGTCACACCTGCTTACATGCAATTGATCAAAGCAAATCATATGAACAAACTCGTATAAGGGTAGGAAGAAAATGCAAAGCCACATGGCAAAAGGTGTGGTTACAAAGAAGAATGAGAAACTGAGGCCATTGTAATCTACTGCATGCCCCATTCAAGTTATTATTATTATTTCCAATATTTTAATCAATCTCCTCAGTCTCACACTTGTGCTTTATTTCTCTCCAAAAGTAAGAGTAGTCCTGATTGTGCCAGCAAATGTGACAATAAAGTAATAGCCCAGTGCTCAGCCACTAAGTCATACATCATAATAGTCAATGCAGGTGCTAAAGGCTTACCTATCAACTTTTGATTTATAAATAAAACAGATTTGTCCCCTGATGCCACTGTGTAATTTCACTCAATTTTCAGAATAGATGGGGCTTTACTTCTACACGAGAGGAGTAATTATCACTATTTTTAACATTTGGTTGCACATTTACCTTCTAAAATTAGTCATTTTCTACAAATGAGATGATTAGGAATGGCCAAAATATAATAATCAAACACCTAAGGAAGAGTGTTTCATCTGCAGTTTCTCTATTAAAGACAAGAGGTTTGTAAAACATATGGCAATGAAAAGGAGAAGGAAATTACAAGAAATCTTTTCTGCAGGATAAGTAAGATATTGCTACACCACAGAGTTGTGTGTGTGGCACAAGGTGCCCAAATATTAATTGTATTTAGCACTGATAAAACCAAATGGCTTATTTCTCTCCAGATTTGGCCCCTATTCTCCTACTGGAATTCTGGATTATCCAAGTTAGAATTCTCATCTTTTCCCTTGTATTTTGAAGTTGGAAAACCTGAGCTGGTAAGGCCCATTCCCAATCTAGCAGTCCCAATCTAGGAGTTAGGCATGCACTTGATAACACTTCTTGGTCCATCTTCCCAAGAAAGAGCAATAGAAGGATTGAAATTAGCAGCCCACAAGGCTTTGGCCCTCTTCTTGGGTGCCGGTTCCTTCTCATGCTTCATCAGTTCATCACACTGTCCAAACAATAGTACTGGCTTTATAGCATCCTGGAAAATTACAAAGGTAACCCAGACCCTTAAACCTTGAGTACTTAACATTTCCATCTCCGCGTATCACAGGAACATAAATGTGATCATGTCCAAGTCAAACTTGCTCTTCTTTCTGTGCTGTCTGTTTCAATAAATAGGTATACAACCACCCAATTACTCCAGAGTAGCATCTTTGAATGATTCCTTTTCGCTTAACCCCTGCCTATATCCAAGCTGTCTCCAAATACATTGAGTTCCTTCTCCCAAGTATTACATGAACACCTTTCCTCTATCTTTGCCATCACCTTAGTCAAATCCACTGTAAACTTTCACTGGAAAGCTACAGTACTTTCTACTTTATCTCTTTGCATTAAATCTCATCCTCCTCTCATCCATTCTGTAGGCTATGGGGCCTTGTTAAAAAGTAAGTCTGAGCATTTCTCTTACTGTCTTAAAATTCCACAAAGCCTTTCCTTTGTTCATAGGAGGAACAAAGGTTCAAAATCCTTTATCTAGACTTTTTGGCTCATTCCACAAGGTAACTGCAGTGATAGTAAAATAGAACAGTTTACTAAAGAAATTTATGGCAGCACAAGTGATTTCGCTGGTCTCCCCATATCAGTCAAAAGTTGTCTCAAGCTGTCCACCTCTACGAAGAGGGAAGCTCTGCTCTTTAGGCTGCCTTCCTAATAGGTGCTGAGTGACAAGATAAGAAAGCATTTGTAGATTCATAGGAGACTGGAGGAGACAGGTATTCTAATCTACCTCCCATTACAGTTCCTGATACATAATAGGTATCCAATAAATGTTTATTTAATTAATTAAAAGTGTTGTAACAATGATGTTTTTATTCTTGCATTAGGAAAAAAGAAAATTAAGGTCGGTTAAGTGCCTTTGCCAAAGACTGGAGAGCTTGCAAATGAGTGAGCCAGCAGATCTGAGAGGCAGCATCTGCAAGGTTCAGTCCATGTATAGAAACACACATCCCTTCTCTGTTACCTTACTCTAGAGAACACTGGAAAGTGAAACCAGCAAGAGGGTTATATCCTGACATTATGGAGCTAACCATGATGTATTTGAACCTAGAAAATATTGGAGGATTTAAAAAGAAACTTCAAAGAAGTAAAATATTCCAATTCAATACAACAACATCTGCTATAAGCTGAAGTTGAGAAAGACAATGGTATGGAGTGTGGAGCTCACACTCTAGTAGAAAAGATAGGCATGTAAACAAATGATTACAATAAAATATCATGAAATAATAAACAAATGACTTAGATAAATATCATGAGATAACATGTGACCCATTCCTCCATCCTCTGCAGAGTGGGAGCACTTTAAAAATCTGGACTGCAAATAACAAAAACTCTGTAGCTCACTTGGGAAATAGATATTTGCCCAAAGAAGACCAATCCTGGGTAAGTTGTGAGGTATTGAAGAACAGTGAAAGTACGCATTAAGCCCCATTTCCACACTGAGACCTCTCAAAGCATATCTCCAGCTCAGATTTTCCTACTGAGTTACAGACCAGTATATCCTCCTGGATGTCCCACAGGTAAGAAAGTTAAGTTCACCATGGAAATTATAATCTTCTCTCCCAATTCTGTTTCTCTTCTTGCATTTGCATTTGCAATGCTGGTGTGCGGCAGCTGTATCCACCCTGGGAGGCATTCTGGACATGGCCCATAGTAAAGCCAGCTTACCTCTGTAAAATCAAACTGATCCCATTAATCACCAGGGGGAAAAAAGTCCATCCCTGATTCCCTTTTTCTTCAATATAAATTCCAGACACCTTCGAATCCCTTGGTTCTACTTGCGCCACTACCTGGCACACAGCCCTAGTCAGTTTCCTCCGATCACTTCCATTGCCTCCTTCACATGCCTCTCTCCAAGCAGCGCCACACGATATTGTGGTCATCTTATCTGCCAACTTTTTTAGCACCAGGCCTAGTGCTTCGTACAGGTTTAGTGGCAATAATTATTACTCAAATGAACGAAGGAATGAAAGTCAAAGTTTTAGGGTCACTGTTTACTGACTGTAAAATCTTGGACAGGTATAATTACCTAACCTCTCTTTACCTTAAGTCTCTGATCTCTGAAATGGCAATTGTATCGATCCTCCTAAGCCACTGTGAGGATTTTAAAAAGCTTACATAAGTGAATGGACTTTGTAACAAAGAAAGTGCCATGTAGCGTAAGTTGCTGTTTTAATTTTGGTACTTTATTAGGTAATCCTACCATTTTGAGACTGGTAAAAAAAAAAATCCAGTATCTGTTTAACTTCAAGAATAAGCCTTGAAAATTTCTTGGTGAACAGAATTTCAAGACATAAGGTTGTTCATGCCAGTGTCATCAGTGCCCTTAATTACAGAGACGCAAGAAGTGGATGAGTTGTCAGGGTTCTAAGAGCACAATTTCTCCCCACTCCACCACTCTATTTACATAGAGAGTTCTCATGTACTTGCAGTTTGGTAGGGGAAGAGAAGTGGAAAATGATACAAGGTATTATAACAAAGTCCACTTGTAAATAACTATAACTTGAGTTAATTACATTGACATTTCTCAGCAAGGATTAAGTAAATCAGAAGGGGGAAAAAGCGGATGAGAAAGGAAAAAGCAAGGGATGGACTACAAGAGCATACCTTTTGTCTTTCATTCAGGAGTATAATTAAATTAAGTAGGATTGATTGAGCGTCAAACATCTGTGGGAGTCATTTCCAAACTTCATTAATGCTATTGTGCCTGAAGACGCCTCAGTGGTAATTTCTCTCACAAGTATCTAATGAGAGTCTAGCCTTGTGATAGGAAAACATGACATCCAGCCACTGTGTCCTATGAGGCTGCCTGTATGTAGGTGAGGAATTTATTAGGAATGTGGCCTGGCAACAGCAAAGCTTACATTATCCACCTCAGCAGTGGGAGTGGGGCAGCAGGCAGCAGAGAGCGGGGGTAATGGAGTCATAAAGTTGAGAGTTTAGACAGCAAGCATAACAGAATAAAAACAGAACTGCTAAGGAGAACTAAATGGTCATAAAATAGATCATATATAATGAGGTACAGCAGATAATGAGGTGCATTTATATGGAAAACACTAAATAAAAATTATGACCATTCCCTCTTTAACCCCATAACCATCAGAGCTTCTCTCAGCAGCTGGGTTTGCAAGGCAAACTAGGGAGAGTGAATTAATTGGAAGGAAAAAAATATATATTGGCCAGCTTAGTTCATTATTGCAAGCATTGCTAATTACACATTGGGCCCCAGTAGAATACTTGGCACTGGGAAAAACATTATGAAAAATCTATAATTCCTGTCCTTTTTGTAGAATTATGATAAAAATATTATAATACTGCTATAGTTATAAAACAATTAAATAGGGATAAATGTAAGGTTGCTTCTGTTTTATTCATTTTACCATTGCGATTAGAGGTTGCCTGCTTCCAAGCTTTGTTCATTCATTCATTTATCAGTTAATGAGCATTTACTATGTACTGGGAGTTCTGGCCAGCTCTAAGGATGCCAAGTTGTAAAAGAACAGTCTCTGCCTTTGAGGAGCTTTTAGTCCCATGCAGAAAACTTACAAGCAATCAAATCACTAAAATAAAAACTTAAGTAGAAAAATAGAGGTAAGCACTGAGTCCCTTGGGAACAAGAGAACGCAGCACTTGGAAGGACACTGAGTACTAAAAAATGAAATCAGCTTGATTTGAGATGTCTTGGTAGACAAAGGAGAGGAGAAGAGGAGGATAGGTTTCAACTTGAGCAAGTAGCATTTATAAAGATACCCGGGTGCGACATGGCAAGACAAAATTAAGGAAGAACTAGGAAAATTAAAAAAAAAAAAAAAGGACCAATGTGACGGGAAAACATGAGTTCTGAGGTTAGAGAGCCTGGCTATGATGCAGAGCAAAGATTTTTATCCTGCTCTCTCTCCCCGCTCTCTCACATCCCCCACAACATAAATGGACATCTCTCAACATAGCATATGCCCCTTTGGCAAGGTAATCTACACTTGACAGAACTAAGACTAGAAATGAATCAATTTCACTGAATTTTCAGTAATCTCTAGGCACTAGTACCATCTGAAACTTCTTTGATATATGATACTAATGATATACGGTACTAACATGAACAGAGCAGCTCTGAAGTTTCAGAAAGTTTTCCTCATTTAAGATTTCACCAGCCGGGTGCGGTGGCTCATGCCTGTAATCCCAGCATTTTGGAAGGCTGAAGCAGGCAGATCACAAGGTCAGGAGATCAAGACCATCCTGGCCAACATGGTGAAACCCCGTCTCTACTAAAATACAAAAAATTAGCCAGGCGTGATGGTAAGTGCCTGTAGTCCCAGCTATTTGGGAGGCTGAGGCAGGAGAATGGCGTGAACCCGGGAGGCGGAGCTTGCAGCGAGCCAAGATCGTGCCACTGCACTCCAGCCTAGGCGACAGAGCGAGACTCCGTCTCAAAAAAAAAAGAATTTCAAAAATTTAATTTCAGGCCAGACACGGTGGCTCACACCTGTAATCCCAGCACTTTGGGAGGCCGAGGCTGATGGATCACCTGAGGTCAGGAGTTCAAGACCAGCCTGACCAACATGGTGAAAGCCCATCTCAATTAAATACAAAAAATTAGCCAGGAGTGGTGGCCTCCCTGTAATCCCAGCTACTTGGGAGGCTGAAGCAGGAGAATCTCGTGAACCTGGGAGACGGAGGTTGCGGTCAGCAGAGATTGCGCCATTGCACTCCAGGCTGGGCAACAAGGTGAAACTTGCTCTCAAAAAAAAAAAAAAAAAAAAAATTATATTTTATTTTTCTCAGGGGCTTGAATGGCAAAGATGAAACCAAGAATGCAAATATCTTATCCAGAAAAAATATATGGCATGAGGCCTACTTGTCTGCACTAAGTGTCTCAAGGGGCATGGCTTAGTCAAACCACAACTCCATGGAACTTAATGAAGCAGAGCACTTTAGTGAAAAGAGAAAAGAAGAAAGAAAATAAAGAAGGAAGGAAAAGGGGAACAAAGGTAAGAAATAGCCTCTTGGTTTTATGCAGCTAACTAGAGCCAGCATTAATCCTCCTTCTTAAATCTATGTGCACTCTGCCTCCGCAGGAGAATAGCGTGTACTCCTCAGGACTTGTGAAATATTAAAATGTCACTCACTGTGACTTAAAGCCAGTCTTCCTCCGCATTCATGGACACCAGTAAAGCAAATCACTGAAGATGGGCACCACAAGAAATTGTTACTAATTCTCTAAATTAGAAAATGTGAACATGTTGGCAGATTAATAATCAAAACTGACAGAATAATTGAGCCACTAAGAGAAGAGACTGGTAGAGCAGTGAGAACATCTATTTAATCACACAAGGAACTTAAGGGGAATGGCACAGATCAGTCAGAAACTATTCTTCTGAAGAATTTTCTAATATGAATAAAGAAAAGCCTTATGAGTCAGCAAACTAAAACAATGAGGCTTCCATAAATCCAATACCTAACTTCTTTATTTCAGTATTCACAAACCAAACGTTAGGGGAATAAAAAGCAGAATATGTTTGAGGCATATGTTAAACAAAGGTGTTAAACATATTGATTTTGACATATTTAAATCTGAACTGAAAGAACGACCACTTATAATACATCCAGCTCCTGGAATTATTAAATTCAGAATGACAATTTCTGTGTTTATGTGTGTGTGTGTGAGTGTATGTGTGTATGTATGTGTATATATTTTTTTATAACATCTTAAACTTTTTCAACTATTTAACCATTTTTTACTAACCCACAAAATGTAACAAATCTCTCTCATACTCACTACTGGCGATGAAGTGATACATCACAATACAAGCCAGAGTCATTAATTTAAGCCATGCAGTAACAGATTTTAGAATGATCTTTAGATGATATTTACTATGACAGCCAGGGATTTTCATCTCAGTCTCCCCTAACTCGAATCTGCTGGCCTGCAGTAACTGGCCTAGCTGCTTACATGTTTCTCAACCCAAGCTTCTTTCCAGAAACCAACTCCTACTCACTCCTTACTACCATTCTTTCAGTCACCTAGGTTAGGAAAGATTGCATTATCATCAATTCTTTTCTCTCCTTTACTTTCCACATTCATCTGAAGCAAGACTGCAATTTCTCTAGCACTTTTCCCTTCTCCTCTTGTTCCACTTTACAAACTGGACTTCCCTTTCATTCCACTAAATAAATAAATGCTTTAACGCATTTCTATAAAGTGTCTGACATGTAAGAGAAGTTGGATCATGTGAGTTCCCTTATCTGGCTTTCCCTTCCAGTTTCTGGCCTAAACTCTACACCATCTAAAGTACAACTCTGATCAGATTATCCTCCTCCTCAAACACCTCCAGGGCACCGCTTTGCTGAAGTATGGCTCATTCAGCAGAGAATTCAAGTTTCTGGTTGCCATTCATCCTTTCAATTTTCTTTCTCACTGCTGTCTTATATACAGCCCTTGTGCATAGTCAAATCAAACAATCACCCAGGGACCAATACAAATATAGCTGAGCTTTAGCCCTAACTAGCCAAGCTTCCATTGGAAATAATTAAATAACCAATTATTTAATTGCAAAAAAAATGGAGACTGACCTTAGTTATCTTAAAATTAAATGTATTGCTTTGTATAGTTGACTTCTCTTGAAGAGAATAAACATCAACAATGAACATGTTACATACTTGCACCCCAATAAACCAGAACACTTATCTATACCATGGGTCAGCAAAGTATGACCCTCAGGCCAAATCTGCTGTTTTTGTATAGCCTGCAAACTAAGAATGGGTTTTACATTTTTAAATTATTTTTGGTGTGTTTGGTTGATTGGTGGGTTGTTTGTTTGTTTGTTTGTCTGTTTTGAGACAGGGTCTCCCTCTGTTTCTCAGGGTGGAGTGCAGCGGGGTAATCACCACTCACTGCAGCCTGGAAATACCAGGTTCAAGTGATCCTCCTGCCTCAGCCTTCCAGGTAGCTGAGACTACAGGCACATGCCACCATGCCAAGCTAGTTTTTTTGTTTGTTTGTTTTTTGTTTTTTGTAACTAGTTTTTTTTTATTATTTTTTGTAGATTTTATTTTTTGACACTATGTTGTCCAGGCTGGTCTCAAACTCCTGTGCTCAAGTGATCCTCCCACATCAGCCTCACAAAGCACTGGAATTATAGGCATGAGCCACCATGCCCAGCCTAAATTGTTAAAAAAAAAAAAAAGGCTAATATATCATGACACATGAACAGTATATGAATTTCAAATTTTAATGTTCACAAATAAAGTTTTACTAGAACACCACCACATTCATTCAACTACAACAGAGTTCAGTACTTGCGACATACACCATAGGCTCTCTGTCTACTAGCTGACCCTTTAAAAACAAAAAATTTGTTAACCCTTGGTCTATACTATTAATTAAGTACTCAACTCGTACTTCTTAGAATTAATATTTATGCTTGTATATATCTCCTATTCCCCTAACTTCCTTTAAGACCTTCAAAAATATAAACCTTCCTGCTACCTTTTAATATTCTGGTCTAGCACATGTGCTTTCCATAGTTGATACTCAAAAGATGCTTGTTCATGAGTTTGAGGCTAGTCTACAAATAGGTATAGATGAGAACACAGATGGATTCTTCTGGGCCTACTGGGGAAAAGGAAACAAGCAGCAGGCTTATTAACTATAGTCTTGATTGTAGAAGATGGTGCTTATTCTCTTATTTTAAAAAATTGTTGGCTATTTGCTAACACCCATTTGACTGTTTCCCAGAAATGCTTTCTCATCTTCCTTGTACTTTTTCACTTAGAGGTAACACAATGCCATTTTGACATTGTGGCTTTTATTGCCATCACTTTTACTAAATTTCAACTTTGACCTAATTACCCCTGACAAAAAACTGTAAGTCTGGAACACAGCTCTTGGAGCAGTAAGTCTAAAACCCAAATATGTCATAAAAGAGGGAATAATGTTCCTAAAAACATCAAAATAACTGACCAATTGGATGTTTCGGTTCAACGACACAGTGATTCTTCAGGGAAAAAATTAAATTGATCATTTGGCTGAATTCACTTAATTTGATCCAAGTACTCTACTTAGCAGCACCATGTAGAAAGTATGTATCTTGATTATTCAAATGACAATGCCCCTCCATCAAGTACAATGTATGTGTGCGCAAATATACACATATGTGTGTCTTACTTAAGATGACCAGATAAAGAGCAATATTTAATCCAAAACATCACCATGAAACATATTTTACACTTTTGAGCTCATGCAGACTTTGCCAGTGATTTTCTGTTCTTTCTTCCCCTGAATCTCCAGAACCTGTCTGAGCTGTCAGCAATGCTATGCCAATTGTTTACAAAACAGACCTCATTCACAGGGGAGATAGAAGCTTGATCCAGCACTTGGAGAAGCTGAGAAAGAAAAACAAAAAAGAAACACTGACAGATTTTTATTTGAAGTAGGAAAATCTAAAGAATAAATAGGATATCAGCAGAATTTCTCTTTTTTTTGGATATAGGCTTATACTAAGAAATAATGTCACAATATTCTTTAGCCTGAGAAACACTTTCCATAGCAGGATTATTGAAATAAGACAAATTGATACATAATGAATTGTATAACCTCAGCATCTGTTGTAATTTCCTTTTCTTTCCTCCACCGCATTTTGTTGTCCCTTCTGTACTTCTCAAAATTTTGCTAGCAGTTTTAATGTAAGACCATATCAAAATCACTCAAAGTATTTCAAAAGTTTCAAATGATGTCTGCTGGTCTTTTCATGTTGGTTGTAAAGAGAATTATAAACACACATTTTCAACACTTGTTCCAAATATATCATATACATGAAGTTTGATGATTGCATTGCCATCAGTAAATCTAATATGGAGTTGAGTTGTGCAGTGGAGTATATTTAGAAAAATTTTAATTCCAAGGAAGTTGGTAGAAGTTTATCTTTATTATATAACTTTATTACCCAGGTACCTTGGTCTTGTGAAATATCAGCTTTCTTCCTTAACATACTTTCAGGAGAAAGCACTTTAGGGGCAGAGAAAACAACTGTAGTTTCTGATTCCCAAGAATCCATTCATCCTACTTTATATGCAGCACGCTCATCTTTATATGGGGACTCAACCTTCCTTCATTCACAAACCACATGGCTGCTGTGAGCTAAGCCCACCTCCAGTTTCTGGAGTAGCATGTGATCCCAGCCTGATCCATCAGATCACCTCCTTCCTCTAGAGGCAGGAATTGGTTCAGCTTTGAGCACACGGTCCGAGTTGAGTCAGTCATGTCCAAGCAGTGCCAGCCTTGTGCCCTGACTGATGGCGCACTTACTCTAATAAACTGTGAGGCTGATGTTGCACCCTAACGGCGAGTCTATCAGTGAAAGGAGTCAATGCCAGAAAGGTTGTGTGGAGAAATAAAGGGAGATCTTGTCCTGATGGAAATCATTTGAGTCCTATGTTGCCCAAAGAATCTTCTTCCCAGACATTTTGGTTTTATGAGCAAAAAAAAAACACCTTTACATTATTCTGAGCTGAGCATTGTGTCACTGCTATTTTAAAAGTCCCAATACAGAAATTAGGGACTTTGCTTTTTCCTGATCCCATAATAAGTAAAAACTCTTGTGCTTTTTTACACCTCCACTTTGGATATCAGGTTCTCATTCCCATGATCTAGGATGCTTCCAAGAACAAGCAGAGATCCCTATTCATGAAATATTTCTGACTAGCTTTTGCCCACCACTTTCCCAACCTTTGGGAAGGGATAAGGACGGATGCTGGTTCCCTCAGAAGACTCATACTCAAATTCTTCAGGATCCGTCATCGTGTAAAGGGAACGGTATTTCGTGAGAACACACTAAAATGAAGAAGACTTTTGAGGAACAGAGGCAGGGAATTAACATTCAGTCCTTCCTCACACGTGGATATTTGGTCTTTATTCTTAGTCTGGAAGAAACAACAGCTTTGATACGGATTTTAAAGGAGACAGTGAATTTCTATGCATTAGGTAGTGGGTGATGGAATTGGTCCACTTACTCCACCTGTTAAATGGGATTGTGAAAAAGAAGCACTGAACTGGTCTGGGCATAGTGAGGAGACTTTGAAAAATGTTAAAAATGAAAGAAACTAGTCTCAATAAAATAACTCAAAGGTTGGGTTTCCTTTGAATGAGCAAGTCTAAAATGTTTCTATTCCTGCTCTAAAATTTAAAAATATCTAAGAATGGATTTAGAAGCTCATCCAAAAGATTTTGATGCTGGGGTTTAGGGTTTGGGGTTTGGGAATGTGTGTGCTGGAGCAACTTCTGAGTCTCAGTGAACCTCCCAGAGGGCAGAGAAACCACTAGTGCTGAGAAAGGGATGTGACAACCAGTTAGAGGCAGACTAGAGATCCAGCTAGCCATGCCAGGGGCTCACCAAAACTCGGCAATCACTTAAATGAGAAGCCATCCTCACAGTCATTTCAACACAAACATGAAAACCCGTAAAGGTGACCTGAAGGAGAGAAGCTATTCCCAATTCATGGCTTAAGAAGTTCTCACTCTGCTTCACAGAAGCCTGACTCTCAAAAATCACACTTAATTTCCAAAAGAGCTACTACATTCAAAGATGCTTTGGAAAACTGTGGAATGCAATTTGAAAAACACGTTTCAGCCCCTGTGGCCATTGAACAAACAGGTGGAAGATGTAATACACTTTCTGGTGATTCAGTGTGGTTGAAGATTAAGGCTTTTTCTTTTGCCCACACACTGGCCATGCACCCAGTCCCTGCTTTATTTTATAGAAAGCTGGTCAAATACATGAAACATCTTCTTTTTAAAATACTTTGTCTTGTCCATTTTTAAGCCAGGTTTTCTTCAACTTAATGTATTAATATTTTTATTAAATTGAGTTTAGTTTTTCAAAGAAGCATTCTTTACAAATTCAAAATAGATCAATTTCCTTATTTCTCACATTCCACCTGATATATACTATTTTATTAAGCTATAAATTATAAAGTGTAAAATTATTCCTAAAGAAAATAAACATTTTCATTAGGTATAGAAATCTCAAGCATGTTACCAAACACCAACATAATATGCATTGTAATTTAAATCTTCAGGCCTTACAAAAGTAGTTTTAAAAATGGAGTGAAATAACCACAATTTGCCATATTTTGACTAAAAATAAATTAGTGTACAAAAGTATTAAAGTCCACTGAATTGGAGAGAATAAACTTAGAACATATACATTACAGAGAAATGTGTGCCTCTATAATATGTAAAAGATGCATAAGATGCATACTATCTAGTAAATTATGTATATGTATATAAATAGGATATATATATATTATATATGAAATCAATCAGACCACATTCTTTAAAACAGGGACTTGCATCTTATATTCACTATGTATTCCTCTTTCTTTTAAAGTTTTGTCAGCACTATTAAAAACACAACACTTAGAAGCCAATACTAAAAACCAGCTGGATGTCAACTGGTGAAATTTTCCCCATCTTACTCAGGAAACCAAACATGTTTTTCCTGCTGATTTACACTTTACTTCACAGTTAAAGATACCTTGAAAGTGTTAAAGTTAACAGTATTTCTGTGATCTGATCAAACTTGAAAGGGCACTGTCTTTCCTCTCCTTATGCACAGAGAAATTTGAGAAAAGCATTTCAAACTAAGAAATTCATGGGAGCTTTTTATAAGAAAAAGATTTCACTTCCAACACTGACTGCGCTATTTGCATAGATTGCAAGGCAGTCGTGTTTAAGTGATGTCTATGAAATACAACCATATGCAAAGGACTGAGCTCAGTGCCAGCAGCTAAGTGCTCATCAGGGTCTCTTCAATCATTTAGAGATTGTGGTCCCAAGCCACCTCATGATCCAGGGCACCTGAGACAACTCCTCAATGAATGTCAGCTCTCAGGAAAATCCTGCTTCATCTTGTATTCCCAAGCCACAGAGAGGCTGTTGGAACCTCTGAGGTGTCTCATGGAGTACCCAGTATCGTGGAAAACTTCATCTTCCTATTCCCAGTCCTGAAAGGTTGGCAGCACAAGATAATACTGCAGAGGGAAGATGGACAGACACATGGATCCAAGGAATGCATACTTACCATCTCTCTCTGGCACAGTTTTATAACTATATGCAAAATCAAACAAAAACATTATCTGACCTGTGATTGCTTAAGATTAAAATTTCTGGAGAGGGTTATAAATATTCCTTCTCATTATTTTTCCTTCCTTGAGGCAGCAGTGTATTAACCAGTCCTAGTTTTTCATTATTGTATATTCAGATGTAAGTTTTACACACAAATACATTGGTCTTATTGGACGTCACCTGATCAAATCGTTTCTGTTCTCTTCTCCTATTGCCCCCACCCCACCTTCTGTCAAAATACCGTATCACTGTAATCTCCAAGTTCCCTCCAAACTCTAGCTTATCAAGTTTGAGTTATTTCATATTGCTCTCTTAGCTCTTCTTCACACAACTTCCCACAAACACCGAATTATGTTATTTTAATCTACCCTTTTCTCTCTGCTCCCATAGCCACCCAGTCCAGGTCCATTAAAGGTCAGAACTGTATTGCAGTGATGGCTTCCAAGCAGATATCTCTATCTTCAGTCTCTTTCATCACATCCCACCTACTCGCTGATGCTCAAATGATTTTCCTCTGACTTTATTTTCTTCAGGTGTCCTGCCTGCTCAGCAATCTCCAAGGCTTCAATGTCACTTATTATGCACATCCCAAGCCTTATCTGACCTTCAGAGCTTTCCACTAATACGACACCCCCCAGGATCCCATCCCACCTCCATTTCTCATTACCTCTCACTATAGCCTCTCTACTCCCACGAGCAATAGCTGCTGACCATCTCTCACATGTGATTTGCTCATTTTCATCTCTGTATCTTTCCTCATGCAAACTCCCCCACCCACTGAGCTACAAATTCATTTCTTGCTCTTTTCATCAATATCTTGCTTCTCTTCAAAATTCTACTCATCACTCATCTCTTCAGAAATTTCTTCTTAATTAATTGCAATCAAATATGGGATTCATTTTGTCTTTTATCCCGTCAAAACAGAGTAATACTCTGGAGTTATTGAGGGTTAGGATGTGAAAATATAAAGAGATTCAAGATAATGCATAAATAATTTGAGTGCCAAACCTCACAAATGGTTTGATCTAAATTAAAAACAAAGAAAATATCTTGCAGATAAAGAAAACGATCAAAGGTCTGAACAAACAAAGCTGTCGTACTCATAGAGGCTTTTATAAGAGAAATATCTATGTAAAATAGCAATAGCTGTCATGTATTAAGGATTTTTAAATTTCTTCTAGGGACCATATATACATTGACTCATTTAATTTTTATTATACACAACATAGGTATTATTATAGTCATGTTACAGTGAACAAAATCAATGGCCAGAGAAATAAAATTACTTGCCCAAGATCACACAGCTAGAAGAAATAAAAGCAGAATTTCAAAACAGAATGTAAGATTTGTCTTCTCCCCAGAATCTGTGTTACAAGCCACCTGAGTTCCTGTCACATATTCCGAATAGCATTCATAGCACTTATACTAGTAGTTACTTGAAAAAAAAAAGTTTACACTTGAGCTGACTAGTTTTGTTTTGCCAGTTGGCGTTTGATACTGCCCATATTTTTTTCACTCTTTTTATACAGTTGCTACTTTCTGCCACAGTAACACCCTCTTAATGAACCTGCCTCTCACTAGAACTAGAAAATTGGAGTCATGAGATGAAAATCTCTCCTCCTAAAAACAGATTGAACATAATCCTTCTTCTTCTCTCCCATTATGTTGTCTCCCTATAACAGGTCAACCCATTTCATTGTGTTTTGGTGCCAATCTCTTGTTTTCTCTTCAAAGCCTTTATTCATCAAGTAACCCCAAATCTCCTGCATTATCAGTCTTTTTACTTCTATTGTAACATTGCCTCCAAATAGTATATGGCAGCTGCCATGATTTTTAAGGTAAATAAATAATGTGTAAGTAATTTAATGCATATTAAATAAAATAATTTTTTAAATATTTCCCATGACCCATATATTGGTTTAAATATGTCCTTATTTCTTTGCTCCACTTCATGGTCAAACTCCTTGAAAGAGTTGTCTTCACAGCATTCTCCACTTCCTTACCTCCTCACTTCCTGTTCGTCATGAGGTTCTTTACAGACTAGTTTCTTCCTCTTGTTCCATAGGAACTGTTCCAGTCAAGCCTCCAAGGACCTCCATGGATGTCAAATCCATGTTGCTAAATTCAAGGAGAATGTTCTTTCCTTATCTCAGTTTGTGAAAGTAGAATCCTCACGAATGGAATTAGTGCCCTTATAAGAAGAAATACAAGAGAAATGATCTCTTTCTGGACCATAAGAGGATACAGTGTAAAGACAGACCTCTGCAAGAGAGCCGTCACTGAGAAATGAACCTGCTGCCCTCCTGATCTTGGATGGGCCAGCTTCAGAAATGTGAAAAATAAAGGTTTCTTGTTTAAGCCACCCAGGCAATGATATGTGTTATGGCACCCTAAGCTGACTAAGGACAGCTTTCTTCCTCAATCTCATTCATGGGTCCTCAGGACTATGAGTTGGATATTTTTCATCAGCATGCTGATATAATGCCTTTGTTTAATTTTCTGTGTCTCGAATTTTTAGCTCTAGGTCCAGAACTTGCCTTTGGCTTCTATTTGTGTGTGTATTGCATCTGTCTCACCATATATCAACAGGTATTGCAAAATTCAGCACCTTCTCGAGCTTCTGCAAGAAATACACTGACATGAAGCATGTGTGGGATATCACAAAGATCAACCGTATTATGCAACACACAGCATTCTGGCAGCTTACTAATTCTTATTATTCTCTCCCCTCACTAACTATTTTATGGAAGCAAAAAATTATTCTTATCTCGTTCCCAGAAAATGAGGGACTATTCCCTTATTACCATCTACAAAATTGCTTTATCAAAGTACTTCTCTCAGACAATGCTCACCCCAAGAGAAATTGTAATAAATAAATTTTTCTATTATAAAATCCTTACATGCTAATGAAAATATATTTGAGTTTTCATTTTGTCCTTACTGCCTGGCCTTTTCCATCACTATTGAAGATGAGAAAACAATCCCCAGTTATGTTTATTAGCAAAGCAGCTCAAAAATGCCCACATTTTGACCAATATGAGCATGATATTCACAGTTCTATGAAATACAGTTGTTAAGAAATTAAAAATAAATTCTTAAAGAGTGTTTTTAAATGACTACCTAATAATAGTCTAAGAAATCATGTTTTTTAAAATGATAGTGGTAAATTTAGTATTTCTGAAATAGCTAGTGTGATGTTTGTGGGAGAAAGAAAGAAAGATTGAAGGTTTAATAAATGTTTCCAAAGTTCATGAGAATTTGGTTTTCTTAATAAAACGGCTTCAATATTTTCAGAATAACATAGTCCAACTATTCCAGAAGGATATGTCTTTCAAATGCCTGGTGGAATGTTTTAGCCCACTATTAAGAAAGGTTATACTGGTTATTTACACTCTGGTGATTATATCTTTAAATATAAAGCATTAATCAATGAGTATTAAAGATTTATGAAGCAACGAGTTAATAATTTTCCACTCAATTCCTTCCTACTAATTAAAGATTTTTCACTATTAATCTTTGTCCTTTAGCATTTAATCTGAAGTAATGTTTGTCTTTTAGCTTTAAAATTAATTTTAAATAATATCTTTAATTTTGGCAAAAGGAACTGTTTTCACAATTGCCTTTCAGGTTAAATTAAGAAATCTCTAAAAGTCTCCTATTTAATTTTACATATAAAATGTCATTTGCATTAATCTGATGATTTTAAACTACACATTTGGCCCACAATATCTAATTAATTTGACAAGAGAGTTATGGAAATAATAAAAATTACTTTGAAATTTCAAGGGCCACTTCATTTTTTAAATGTCTTATTAAATATATTTTTGTAATAAAAGAAATCATTCAGAAGAAATGTAACAGTATTTTAATTTCCAAGTAATAGGTATGCTGAATGTTAATTTGTCCTACATTTGGCATCTACAGGAGACAAAAGCATTGTATTCTCAATGCCAAAAATAAGAAATTCATTAATACAACCTGAAAAATACAATAAAATCAAAGTTTTTTGGCAGAGAATACAAAGATGTGAGTTGAAAATTTGAGTGCTTCATTTAAAAAAAACTAGCCGGCATAGAGCCATTATTTTTAGTTTTTCTGGCATTTCAATAGAGAGACCAGTGAAGAGTAATAATATTTATGAAGTTCAGCATCTTAGTTACCTGTTTCTTCTTCTATGTATTTTATAAAGCTGTTTTTTGCTGGTGGATAGTACTTCTAACTGACCTTAAGAATAGTCCAAAAATGTTCTAACTCTATCGTGTTAGCAGTAAGTTTGGATAAAGAAGAAAACGTATTCTGCTTCTTTACAAGAGTGTTTGCAGCTCTCCAGCCCTTTTTCTTTTTTTTTTTATTTTATTTCAAATATGAAAATCAACTTACACTCTGATTTTCCAGTGAATAGGTCCATAAAATCAACCTATATTCTTCTTTCTCTAATTATGTAATTTTGTACTCTCTGTTTCTCTATTAAAGCAAGTTCAAAGTCATCTCCTTTCCCTTTTCTCCAACTTTCAAGCTCAATGGCATTTTAAAACTATACTAACAATATCCCCTGTGCCACAAGTAGAAGACCAAATTTGAGAAATTTGTAATCTTTCTAACACTGCAAATAGCTTTTAAAAAACAGGAGCGTAATTTCAATACCAGTAGGGTCAAGGTTAAATACTACTGGATTAAGATCCTATTACTTTTAAAAATAAGACATCTGCATATTGGTAAGCATTATAATAATCTGAAGTATGTGGAAGTTAGTGGAAGAACAATTTAATACATATGTATACTAAATAAATGCACCCACTAACCTACTATGTATTTAGAAACATCTTATCTGAAAATCATTGTTCCTTGCTATATTTTATATTCAGATATAAAGAGCTTTTGCCTCATGTTTCAAATTTTATTCTTCAGAGCAGACAGGAAACACTCCAAAACCTGAAGCAGAATCAAACTGTGTCATTTAGAGACATCTTCATTTTTTTTTTGCATTATCGGAGGACAATATTCTCCATGCCTTGCATGCCAAAGATGCTCTATGTATCACTGGTTAATATTAGGCTTCAGCCCCTGCAGGTTTCCAAGTAAATGAAAGGTCGATAATGCATGCTCCCTGCCGGCTCCAGGCTGGCAGCTTTGCCTACGAATTCAGCATTGCCCATAGTACCACTGCTAGAGTTACAGTGGCCCCAAAAGTACTTACAGCTCGTTTCATATTCATTTAGCATAATCCTCTCACTTGCTGACCATTAGCAGTGTAATTAATGGGCATTTTCTGATCGATGTACCCTTGCAGATGAGTATTATAATAAAGGGTGATTACAGTGAAGAATAATATGGTTGGAAATCAGTACCTAGTCATCACCACTCATTGACAGTGCCATAACAGAATCAGTGAGATCAGACTGCATAGAAATTATATCAAATAAAGTAATTCCTTTAATTTATTGCACTTTTAATTATTCCATCTTTAATTTAAAGAACTATCTTGCCCCCATACAATGTAGTCTTGAAGCTAAAGAGAATTAATCTAAGGATAACTAATATTCACTTCCCCCAGCACATTTGAAATCAATTTTACCTTAAGCAAAATGTTTTATGAGCCTTTAGTTTACCCTGGGCATTATGCATCTTCATAATTTTCTAATGAGCTTAAGATATCCATGAGCAGAAGCCACGAATCATATTTTTGGTGGCCCTTAAAAACAATTTTTTTCTAACTCTGCTGTAAATTAAGAGATGTGAGAAGATGAGAATAAAATCTCATTACCACTGACAACCTCACAGCTCAATAAATCTGTTTTAAATCTTATTAAAGGGTCCATTATTTGTCATTTTTAGTAACTTCATCATCACAGCCAATACCATGCCATCTAGTATTTCTTTAAAATATCAGAGTATAGAGGTCACACAAAGAGCTGGGGCCATGGAAATCATCCCTGAGAGTGAGCATAAGAAACTGGACCTCCTTCCAGAGCCTTCAGTTTATTGACAGGCACTGGGCTGTCATCAGGGACAGCTCAGAAGGGGTCAGGGACAAAAGTCTACACAATAAGACTTAACACAACTGTGCCATGCCTTCTCTAGGGTTTCTTGAACACTAGAATCTGAGGAGACATAATGGTCATTTTGCAGGTAAGTCAGAAGGAACACATAACCAAAGTGAGGCCCGCTGCTTAATCACTGCTTATTGGATAAAGATAAAAGAAAAAAAAATCTCAAGTAGCCATAGGCTTTATGTATAACAAATGTTCTGCAAGCAAATTAAAATCATTGTGGATTTTCCTAGGCTGCATTTAATCACAACAGATCAGCTTCTATCACTGGGCAGCAGGCTCTGAAGCTGGTTCCTATTCCCTGGCCTGGGTATGTTCATGGAAAGATAGAGACTTTGGTTATAATATAAACAAATTGGATTAAAGAGATAAATATGCTACCTAAAATAAAGACAGCAAACAGCCTTTCCAATAATTCAAGCAAAATTAAAGTGATTTTTAAAAATTCTTTGACTGGCTTAGCCACAACCATTTTTTCCCATTTGTAAGTAATAGAGAAACCATAAATAGAAGTAAGCCTCCAGCTTTAAAATCTGAGATTCATCTTGATTTCCCTTATGATAAGATAGTCTGTGTGCTGTTGGCAGGGGTTAAATGGAAAATTTAAGTGGAGAAATTTCTGTGTCCTAGAAGGAATGTCAAAAGAGTGTTCTTTGGTTTGTAATAGGGCAAGCAGGGCTCCCCACAAAATTACTCTATGAGCACTTCTTACTCCTTCTGTCCTTCAGTTTTGCCCCTTTTCATCACGTCTGATGTACTCAACCCCCTCCCTCAACTAAAATTCACAAGTTCTAAATAAGAGAGAGGAGGTTAATAACAATATCAAAGGCACTAAATACTTACAATTTTGCTTACAGTCTATTTGCTGTAATTATCAACCGTTTCAGCAGCTTGCTACTCTGATTTCATTCATTTTAGGAATGTAGATCCTAGCTTGAGATTTATTTTTAATTATTTCAAATAATTGATAGCAAAATTTCTCATTCTCCTATAGCTTACCTCTGAGGATGTTCTAATGTCAACAAAGTTCACTATATACCAATCTGCATTGGCTTTCCTGTCACCTAATGGCCATGTTGGGACCTTATGTATTTGTCTGATAAGACTGCCATAACAAAATGTCACAGACTGGTTGGCTTAAACAAGAGAATTTAATTGTATCTCAGTTCTGCAGAGTACCATTACGGTCAGTCTGGTGAGTGCTGTCTCCCTGGCTTGCAGACACGCACCTTCTCACTGTATGGCACAGAGAAAGAACTGTGGTTTCTCTTCCTCTTCCTCTCTGTAATCTGCTAGAGCACCGACTCTAGAAGATTATGACCCCACCCTTATGACTTTATTTAACACTTATCACCTCCTCACAGGACGTATCCTCAAATATAGCCACCTTGGTGGTTAGAGTATCAACATATAAATTTGTGTAGTATGCAATTTAGTCCATAACATTCCTCTCCTAGTCCACAAAACTTCATGTCCTTTTGCATGCAAAACATATTCATCATATCCCAATAGCCCCCAAAGTCTTAACTCACTCCAGCACCAATTCTAAAATACAAAGTCTCAGTTAAATATCATCTAAATCAGATATGGATTGAGACTCAAGGAATGGTTCATCCCTAGCCAAAATTTATCTGCATCTGTGAACCTGTGAAAGCAGACAAGTTATCTTCTTCCAAAATGCAATAATGGGACAAACATAAGATAGACATTATCATTCCAAAAGTGATAAATTAGAAAAATGAAAGGGGTAATGGGTCCCAAGCAACTCCAAAACCTAGCAAGGCAAATTCTGAGGCTTGAGAATAATCCTCTTTGGTTTGATACTCAGCTTCCCAGACCCACTGTGGCAGCAGTGTCACCTCCACAGCTCTAGGCAGGAGTGCAGCCCTCAAGGCTTTGCTGATTGGTCTCACCCCTATACCTCTGCAGAGTGAACCCCTCCCACCATGGCTTCAGATAGAAGCTGCCCAGCCTGATAAAACCAAAATGGTGGCTCTGGTCATCTCTGAATCATTTTCAGAGTCATTTTTTCTTCATTTTGAAGAGTAGCGCACACTCACAGCCAAATGGCTTGGTCATCCTATCCAGTCAATGCAAGAAATCTGACAACCTTTCTTCATTTTGTCTCATTACCATCCTCTTTAGTTCAGACTGGTGGTGTTTCTGCCTATATCATTTCATAAATTTTTTATCAAGTAATAGTCTAGCCTAGCCACTGCCTTGGTGTTCTCTTCAGAATATGTTTCTCAATTTTTGCAATATGAATAGGCTCAAAAGTTCCCAGATCTTCAAGTCCTGTTTCCTCTTTTGTTAACAATTCCTTATCTCTCTCCTTTCACATTTTACTCTAAGGAGTGAGGAGGAACCAAGCCACTCCATTAACACTTTGCTTAGAAATCTCCTTAGCAAGCTATCCAAGTTCATCACTCACAAGTTCTACCTTCCACAAAACACTGTAACACAGTTCAAGCCAAGTTCTGTTACTTTATAACAATAAATCGGTTTCCAATAATCTGTTCCGTATTTCCATTTGATAAAGATGGAATGGCCACCAGAATGGCCTGTAACATCCATATTTCTACCATTCTGTTTATGATTATTTATGTATTCTCTAGGAAGTTGGAGGCTTTCTCTATAGCTCTCTGCCTTTCTTCCTAAGCTCTCAATAGAATCACCCTTTACTTCCATATTTCCACGAACAGTTCTTTTCTCAGCAATCTTGGTCTTTTCCAGCATGCACCTTAAAACTCCTCTAGTTTCTACCCACTGCTCCGTTCCAAAACTACTTCCACACTTTAAGTTTTTGTTACAGCAGAGCTTCACTTCTCAGTACCAAAATCTGTATTAGTCTGTTCAGGATGCTGTAACAAAATACCATAGACTGAATTGAATGAATTAAACAACAGAAATGTATTTTCTCTCAGCTCTAAAGGCTAGAAATTCCAAGATCAAGGTTCCAGCAGAGCTCAGCTTCTGGTGAGGGCTCTCTTCTTGGCTTCCAGATGGCCACCTTCTCACTGTGTCCTCATATGGCAGAGAGAGAAATCCGTGTTGTCCCTTCCTCTTCTTATAAGGGCACCAACCCTAGTGGATTAGGACCACATCCTGATGACTTCATTTAACCTTTATTACCTCCTTACAAGCCCTATCTCAAAATATAGTCAGATTAGGGGATAAGGTTTTCACATATTAATTGCGGGTGGGGAATGCCACAATTCAGCTCTAGCACTTTCTATAACAAAAATATAACATTTCTTTCATAATGTTATTTTAGACTGTCTTTATAGGATACCAAGACACCAGCCAGTGCAAGGAAGAAAAGAGTTAAGCTGGATCTTTTGAATAGCATATGCAATGGATATACTATTTCAAGCTATAACTTTATTTTCCTCTATTAATATTTGTTTCCATTTCTGTCTGGTAGCAGAAGGGCAGATAGAGTCACTTCAGAGATTCTTCCCTCTCTTTCATTTCCTTGGAGCAGCATAAACATCTTGTCAAATTCAGACAAGATCAAGACATGGGCAGTCTGGGTAGGGGAATCTGATCCTTGGTTAGCCTTTATCCACACAAGCTCCTTGTACTCTCAGGTTCTCAGTTCTGATGCAAACCTCTCTGGGACCTAGGCTTGAAGAAGAAAGTAGGGAAAAGGAGGACTATGGGGAGCAAACATATCTTAAATATTTAATATATTAAAATGTCTTAATATCTCAAATATTTAATATCTTAAAATCTTAAATATCTAAAAATATCTTAAATATTATCTTATCTTAAAATATTATCTTAAATATCTAAAAATCTTAATATCTTAAATATTTAATATCTTAAAATATTATCTTGCCACATGAAACATAGGTGACAAGCTTAACCCTTTTGATTCATCAAAGTCCAGACTTCCAAAGGCTCATAGGGATTTCCTACATTATTGTCATAACTTTGCAAATGAAAACATGAAGCCCAAAGCGATGGCATAATTCATGTTAGGTCCCATAACAATTTAATGGTGGATTACAGACTAGAAGCCAGATATTTTCATGACCTCCTGCTGCCTCTTAAAAACATAATTCAATTTAACCAATACCACACAAGTGCCTACTGAGTGTAGGAAACTATGCTAGGCCCAGCAAGTATCCTAAGAGGAGTGAAGAAAAACAATGATATCTAAAGTTTTAAACATCCCCTGGGGCCCAGTGAAATGAGGCCTCCTGATGTTAGTATTGCTTCTTGCTGACCTATATTCAAAAATGTCTACTGAAGAGCAAAATAGAAAGGGGATTTAGTAGCCTAAAGATACTCTAAAAGCTTTTTGTTTACAATATTTTGATTAATAAAAAAATTGTACTTTTTTCTCCCAGTTTCAAGTCACTTAGGGTAAAACAGCACTCCTGGACATGTAATGAAATCTTGTTAAACACTTTGTTCTGTCAGCTCTTCTAAGATGAGCCATGCCTCTGAATCAAGGACTCTTTGAAGTGAAAGGAGAGGATCTCTAATTTCACTTTTATAGGAAAACTCTTGTCAAAATTCTATCTTCAAGAAGACGGTTTTCTTTCTTTGAATCATCTAATTTTACTTTCAAAATGTAGTTAGGCTCTGTCAATTTCTCAGCAATTCCTCTCTATCACCCCAGCCTAAGACACTATCTCATCTTCCCTGAATTACTGCAATAACTTCCAACTGGTTTTCCAGTCTCTGCCATTTTTGCACCTGACCCCAGCACCCCACCCAATATATACACCAAACAATAATCACATGATCCTTTAAAAATGTAAGTCAGGTCGTGTCATTCTGTACTCTTAACCTTCCAATGGCCTTCCCTATAACTTAGAATAAAGAAAAAAAATCCTTACAAGAGCCTCAACACCCTGAACTCACATAACCTTTCTGACCTTCTCTCCTCTTGTTCTCCATGGTCTAGTCACACTGGTCTTTCTCCTGGTCTTGGAAAATACATGGCAGAGTACTGCCCCAGGGCTTTGTATTTGTTCTTACTTCCACTAACACTCTTCACCCAGATGGGCTGTGGCTTGCTCCTTTGCCTTCTCAGGTCTTTGCTTACAGGTCACTTTCTCAGTTAATTTCCTGATTTCATTTATAATTATTACTCTCATTGGAATTCTCTCTCTCTCTCTCTCTCTCTCTCTCTCTCTCTCTCTCTTTCTCTCCCTTTTATTTGTTTTCCTCCATACTGATTGCCACTATCAGAAATATATGTCAGATAGTATATACTTTTAGTATATTCATTAGTTAGGATTCCTTATTTTGCAAGTAATGAAAGCACAACTAAAATCAGATTAAACAAAAGGGAATCTATTTACCCAGGTAACTAGAAATTTCAGAAGTATGGAAAACTTTGAAAGAAAATAGTTAAGCACAGTTCCTGTTTGCTGTCATTCATTTTATTCTTTTCACCTCTGTATACTAGCTTTATGTGCAGACTATCATCTTCCATGGAAGTAAAAAAGCTAGCCAGGTGCTGTGGCTCATGCCTGTAACCCCAGCAATTTGGGTAGCCAAGGTGGGTCAATGACCTGAGGTCAGGAGGTCGAGGCCAGCCTGGCCAACATGGTGAAACCCCGTCTCTACTAAAAATGCAAAATTAGCCGGGTGTGATGGTGCGTGCCTGTAATCCCAGCTACTAAGGAGGCTGAGACAGGAAAATCGCTTAGGACCTGGGAGGCAGAGGTTGCAGTGAGATGAGATCGTGTCACTGCACTCCAGCCTGGGTGATGGAGGGAGAGTCTTTCTCAGAAAAAGAAAGAATGGATGAAAGAAAGAAAGAGAGAGAGAGAAAGAAGAAAGAAAGAAAGACAAAGAAAGAAAGAAAGAAAGAAGAAAGAAAGAAAGAAAGAAAGAGAGAGAAAGAAAAGAAAAAAAAAATGCTACTACAGATTCCCAGACTCTTCACCTTCAAACCGTGAACACAGCAAGAGAGAGTGTGTATTTTGTGCAAAAGACCTGCACTTACTCTGACTGGGCCAGCCTTAACCAGTCACAGAAGCCAGTGTAATGTTAAGCACTGATTGGCTTAGGCCCAGGTCACTGATCATCCTTTTATCATTCTCTGTGGGAAGGACTATGATTCCTTCATATCAAATAGAGCCCATGCGTGGAACTAGGGATGATGTCTAGCCTACTTCCAAGAAGTAAAATAAATGCTGGAGAAACAAGCACAATGTCCGTTATAGCTGCTATGCTCTCCTGCAGAGAAAACTGAATCTCAAAGGTTAAGGCGACATAGCCAGTAAGTGATAGAGTCTGCATTCCAATCGAGGTCTGCCTAAATCCAAAGCCAATACTATAGGCCTTCTGCTATATTTTAGGGGTGGTACATCCCTCCCAAAACTCATGTTGAGGTTTAATTGTTTAATTGCCAGTGTAGTCGTGTTGAAAGGTGGAGTTTACTGGGAGGTATTTGGGTCGTGAGAATTGCACCCTTATTTGTGCATTGGTGCAGTTCTTGCAGGAATGAGTTGAGGTCCCAGTCTCTTGAGACTGGATAAGTTCTTGCGGGAATGAATTAGTTCCTGTGAAAGTAGGTTGTTATAAAGCAAGAATGCTCTTTGTCTTTGGCTCCTTCACATGAATTTGCTTCTCCTTTGGCTCTCTGCCATGATATGCTGCATCAGGAAAGCCCTCACTGGAAGCTATCCTCATGCCCTTGAACTTCCAAGCTGGCAGAACCATGAGCCAAATAAACTTACTTTTTAAGTAGATTACTCAGCCTCAGGTATTCTTTATAGCATCACAGAATGGACTAAGGCAGAAAACTGGTACTACATGGATACGTTAAAATGTAAAAGTGGCCTTGGAACTGGGTTATAGGTAGGGACTGGAAGGATTTCTAGGAGCAAACCAGAAAAAGACAAAAAGATGAGGAAAGGTTTGGAATGTCTTGACTGGATGAGTGACCATTATCAAAATACTAATAGAAATATGAACAGTAAAGGCCATTCTGATGAAGTCTCATTTCCCATGGAAATGAGGAACAAGGTGTTGGGAAATGTTAGATCATAGCAAACAACTTGGCTGCATTGTATCCATGCCCATACATGATTTTACAGGCTCAGAGCTAGAAGGAACTTGCATTGGATCTCAGATGAGATCATGAAATTTTAAGTTTCTACTGGAAAATATTAAGACTTTTGGGACTATTAGGATGGAATGATGTTTTGTTTCATTTTGTTTTGTTTTGTTCTGTTCGTTCTGTTCTGTTTTTGGTTTTTCTTTGAGACTCTCTCTCTCTGTTGCCTAGGCTGGGTTGCAGTGGCATGATCTCGGCTCACTGCAGGCTCTGCCTGCTGGGTTCAAGTGATTCTTGTGCCTCAGCCTCCAGAGTAGCTGGGATTACAGGTGCACGCCACCACACCCAGCTAATTTTTGTATTTTTAGTAAATGCAAGGTTTCACCACGTTGACCAGGCTGGTCTCGAACTCCTGAGTTCAAGTGATCCACTTGCCACGCCCTCCCAAAGTGCTGGGATTACAAGTGTGAGCCACCGCACCCGGCCAGAATGATTGTATTTTTTATGTGAGAAGAACATAAGTTTTGGAGGCAAGAGGTGAAATTAGTTTGTATGTGGTTTTTCCCAGCCGACGCTAATGTTGAAGTTTAATTGTCAGTATGGCAGTATTGGGTGGTGGGCCTAGTAAGAAGTGTTTGAGTCATATGGGTTCCACTTTTGAGGATGGCTTGATACCATTCTCACAGTAGTGAGTGAGTTCTTGCTCTCAAGAGACAGGATTAGATCTTGTGAGAATAAATTAATTCCCATGAGAGGAGGTTGTTATAAAGTGAGGATGCCCTTCATGTGTGGCCCCTTTGCATGTGTCTGCTTCCCCTTTGACTTTCTGCCATACTATGACACAGCAGAAAAGCTCTTGCCAGAAGCCAGCACCATGTCCTTTAACTTCCCAGCCTGCAGAACCATGGGCCAAATAAAATTCTTTTTTAAATAAATTACTCAACCTCAAGTATTCTGCTATAGAAATATAAAACATACCAAGACACCATCCTTCACCTTAGCTACCACATATCCCCATAAGCTGCTCAGGAATCCCTGACTTTTATCTCTATCAAAGACAACTCTTATCTAAATGATTCAAACAAAATGAATGTTCAGGCAATGAAATAAACATTAAAAGAATTCATAAGAACATAAGAGTGGAATAGGATTCATTCCTCTCTCACACTTTTTACTACTTTCTCTCTTTCTCTATGGGAGACAGCCATGTCTTTTAGCATAGCAACACATCAAAGTTATGCTTTGAAAGAGAGCAAAATTTACTAAGAGGAGAGTTGATTTATCTCATACATATGCTATTCCATTAAAATTGAAAAACCTAAGTCTGCTAGGTGAAATCTGCCTTTGCCTTTGAGTACAATTTTGAACTTAAGACCTTGCAAAAATGGATTCAGGATCTACAGATGTAGACAGAGAATCAAAAAGACAATGGAGACAACCAAAGTGAGGTGAATACCTGGTGTATCTGAGACTGCTTCTATGTGGACTGGTGGCTACCACAGTATCATATGTTCCATGGAACATTCTTTGAGAAACAGCCTAACTGCACTAGCAACTACAAATAAAATTAATATCGAGATCAGAAGCTTAGGTAAGCTTTTAGGATTACAAGTTTTCATTAAGCTTTGTATATGTAGATCATGGAGGTTCAAGTGCATCAGTAGAAGTTAGGCCATGTTCTTGCTATCTATTGCACCCTAGAGTGAACTACTTTAGGCCAAACAGCCAAAATGGTTCACTGAAAAATAAATGAGAATACGCACCAAAAGTTCAGAGCATAGCAAAGTGAAATAAAGTTCTTGCCAAGTCAACCTTTGCAAAAAAGAAATGGAGAAGGAAATGTGATGGTGGTAAATAGCTCTGTTAAAGAGCTTTTAAGAAAGGAAGTTAATGAATTTTCTATTGTAAATAATGTATAATAAAGCAGGCTATTTGACCTTCTCTAGTGATTTTAGTTGAAGAATTCTAATCCTAGAGGATAATGCTCAGGGCAAATTATCCATCAAGTTTTGTTTTCATTATACTCACCAACGTGTGCTTGGGGCCTGAATAGATCATGACCTACACAAAGAAGATCCCACAGCCTCCTTTCCTAGGAAAAAAAACTGGTTAGTTTTAAAACTAAATTGGCAGAAGGTACAATGACAACTACAATTTTGAGATATAGGGACAGTTTATAATGTACCTCAAGCAAGTTGTTACATATATATTACAGTATATGTGTTATTTGTGTGTAACATGGAATCTGTATGTGTTTATGGACATGTACATATACATGTACACCACACACACACACACACAACACATGTTTTTCTCCTTTCATTTTCTCCCATCCTCCCTTTACCCTATAGTTCCTATAAGACTTCAAGCTGGCTGTTATTAATAGAAGCTACTATTTTTAATTATTCAGAAAATTCTCATCTTTAATGAGATTATTTCAAATGATTCTGCATAGGCTATGCACTGTAGTAATTAAAAGCACTTTAGAGCTTTACAGACATGGTTTTGAGTCTATGCCCCAAAACAGAATCATTGTGAGACCTTATTCAAATTATTTAAATCCTTAAGATTCAGTTTCCTCTACTTAAGAATAGACTTGCTGTGAATATTAAATTATATGTTATTTTAAAGTGTGTAGCAGAGTTTTGAACATATAATAAGTGTTCCAAAGTGGTAGCTAGTATTAAGTTCTGGCTGTTGTGAACATTAACCCCATCTAGCATTGGCCTAGGAAATGTAGTATTCTATCATCTTCTCAAATGTTTCTGCCGAGGTGTGTTTAATGACAAACAGCAGTAGCTTATGTACCACCACTTAGACTCACAAGACATGTGAGCCCATGGGCCTAAACACCCAAAGAATTGAAGTGAGTCTTATCCAAATTTTTCTACATATTTAAGAATATATGCCTGTTTGTTTTCATATAAAAATGTTTCCGAATTACTTGAGCAAAAGAAAATTATTGGTTGAAGAAGATACCAGCCAGAGAATAACCAAGTGTGATACACTCTGGGGACTGTTGTGGGGTGGGGGAAGTGGGGAGGGATAGCATCGGGAGATATACCTAATGCTAGATGACGAGTTAGTGGGTTCAGCGCACCAGCATGGCACATGTATACATATGTAACTAACCTGCACAATGTGCACATGTACCCTAAAACTTAAAGTATAATAAAAAAAAAGAATAACCAAGTGTGATAAGCAAAACAAATTTGATAAGCCTGTATTGGGTCATACAATCAGTTTGTAGTCAACTTCCTTTCACTATGAGCTTAGAATACTACTCTTTGGGTATGTTCCGTAATTTCTTAACCATAAATACTCACCAAATGCTGTTCTAACCTTGCTCGCAGGGCTTGGCTAAAGCTAATAGGAGCTTCTCTCATAACGGGTTTTGTGACAGGGGTGGTGAGTTGAAGTAACTTCACAAAAAGCAGAATAAAAATTATAGTCAAGAAGAGAAAAAGGACAGTCAAATGACAGCCTTGAGTCAAACAGAAAATATTGAGGTCAAAAGTGAAGTTAAGCGCACCAAGAAATAAATCAAGGCAGGAAATTCAGCAATAAAACTAAGAATGACAGGTTTCTACTGACAGTGTGAAGTGGAAACAGGTAAGCCAGCGAGATGCTTACCATGAACATGAGACTATGCTAGGTGCATAATTGATGCAAACCAAGAAGGTAAGGTCTTTATCCCTCAAAATAAAATAATTTTAAATAGACAATAAAGACAACACAAATATTTTGATTTTTCTTCTTCTTCAGAGCACTATTTTAAAATAGCTGACACCTCCTCTACAGGTACCTGGTGTCAGGCTCTGTTCTAAACACTTCACATGAGCTAGCTCATTTAATCCTCACAAAATCCCCAAAAAGTGGATACAACTAATTCCCTCATTTTATTTCTATAGAAATAAGCTCAAAGAGGTTAAATAACTTGCCTAAGAGTACACAGCTAGTAAGTAGAGGAACCAAGATTCAAACTCAAACTCATTTGTCTTCAGTGCACCTATATTTAACCACCAAACTGTCATGTGATTAGGAAATGAAATAGTACTTAGGCTTCAGTAGTAGGGAATTACCCCAGTAGATTCTCAAATATTTACTGATGGCTCAGTGAGAAGAGTTTAGATATGGGGGGCAGGTAGAGTATTGTGTCAAAGGGTAGTTGCTGATGTCAAGGCTAAATTGTGAAGCTTCTGGGATGTCTGTATTATTTATACCCTATAGAGCTGGTTTTGGAGAAGTGAAATATTAGATATCAATAGTTCTTAATGTAGATCTCCAAAGGGATGACAGCAGGCAAGAGGCCATCTTCTGGCAAGAGTGAAAGGAAAGTTAATCATTTTAGAAAGCAAGCAATATGTGGAAAATGCTTTTTCCAAGAAAAAAGAATGAGGTAAGGGGGATTGGTGGCCAAAACATCCTAGAAAAGACTGGTATGTTTGTGAGTACATGTTCAGGTTAAAGGGAAGAGAAACAACTAGAAATAGTATAAGCAACAAACACTGAATTAGTTAATGGACCTGATGAGTTCAGAGGTTACTAGATTCAGACACAGTGGAATTGAGTAATACACCTGATGTTCTCTCTCACCTGCCCTATCTCTCAGCCTTGATTTTCTTTGTGTATTATTCTAATTCTATGTTATCACAAAATGATCAGTATATTTCCTCACTGCAACCAAGAAATTTGTCCAGGAGCAACTCAAAAAGCCCTACTTTAAAAACCCACTGAAAAGATACTGTCCCTCTACACCATCCATATACAAATCCCAGGGAAGGATTCTTTGATTGGCTCTACTTGGATCCTCACTGAAAAGGTTACTCTGACCAGAACTAACTTTGGCCAGGCCTCAGTTACACTTATAGAGAGATAGCGGGGTCTGTTCAAAAATAGGATGAAGGGAGAGGAATATGAGACAAAGTTACCTTTTAGCCAGAAACAATCGCTGCTAGAGTCCATGAAAAATGGCATATGAAATTTGTTGGTCTTGAGTCGTGGGAGAATATGGAAGGCCTAGTAATTTGGTAGAGCTGATACAGGCAATCAACTTTCAGACTGGCCCTAGGAACAATCATAGTGATTTCAAGAGTAAAAAATTGTGCATCACCTTCAGGTTGAAAAAGCATTTTCCACACATTACTTGCTTTCTGAAACGATTCACTTTCCTTTCACTCTTGCCAGAAGAGGGCCTCTCGCTTGCTATCATCTCTTCGGAGATCTACGTTAAGAACTATTGATGCCTAATATTTCACTTCTCCAAAACCAGCTCTATAGGGTATAAATAATACAGACATTCCAGAAGCTTCACAATTTAGCCTTGACATCAGCAACTAACCTTTGACACAATACTGTACCCGCCCCCCGCCCGCCATATCTAAGCTCTTCTCACTGAGCCATCAGCAAATATTTGAGAATCCACTGGGGTAATGCCCTACTACTAAAGCCTAAGTACAATTTTCTAATGTCTGCAATGGGACCCGTTAGTCTCTCTATATAAATTTATGCATGCTATAAATGTGAAGTTGAGACTATAAAAAAAGTGTTGATGTCAAAACTGTTTTGAATTTATAACATGGACATGAAGTGTCTCAACACAGAAAATGAAAATAAACTACAGGCACAGATACCAGCAACATGTTCAAAAAGTTTGGTGTAGTTAACATAAATTAACAACATGAGTAAAATAATATATTTAGTTGGTTTAGTAACAATCTTTTTTGAGTGTCTGCCATGAGCCAGACACTGAATGACTAGGTATAGAAACATAAACAATATAATCTCTGTACTTGAGGAGCTTACAATCTAGATGAGAAGAACATCACATACAGTTAGAGGCAATATATTAGGGCCTTTGCTGAGCTACAGGTGTACGGGGTACTAAGGGATCAAAGGAAAAAGAAAATTGATCCAATTTGGGGCTTGAGAATAAGCTTCCGAGAGAAATGCCTGAGCTCAATTCTGAGAACATGCATGTGATGAATGGGAGGGTGGGCATCCAAGGCAGAAGAAAAAATATCAACAAATATACAAAGTATGGAACAGTATGACGTTTGTTGAGACAAACGCATGGCTGCAAATTTCCTAAGTGTAAATTATAATGCATGATAAGCATGAAGCTGGAGGACATAAAGTGGAAGAGATAGTGCTATGGACTAAATATCTGTATCCCTTCAAAATTCATATATTGAATCCCTAATCCCTAATCCCAGTGTAATGGTATTAGGAGGTGGGACCTTTGGGAGATAATTAGGTCATGAGGGTGGAGCTCCCATGATGAGATCAGTGTAACTATAAAGAGAGAAAGGAATACCAGGGCTTATTTTCTCTGACATATGAGGAGACAGCAAGAGGGTAGCCATCTGGAAACCATGAAGCAAGTCCTCACCAGGACTTGACCTGTTGGCACCCTGATCTAAGACTTTTGGCCTCTAAAACAGTGAGATGTAAATGTCTATTGTTTAAGCTGCGCGGTCTCTGGTATTTGATTATAGCCTAATGTATTAGTTAGGGTTCCCCACAGGGACAGAACCAGTAGGATATATGTATATATGAAAGGGAGTCCAGTAGAAAGAACTGGCTTACATGATTCCAAGGCAAAATCCCATGATAGGCCATCTGCAAGTTGGGGAAGAGAGAAGCAAGAAATGGCTCCAAGTCCAAAAGCCTCAAGATCAGGGAAGTCAACAGTGCAGCCTTCGGTCTGTGGCCAAAGGCCCGAGGGCCCCCTGGAAGCTGCTGGTGCAAGTCCCAGAGTCCAAAGGCTGAAGAATTTGGAGCCCGATGTCCATGGGTAGGAGGAATGGAAGCAAGTGTCCAGCATGGAAAAAAGAAAAACAGAGCCAGAAGACTCAGCAAGCAAAGTTATCCCACTTTCTTCTGCCTCTTTTTTTCTAACCACACTGGCAGCTGATTGGATGGTGCCCACCTACAACGAGGGAGGGCCTTCCTCTCCCAGGCCACTGACTCAAAGTCAATCTCCTCTGGCAACACCCTCACAGACACACCCAGATCAATACTATACCAGCTAACTAGGCATCCATCAATCCAATCAAGTTGACCCCTAATATTAACCATCACACCTAAGTAGACTGAGACAGTTAAGTAGGTAGGAATCAGTTCACGGAAGACCTCAAGTGTCTTGTTGAGGAGCCTCTATTTCACTTTGTAAACAGTCAGAAGTTTGAAGCTCATAAGCAGAGGCCAAGGTCAGAGTTCTATTTAGATGAATAACCAGCAACTTTGCTAAGAGTCCAAGTCATGTAGCAGAATCATCCATGAGGAGGTTGTTACAGTAGTCAAGAAGAGAGGAGTTTACAGCTTATAGTAGTTAAACAAGAAGAGACAAAAACTCAATAAATTTGTAGGCAAACATAGAAATAATCAGATTATGGTCCTAATAGTATGTGCAATGAAGGGTACAGAGAAGCTATGAACGAGACCTAGTGTTAGCCCCAGATAAATGATAGATGGCAGTAGAAATAAAGAATAGCTGGAATACAGGCAAAGGAGCAGGGTTCTGGTCAAAGACGAGAGGAAGATGTGTTTTTGACAAGTGGTGTTTAACCTGCCTATGGAACAACCAAGTAAATCCCACAGAAAAGTTGTTGTGGAGCTTCATTCTTAGCAGAGAGTCAGGAAAGCACATTTGTAGAACATGGGAGACAAAGAGGAGATTTCACAAACTTCTAGAGAAGAAAGAAGAAAACTTGTATGTAAAGTATTGGGAATCACAATGGCTTTAGAACACTTTCAAACAGTACTCAAAGTCCATAGGCAATGGACTTTAAGACTATGATCCTACACAAGCCTGATATGCTAGAACCTGTAACCTGTCTCTAGAGAGACAGGCAGGTCTTCAAAATAATTGTGGGTGTAGTTTTTTCATGCATAATAAAATGGAATCAAATACATAAAAATTCATTTGAATGATTATAAATGCTGAATATTCAAGAGAGCCACACCCTACCCTAAAAGTGCATGAGCCTGTTCAAGATGTAAAAGGACCTCAAGGGCCTCAACTTTCTAGAGGCAAGAAGCAAGCTGAGAAGGCTGTTCAGGCACAGGAAGTGGTGTATTTAATGATCTTTTCAGAAATAGCCAAGGATGGTGATGGAAAAGAAAGAATGACTCAGAAAGCAGAGGAAAATCTCACAGAAGTAAAGTTAAAAAAAAAAGTGGAAAATAGAACATAAAATATTTAAAAATTAGAAAAAAAAAAGATATACTTTAATAAGAGTTCCAGGAAAGGAAATTGGATAAAAATGGAAAAAAGGAAATCATTGAATAAATAATTCAAGAACATTTTTCAGAACTCAAGACATGAGTCTCCAAAACTCAAAGGGCCCACAATCTGTACAAATAGATTACATTGAGGCACATATAAAATTTCAGAACATTGGAAGAAAAGAGAAGATTCCACACACTTTCTGAGAGGAAAAACAGCTCATATGAAAAGAATAGAAATCAGAATGTCTCAGATCTCTCACAGCAATACTGGACACTAAAAAATAGTGGAAAAATGTCATCAAAATTATGAAGAAAAATTATTTCCAATCTATATTTCTATCTTGAACAAACTATCAATAAAATATGAGAGTAGAATAAAATTATTACTGGATAATCAATGTCAGAAATATTTACTTCTCATGCACTGTTTCTTGAGAAGCTACTGAAGGATGCCCCACTAAACAGAGGGAATAATCCAAGAAAAAGGAAGTTATGGGATGTAGAAAATGGAAACCTCAACAAAGAGAGAAGCAAAAGGAATTCCAGGATGGTGGTGAATGAAGACTCCAGGAAGACAGCTGCCTTAGAGAGTACCCAGACCAGGTCCGAGGCGTGCATGCAAAAGTTACTGAGTATTGTGTAGTCATTACTAGGATGACTTGATGGGCCATGCGCTAGGATGACTTGATAGACCATGTGCTGGTGAAGCTCCTGCCCTTTTCTTCCTTCCCTTCTGACTGGATCACCTGAGGACATTCATGGCACCCTCAAAGAAGTTCTGCTTTGGCACACTTCGGAGACCTAGAAGCTGGCTCAGGTAAACTTCAAATCAGAAAACGCAGAGCAGCCCATAACCCCTGACTGTATACTAAATAACCAGTAGCTGGATCAATACAACCCTGGATTACCCATTGTGGTGAGCCTACAACTCCCAGGACTAATTCGTGACCTTGTCCACTTACCTTCCCAGAAGGAGTACCTGGAAACTCAAGGAAGATGAAGTCAGACTATGACCTGGAAACTCCATTTAACTTTTCTTCTTCTGAAAGCCTGCATCTATCAGTGGCAGTATTATCTTCTCTTTCACGGCTTTGTACTTGTTACTTTTTTCTAATATTACCACACTTCACTTTCTTTGTATACAGAAATAACAATTTATAAAAATCACAAAATATTAAATTGGAAATAAAAATAGAAAGAAAACTATGTGTAGGGGTGTAAGTCAATATGATCGTGGTGATATATATGTCAGAGTTCAGTCAGAAATGCAGAAAAATAATTTATTACATTGCAAACAGAGGAGATTTAACACAAGAATTAGAGGACTGAGAGAACACAGCAGAAACACTGAGGGAAACCAGAGAAAATAACTGCAGGAAAGAGCTACCATCCTAGGTCTGGGAAAACAAAAAGGAAAAGGCAGGGTTACAGGAATCTAGACATATAAAGGAGGCCCCAGAGGAGTGTGCTCAGACATTTGTGGAGGGAGCCCCACCTGTTTCAGCTGCACTTCTGAGGAGTCCCTAAGGAAGGTCCTGGGGTTGCCAAAAGGGCATAGAGACCGGGGCAAATTCCACTGGTGAGACTAACACTGACAGGAATGGGAAAAAGCAGGGAAGTCCTTTCTCCCCTCCTCCCACTTCCTGCTGGAAAAAAACTTCCAGGAAGCCATCTGGTAAAGCAATCTGGGGATATTGTTGGCGGAGTCACAGCCCAGCTGCACATCAAAAGCAGAGTAAGGGGAGGTGGATTTGTTGGTGAGGAATCTAGATTAATAACTGGCTCAGGTGGCTGCTTCTGGGGAAGGGACTAAAAATGGGAGAGGACTTTGCTTTTTCTATGTCATTTGAATCTTTTACAAGAATATATCTATATTTTACTTGCAATTTTAGAATAAAAGAATTTGAAGGAGATACTTTTGGTTGATTATCATATGAAATATCTGTATATTTGTCGAAACACTCATGAAAGAAACAAAATTGTCTTAGGAAAGACAGGACTTTCTTCTATACTATATAGAGCATAGTACAGAGTTGCATAGTGTGAGTAATTTCTGAATTATTCTAATTTAAAATGGAAACTTTTATATTCAAGTATGTTTTGCAACAAATAACTAAAAGTGGAAAATGCAAAGTCCCAATATGGAGAAGTTTGTCAAAAAACTGGAAATTTGGTAAACACTAGGCACAGGAGACAATGCCAAGATACAGAGCCAGAAAGACCTGGGCTTCAATCTCTGTTTCGTCACTTTCTAGTTGTTATGTCTGGGGTCAAGTTCTTCACCTTTTTAAGGCTCAGTTTCCTCATCTATAAGACAAAGAAAAGATCTCCAGATGAAACTAAGGCAGCATCTTAAGCGAGAATATATTATGTCATTGTCATTAAAGAAGGCACAAAATATTAGTATTTCAAAAATCAATGGAAAAGGTTGAAAATTATTTAAACAGACAAAAAATGTTTCCGCTCAGATGTATATTTCTCTATTTCTAAGTTGACATTACAGCTTTTCCTAAATTGAGCATACAAATAGTGGCAATAGATGATATGTTCATTAGAGATGTGATGCTGTTATTTAAATATGTATATCTGTTTTATAGAAAGTACAATATGCTGGATGCTGTGTTAATCTGACTGGGAGAAGCCAGGCTGGTTGGCTCACACAATTATAAACCAAAGACACCATCAGCACACACATAAGCAAAGTGTGTTCTTGGCTTTGGGGTTGCCATTGCTATTTGCAGAGCCTAGTGGTGTTTGTCTGATTCTGAGACAACAGGAATTACTTCAGTCTTTGTTTAAATTTCATTTTAGATTGCTTTACATCAAGTTTTTTACTTTGTTGACATTGTTTTCCAATCCCGCACAACCCTGTTATGTCATTTGAGAGTGGGCTTCCATTTATCCTTGCATTTTCAATTCCATTTTGTAGGTACTGAATGCATTCTGTGATGCCTACCTTAGTTGGTGTGTATCCTTAAATATCACTATAAATACGGATAAACCCAGGGAGGTGTTAATCATTCACTTATTCATTCTTTACCTCAAACATTTATTGAGTGTCTTCTATGTATCAAGCTCCACGATTAATGCTGTTGATAAGAAAATGAGTAAAACAGGATATTTGCCCTTAAATATGTCTAGAAAATGAGAGAGATACAAAAATAGAAAATTAAAATATGGTGAAAAGACTTTTAAAAAGAGGCTTCAGAGAGTTAGGGAAGAGAGAGATTCCTGGAGGAACTCAATTTCATATTGATAACAAATCCAGAAATTTTAGCAGTATAAATGTTAGATGCTATCTGCTCCAGGATTTAAATGTCCCTAGCTAATTTCACATTGTCTCTGAAAGTCTCACTCCAACTCCATTGACTTTTCTGTGTATGGCTGTGTGCTTATTTGTATGTGTAAGTGTCTGTATGTGAGTTGTTGCATTATTGATATTGTTATTGTGTTGTTTCCATTAATATTTTCATTTTTGTTCTTTGCTGCATAGAAATGTAAATTTGGTAACTGCTCTACTCCCTTGAATGCCAAAGAAATCTTTGATTGTGTGAAAATCTCCCCTGAACCAGATTGACATCTTTGGTCACCAACTTACAATTAACATCCAACTATTAATTCAGTGAACAGTACAACTCACAAACTTTTTGAAATACATAGTTTAAAAATAAACTGAATTTGAAACATGAAGAGGTTTAATAAACGAATTCAGGGTTTCTCAACCTCAGCACCTTTGAAATTTTGGGCTAGGTAATTCTTTGTTGTAGGAGGCTATACCGTGCATTATAGGATGTTTAATAGCACCACTTACTTCTACCCACTAGAAGCCACTAGCTTACTGCCCCACAAATCATGATTATCAAAAATGCCGCCCAAACATTGTCAAATGTCCGGTTGGAGGCAAAACCACTATCCTCAAAGTATTTATTTCAGTGATTCTCAAAACAACTGTGACTTGTAGATTATAGATATACTTGGATAGTTTTGGCACTATTTGCTAGGTCTTCTGAATTCTTGATATAGTTCCCAATCATGAATGGATCTGAGATGAGGACCC